>NC_000005.10:47961236-48287263 GCF_000001405.40 Homo sapiens | reverse complement strand
AGGCCACAAGTACGTCAGAATATCCACTTACAGACTTTACAAACAGAGTGTTTCCTAACTGCTCTATGAACAGAAAGGTTAAACTCTGTGAGTTGAACGAACACATCACAACGCAGTTTCTGGGAATGATTCTGTCTAGTTTTGAAACCAAGATATTTCCTTTTCTGCCGTTGACCTTAAAGAGCTTGAAAACTACACTTGCAAATTGCACAAATAGAGTATTTCAAATCTGCTCTGTCTAAGGGAACGTTCAACTCTGTGAGTTGAATGCACACAACACAAGGAAGTTACTGGGAATTCTTCTGTCTAGCCTTACATGAAAAAAACCCGTTTCCAACGAAGGCCTCTAAGTGGTCAAATTATGCACGTGCAGACTTTACAAACAGAGTGTTTCCAAACTGCTGAATGAAAAGAAAAGTTAAAGTCTGAGAGTTGAACGCACACATCGCAGAGCAGTTTCTGAGAATGATTCTGTCTAGTTTCTATAGGAAGATATTTCCTATTCTACCATGGACCTCAAAGCGGCTGAAATCTCCACTTGCAAATTCCACAAAAAGAGTGTTTCAAGTCTGCTCTGTGTAAAGGATCGTTCAACTCTGTGAGTTGAATACACACAACACAAGGAAGTTTCTGAGAATTCTTCTGTCTAGCAGAATATGAAGAAATCCCGTTTCCAAAGAAGGCCTCAAGGAGGTCTGAATATCCACTTGCAGACTTTACAAACAGAGTGTTTCCTAACTGCTCTATTAACAGAAAGGTTAAACTCTTGTGAGTTGAACGCACACATCACAAAGGAGTTTCTGAGAATCATTCTGTCTAGTTTCCATAGGAAGATATTTCCTATTCTACCATTGAACTCAAAGCGGCTGAAATCTCCACTTGCAAATTCCACAAAAAGAGTGTTTCAAGTCTGCTCTGTGTAAAGGATCGTTCAACTCTGTGAGTTGAATACACACAACACAAGGAAGTTACTGAGAATTCTTCTGTCTAGGAGAATATGAAGAAATCCCGTTTCCAACGAAGGCCACAAGATGTCAGAATATCCACTTACAGAATTGACAAACAGACTGTTTCCTAACTGCTCTATGAAAAGAAAGGTTAAACTCTGTGAGTTGAACGAACACATCACAACCCAGTTTGTGGGAATGATTCTGTCTAGTTTTGAAACGAAGATATTTCCTTTTCTGCCATTGACCTTAAAGCGCTTGAAATCTACACTTGCAAATTGAACAAATAGAGTGTTTGAAATCTGCTCTGTCTAAGGGAACGTTCAACTCTGTGAGTTGAATGCACACAACACAAGGAAGTTACTGGGAATTCTTCTGTCTAGCCTTACATGCAAAAACCCGTTTCCAACGAAGGCCTCTAAGTGGTCAATATATCCACGTGCAGACTTTACAAACAGAGTGTTTCCAAACCGCTGAATGAAAAGAAAAGTTAAACTCTGAGAGTTGAACGCACACATCACGCAGCAGTTTCTGAGAATTATTCTGTCTAGTTTTTATACGAAGATATTTCCTTTTCTGCCTTTAGCCCCAAAGCGCTTGAAATCTCCACTTGCAAATTCCACAAAAACAGTGTTTCAAATCTGCTCTCTCGAAATGAAAGTTCAACTCTGTCAGTTGAATACACACAACACAAGGAAGTTACTGAGAATTCTTCTGTCTAGCAGAATATGAAGAAATCCCGCTTCCAACGAAGGCCTCAAGGAGGTCTGAATATCCACTTGCAGACTTTACAAACAGAGTGTTTCCTAACTGCTCTATGAAAAGAAAGGTTAAACTCTGTGAGTTGAACGCACACATCACAAAGGAGTTTCTGAGAATCATTCTGTCTAGTCTTTATACGAAGATATTTACTTTTCTGCCGTTGACCATAAAGCGCTTGAAATCTACACTTGCAAATTGCACAAATAGAGTGTTTCAAATCTGCTCTGTCTAAGGGAACGTTCAACTCTGTGAGTTGAATGCACACAACACAAGGAAGTTACTGGGAATTCTTCTGTCTAGCATAATATGAAGAAATCCCGTTTCCAACGAAGGCCACAAGATATCAGAATATCCACTTACAGACTTTACAAACAGAGTGTTTCCTAACTGCTCTATGAACAGAAAGCTTAAACTCTGTGAGTTGAACGAACACATCACAACGCATTTTGTGGGAATGATTCTGTCTAGTTTTGAAACGAAGATATTTCCTTTTCTGCCATTGACCTTAAAGCGCTTGAAATCTACACTTGCCAATTGCACAAATAGAGTGTTTCAAATCTGCTCTGTCTAAGGGAACGTTCAAATCTGTGAGTTGAATGCACACAACACAAGGAAGTTACTGGGAATTCTTCTGTCTACCCTTACAGGATAAAAACCCTTTTCCAACGAAGGCCTCTAAGTGGTCAAGTTATCCACGTGCAGACTTTACAAACAGAGTGTTTCCAAACTGCTGAATGAAAAGAAAAGTTAAACTCTGAGAGTTGAACGCACACATCGCAGAGCAGTTTCTGAGAATGATTCTGTCTAGTTTTTATACGAAGATATTTCCTTTTCTGCCTTTGGCCCCAAAGCGCTTGAAATCTCCACATGCAAATTCCACAAAAACAGTGTTTCAAATCTGCTCTCTCTAAATGAAAGTTCAACTCTGTCAGTTGAATACACACAACACAAGGAAGTTACTGAGAATTCTTCTGTCTAGCCTTATATGAAAAAAACCCGTTTCCAACGAAGGCCTCAAAGTAGGTCTGAATATCCACTTGCAGACTTTACAAACAGAGTGTTTCCTAACTGCTCTATGAAAAGAAAGGTTAAACTCTGTGAGTTGAACGCACACATCACAAAGGAGTTTCTGAGAATCATTCTGTCTAGTTTTTATACGAAGATATTTCCTTTTCTACCATTGACCTCAACGCGGCTGAAATCTCCACTTGCAAATTCCACAAAAAGAGTGATTCAAGTCTGCTCTGTGTAAAGGATCGTTCAACTCTGTGAGTTGAATACACACAAAACAAGGAAGTTACTGAGAATTCTTCTGTCTAGCATAGTATGAAGAAATCCAGTTTCCAACGAAGGCCACAAGATGTCAGAATATCCATTTACAGAATTTACAAACAGACTGTTTCCTAACTGCTCTATGAAAAGAAAGGTTAAACTCTGTGAGTTGAACGAACACATCACAACGCAGTTTGTGGGAATGATTCTGTCTAGTTTTTATACGAAGATATTCCCTTTTCTACCATTGACCTCAAAGCAGCTGAAATCACCACTTGCCAATTGCACAAAAAGAGTGTTTCAAATCTGCTCTGTCTAAGGGAACGTTCAACTCTGTGAGTTGAATGTACACAACACAAGTAAGTTACTGGGAATTCTTCTGTCTAGCCTTACAGGAAAAAAACCCGTTTCCAACGAAGGCCTCTAAGTGGTCAAGTTATCCACGTGCAGACTTTACAAACAGAGTGTTTCCAAACTGCTGAATGAAAAGAAAAGTTAAACTCTGAGAGTTGAACGCACACATCGCAGAGCAGTTTCTGAGAATGATTCTGTCTAGTCTTTATAGGAAGATATTTACTTTTCTACCATTGACCTCAAAGCGGCTGAAATCTCCACTTGCAAATTCCACAAAAAGAGTGTTTCAAGTCTGCTCTGTGTAAAGGATCATTCAACTCTGTGAGTTGAATACACACAACACAAGGAAGTTACTGAGAATTCTTCTGTCTAGCCTTATATGAAAAAAACCCGTTTCCAACGAAGGCCTCAAAGAGGTCTGAATATCCACTTGCAGACTTTACAAACAGAGTGTTTCCTAACTGCTCTATGAAAAGAAAGGTTAAACTCTGTGAGTTGAACGCACACATCTCAAAGGAGTTTCTGAGAATCATTCTGTCTAGTCTTTATACGAAGATATTTCCTTTTCTACCATTGACCTCAAAGCGGCTGAAATCTCCACTTGCAAATTCCACAAAAAGAGTGTTTAAAGTCTGCTCTCTGTAAAGGATCGTTCAACTCTGTGAGTTGAATACACAGAACACAAGGAAGTTACTGAGAATTATTCTGTCTAGCAGAATATGAAGAAATCCCGTTTCCAACGAATGCCTCAAGGAGGTCTGAATATCCAATTGCAGACTTTACAAACAGAGTGTTTCCTAACTGCTCTATGAACAGAAAAGTTAAACTCTGTGAGTTGAACGAACACATCACAACGCAGTTTGTGGGAATGTTTCTGTCTAGTTTTGAAACGAAGATATTTCCTTTTCTGCCATTGACCTTAAAGCGCTTGAAATCTACACTTGCAAATTGCACAAATAGAGTGTTTCAAATCTGCTCTGTCTAAGGGAACGTTCAACTCTGTGAGTGGAATGCACACAACACAAGGAAGTTACTGGGAATTCTTCTGTCTAGCCTTACATGAAAAAAACCCGTTTCCAACGAAGGCCTCTAAGTGGTCAAAATATCCACGTGCAGACTTTACAAACAGAGTGTTTCCAAACCGCTGAATGAAAAGAAAAGTTAAACTCTGAGAGTTGAACGCACACATCACGCATCAGTTTCTGAGAATGATTCTGTCTAGTTTTTATACGAAGATATTTCCTTTTCTGCCTTTGGCCCCAAAGCGCTTGAAATCTCCACTTGCAAATTCCACAAAAACAGTGTTATAAATCTGCTCTCTCTAAATGAAAGTTCAACTCTGTCAGTTGAATACACACAACACAAGGAAGTTACTGAGAATTCTTCTGTCTAGCAGAATATGAAGAAATCCCGTTTCCAACGAAGGCCTCAAGGAGGTCTGAATATCCTCTTGCAGACTTTACAAACAGAGTGTTTCCTAACTGCTCTATGAACAGAAAGGTTAAACTCTGTGAGTTGAACGCACACATCACAAAGGAGTTTCTGAGAATCATTCTGTCTAGTTTTTCTACGAAGATATTTCCTTTTCTACTGTTGACCTCAAAGCGGCTGAAATCTCCACTTGCAAATTCCACAAAAAGAGTGTTTCAAGTCTGCTCTGTGTAAAGGATCGTTCAACACTGTGAGTTCAATACACACAACACAAGGAAGTTACTGAGAATTCTTCAGTCTAGCAGAATATGAAGAAATCCCGTTTCCAACGAAGGCCACAAGATGTCAGAATATCCACTTACAGACTTCACAAACAGAGTGTTTCCTAACTGCTCTATGAAGAGAAAGGTTAAACTCTGTGAGTTGAACGAACACATCACAACGCAGTTTGTGGGAATGATTCTGTCTAGTTTTGAAACGAAGATATCTCCTTTTCTGCCATTGACCTTAAAGCGCTTGAAATCTACACTTGCAAATTGCACAAATAGAGTGTTTCAAATCTGCTCTGTCTAAGGGAACGTTCAACTCTGTGAGTTGAATGCACACAACACAAGGAAGTTACTGGGAATTCTTCTGTCTAGCCTTACATGAAAAAAACCCGTTTCCATCGAAGACCTCTAAGTGGTCAAATTATGCACGTGCAGACTTTACAAACAGAGTGTTTCCAAACTGCTGAATGAAAAGAAAAGTTAAACTCTGAGAGTTGAACGCACACATCACAGAGCAGTTTCTGAGAATGATTCTGTCTAGTTTTTATACGAAGATATTTCCTTTTCTGTCTTTGGCCTCAAAGCGCTTGAAATCTCCATTTGCAAATTCCACAAAAAGAGTGTTTCAAATCTGCTCTGTGTAAATGAAAGTTCAACTCTGTGAGTTGAACACACACAACACAAGGCAAGTTACTGGGAATTCTTCTGTCTAGCACAGTATGAAGAAATCCCGTTTCCAACGAAGGCCTCAAAGAGGTCTGAATATCCACTTGCAGACTTTACAAACAGAGTGTTTCCTAACTGCTCTATGAAAAGAAAGGTTAAACTCTGTGAGTTGAACGCACACATCAGAAAGAAGTTTCTGAGAATCATTCTGTCTAGTTTTTATGACGAAGATATTTCCTTTTCTACCATGGACCTCAAAGCGGCTGAAATCTCCACTTGCAAATTCCACAAAAAGAGTGTTTCAAGTCTGCTCTGTGTAAAGGATCGTTCAACTCTGTGAGTTGAATACACACAACACAAGCAAGATTCTGAGAATTCTTCTGTCTAGCAGAATATGAAGAAATGCCGTTTCCAACGAAGGCCACAAGATGTCAGAATATCCACTTACAGAATTTGCAAACAGACTGTTTCCTAACTGCTCTATGAAAAGAAAGGTTAAACTCTGTGAGTTGAACGAACACATGACAACGCAGTTTGTGGGAATGATTCTGTCTAGTTTTGAAACCAAGATATTTCCTTTTCTGCCGTTGACCTTAAAGAGCTTGAAAACTACACTTGCAAATTGCACAAATAGAGTGTTTCAAATCTGCTCTGTCTAAAGGAACGTTCAACTCTGTGAGTTGAATGCACACAACACAAGGAAGTTACTGGGAATTCTTCTGTCTAGCCTTACATGAAAAAAACCCGTTTCCATGAAGGCCTCTAAGTGGTCAAAATTTCCACGTGCAGACTTTACAAACAGAGTGTTTCCAAACCGCTGAATGAAAAGAAAAGTTAAACTCTGAGAGTTGAACGCACACATCACGCAGCAGTTTCTGAGAATGATTCTGTCTAGTTTTTATACGAAGATATTTCCTTTTCTGCCTTTGGCCCCAAAGCGCTTGAAATCTCCACTTGCAAATTCCACAAAAACAGTGTTTCAAATCTGCTCTCTCTAAATGAAAGTTCAACTCTGTCAGTTGAATACACACAACACAAGGGAAGTTACTGAGAATTCTTCTGTCTAGCATAATATGAAGAAATCCCGTTTCCAACGAAGGCCTCAAGGAGGTCTGAATATCCACTTGCAGACTTTACAAACAGAGTGTTTCCTAACTGCTCTATGAAAAGAAAGGTTAAACTCTGTGAGTTGAACGCACACATCACAAAGGAGTTTCAGAGAATCATTCTGTCTTGTTTCTATAGGAAGATATTTCCTATTCTACCATTGACCTCAAAGCGGCTGAAATCTCCACTTGCAAATTCCACAAAAAGAGTGTTTCAAGTATGCTCTCTGTAAAGGATCGTTCAACTCTGTGAGTTGAATACACACAACACAAGGAAGTTACTGAGAATTCTTCTGTGTAGCAGAATATGAAGAAATCCCGTTTCCAACGAAGGCCACAAGATGTCAGAATATCCACTTACAGACTTTAGAAACAGAGTGTTTCCTAACTGCTCTATGAACAGAAAGGTTAAACTCTATGAGTTGAAAGAGCACATCACAACGCAGTTTGTTGGAATGATTCTGTCTAGTTTTGAAGCGAAGATATTTCCTTTTCTGCCATTGACATTAAAGCGCTTGAAATCTACACTTGCAAATTGCACAGAGTGTTTCAAATCTGCTCTGTCTAAGGGAACGTTCATCTCTGTGAGTTGAATGCACACAACACTAGGAATTTACTGGGAATTCTTCTGTCTAGGCTTACAGGAAAAAAACACGTTTCCAACGAAGGCCTCTAAGTGGTCAAAATATCCACGTGCAGACTTTACAAACAGAGTGTTTCCAAACTGCTGAATGAAAAGAAAAGTTAAACTCTGAGAGTTGAACGCACACATCGCAGAGCAGTTTCTGAGAATGATTCTGTCTAGTTTTGAAACGAAGATATTTCCTTTTCTGCCTTTGGCCTCAAAGCGCTTGACATCTCCACTTGCAAATTCCACAAAAAGAGTGTTTCAAATCTGCTCTGTGTAAATGAAAGTTTAACTCTGTGAGTTGAACACACACAACACAAGGAAGTTACTGGGAATTCTTCTGTCTAGCAGAATATGAAGAAATCCCGTTTCCAACGAAGGCCTCAAAGAGGGCTGAATCTCCAGTTGCAGACTTTACAAACAGAGTGTTTCCTAACTGCTCTATGAAAAGAAAGGTTAAACTCTGTGACTTGAACGCACACATCACAAAGGAGTTTCTGAGAATCATTCTGTCTAGTTTTTATATGAAGATATTCCCTTTTCTACCTTTGACTTCAAAGCGGCTGAAATCTCCACTTGCAAATTCCACAAAAAGAGTGTTACAAGTCTGCTCTGTGTAAAGGATCGGTCAACTCTGTGAGTTGAATACACACAACACAAGGAAGTTACTGAGAATTCTTCTGTCTAGCATAATATGAAGAAATCCCGTTTCCAACGAAGGCCACAAGATGTCAGAATATCCACTTACAGACTTTACAAACAGAGTGTTTCCTAACTGCTCTATGAACAGAAAGGTTAAACTCTGTGAGTTGAACGAACACATCACAGCGCAGTTTGTGGGAATGATTCTGTCTAGTTTTTATAGGAAGTTATTTCCTTTTCTACCTTTGACTTCAAAGTGGCTGAAATCTCCACTTGAAAATTCCACAAAAAGAGTGTTACAAGTCTGCTCTGTCTAAGGGAACGTTCAACTCTGTGATTTGAATGTACACAACACAAGGAAGTTACTGGGAATTCTTCTGTCTAGCCTTACAGGAAAAAAACCCGTTTCCAACGAAGGCCTCTAAGTGGTCAAAATATCCACGTGCAGACTTTACAAACAGAGTGTTTCCAAACTTCTGAATGAAAAGAAAAGTTAAACTCTGAGAGTTGAACGCACACATCGCAGAGCAGTTTCTGAGAATGATTCTGTCTAGTTTTGAAACGAAGATATTTCCTTTTCTGCCTTTGGCCTCAAAGCGCTTGAAATCTCCACTTGCAAATTCCACAAAAAGAGTGTTTCAAATCTGCTCTGTGAAAATGAAAGTTCAACTCTGTGAGTTGAACACACACAACACAAGGAAGTTACTGGGAATTCTTCTGTCTAGCAGAATATGAAGAAATCCCGTTTCCAACGAAGGCCTCAAAGAGGTCTGAATATCCACGTGCAGACTTTACAAACAGAGTGTTTCCTAACTGCTCCAAGAAAAGAAAGGTTAAACTCTGCGACTTGAACGCACACATCACAAAGGAGTTTCTGAGAATCATTCTGTCTAGTTTCTATAGGAAGATATTTCCTATTCTACCATTGACCTCAAAGCGGCTGAAATCTGCACTTGCAAATTCCACAAAAAGAGTGTTTCAAGTCTGTTCTGTGTAAAGGATCGTTCAACTCTGTGAGTTGAATACACACAACACAAGGAAGTTACTGAGAATTCTTCTGTCTAGCAGAATATGAAGAAATCCCGTTTCCAACGAAGGCCTCAAAGAGGTCTGAATATCCACTTGCAGACTTTACAAACAGAGTGTTTCCTAACTGCTCTATGAAAAGAAAGGTTAAACTCTGTGAGTTGAACGCACACATTACAACGCAGTTTGTGGGAATGATTCTGTCTAGTTTTGAAACGAAGATATTTCCTTTTCTGCCATTGACCTCAAAGCGCTTGAAATCTCCACTTGCCAATTGCACAAAAAGAGTGTTTCAAATCTGCTCTGTCTAAGGGAACGTTCAACTCTGTGAGTTGAATGTACACAACACAAGGAAGTTACTGGGAATTCTTCTGTCTAGCCTTACATGAAAAAAACCCGTTTCCAACGAAGGCCTCTAAGTGGTCAAATTATCCACGTGCAGACTTTACAAACAGAGGGTTTCCAAACTGCTGAATGAAAAGAAAAGTTAAACTCTGAGAGTTGAACGCACACATCGCAGAGCAGTTTCTGAGAATGATTCTGTCTAGTTTTTATACGAAGATATTTCCTTTTCTGCCTTTGGCCTCAAAGCGCTTGAAATCTCCATTTGCAAATTCCACAAAAAGAGTGTTTCAAATCTGCTCTGTGTAAATGAAAGTTCAAACTCTGTGAGTTGAACACACACAACACAAGGAAGTTACTGGGAATTCTTCTGTATAGCAGAATATGAAGAAATCCCGTTTCCAACGAAGGCCTCAAGGAGGTCTGAATATCCTCTTGCAGACTTTACAAACAGAGTGTTTCCTAAATGCTCTATGAAAAGAAAGGTTAAACTCTGTGAGTTGAACGCAGACATCACAAAGGAGTTTCTGAGAATCACTCTGTCTAGTTTCTATAAGAAGATATTTCCTATTCTACCATTGACCTCAAAGCGGCTGAAATCTCCACTTGCAAATTCGACAAATAGAGTGTTTCAAGCCTGCTCTCTGTAAAGGATCGTTCAACTCTGTGAGTTGAATACACACAACACAAGGAAGTTACTGAGAATTATTCTGTCTAGCATAATATGAAGAAATCCCGTTTCTAACGAAGGCCTCAAAGAGGTCTGAATATCCACTTGCAGACTTTACAAACAGAGTCTTTCCTAACTGCTCTATGAGAAGAAAAGTTAAACTCTGTGAGTTGAACGCACACATCACAAAAGATTTTCTGAGAATCATTCTGTCTAGTTTTGAAACGAAGATATTTCCTTTTCTGCCATTGACCTTAAAGCGCTTGAAATCTACACTTGCAAATTGCACAACTAGAGTGTTTCAAATCTGCTCTGTCTAAGGGAACGTTCAACTCTGTGAGTTGAATGCACACAACACAAGGAAGTTACTGGAAATTCTTCTGTCTAGCCTTACATGAAAAAAACCCGTTTCCAACGAAGGCCTCTAAGTGTTCAAAATATCCACGTGCAGACTTTACAAACAGAGTGTTTCCAAACCGCTGAATGAAAGGAAAAGTTAAACTCTGAGAGTTGAACGCACACATCACGCAGCAGTTTCTGAGAATGATTCTGTCTAGTTTTTATACGAAGATATTTCCTTTTCTGCCTTTGGCTCCAAAACGCTTGAAATCTCCACTTGCAAATTCCACAAAAACAGTGTTTCAAATCTGCTCTCTCTAAATGAAAGTTCAACTCTGTCAGTTGAAAACACACAACACAGGGAAGTTACTGAGAATTCTTCTGTCTAGCCTTACATGAAAAAAAACCCGTTTCCAACGAAGGCCTCAAAGAGGTGAAAATATCCACTTGCAGACTTTACAAACAGAGTGTTTCCTAACTGCTCTATGAAAAGAAAGGTTAAACTCTGTGAGTTGAACGCACACATCATAAAGGAGTTTCTGAGAATCATTCTGTCTAGTTTTTATACGAAGATATTTCCCTTTTCTACCATTGACCTCAACGCGGCTGAAATCTCCACTTGCAAATTCCAGAAAAAGAGTGTTTCAAGTCCGCTCTGTGTAAAGGATCATTGAACTCTGTGAGTTTAATACACTCAACACAAGGAAGTTACTGAGAATTCTTCTGTCTAGCCTTATATGAAAAAAACCCGTTTCCAACGAAGGCCTCAAAGAGGTCTGAATATACACTTGTAGACTTTACAAACAGAGTGTTTCCTAACTGCTCTATGAAAAGAAAGGTTAAACTCTGTGAGTTAAACGCACACATCACAAAGCAGTTTCTGAGAATCATTCTGTCTAGTTTTTATACGAAGATATTTCCTTTTCTACCATTGACCTCAAAGCGGCTGAAATCTCGACTTGCAAATTCCACAAAAAGAGTGTTTCAAGTCTGCTCTGTGTAAAGGATCGTTCAACTCTGTGAGTTGAATACACACAACACAAGGAAGTTACTGAGAATTCTTCTGTCTAGCATAGTATGAAGAAATCCCGTTTCCAAAGAAGGCCTCAATGAGGTCTGAATATCCACTTGCAGAGTTTACAAACAGAGTGTTTCCTAACTGCTCTATGAAAAGAAAGGTTAAACTCTGTGAGTTGAACGCACACATCACAAGGAAGATTCTGAGAATCGTTCTGTCTAGTTTTTATACGAAGATATTCCCTTTTCTGCCATTGACCTCAAAGCAGCTGAAATCACCACTTGCCAATTGCACAAAAAGAGTGTTTCAAATCTGCTCTGTCTAAGGGAACGTTCAACTCTGTGAGTTGAATGTACACAACACAAGGAAGTTACTGGGAATTCTTCTGTCTAGCCTTACAAGAAAAAAACCCGTTTCCAACGAAGGCCTCTAAATGGTCAAAATATCCACGTGCAGACTTTACAAACAGAGTGTTTCCAAACTGCTGAATGAAAAGAAAAGTTAAACTCTGAGAGTTGAACGCACACATCGCAGAGCAGTTTCTGAGAATCATTCTGTCTAGTTTTGAAACGAAGATATTTCCTTTTCTGCCTTTGGCCTCAAAGCGCTTGAAATCTCCACTTGCAAATTCCACAAAAAGAGTGTTTCAAATCTGCTTTGTGTAAATGAAAGTTCAACTCTGTGAGTTGAACACACACAACACAAGGAAGTTACTGGGAATTCTTCTGTCTAGCATAATATTAAGAAATCCCGTTTCCAACGAAGGCCTCAAAGAGGTCTGAGTATCCACTTGCAGACTTTACAAACAGAGTGTTTCCTAACTGCTCTATGAAAAGAAAGGTTAAACTCTGTAAGTTGAATGCACACATCACAAAGGAGTTTCTGAGAATCATTCTGTCTAGTTTTTATACGAAGATATTTCCTTTTCTACCATGGACCTCAAAGCGGCTGAAATCTCCACTTGCAAATTCCACAAAAATAGTGTTTCAAGTCTGCTCTGTGTAAAGGATCGTTCAACTCTGTGAGTTGAATACACACAACACAAGGAAGATTCTGAGAATTCTTCTGTCTAGCAGAATATGAAGAAATCCCGTTTCCAACGAAGGCCACAAGATGTCAGAATATCCACTTACAGAATTGACAAACAGACTGTTTCCTAACTGCTCTATGAAAAGAAACGTTAAACTCTGTGAGTTGAACGAACACATCACAACGCAGTTTGTGGGAATGATTCTGTCTAGTTTTGAAACGAAGACATTTCCTTTTCTGCCATTGACCTTAAAGCGCTTGAAATCTCCATTTGCCAATTGCACAAAAAGAGTGTTTCAAATCTGCTCTGTCTAAGGGAACGTTCAACTCTGTGAGTTGAATGTACACAACACAAGGAAGTTACTGGGAATTCTACTGTCTAGCCTTACAGGAAAAAAACCCGTTTCCAACGAAGGCCTCTAAGTGGTCAAAATATCCACGTGCAGACTTTACAAACAGAGTGTTTCCAAACTGCTGAATGAAAAGAAAAGTTAAACTCTGAGAGTTGAACGCACACATCGCAGAGCAGTTTACTGAGAATGATTCTCTGTCTAGTTTTGAAACGGAGATATTTCCTTTTCTGCCTTTGGCCTCAAAGCGCTTGAAATCTCCACTTGCAAATTCCACAAAAAGAGTGTTTCAAATCTGCTCTGTGTAAATGAAAGTTCAACTCTGTGAGTTGAACACACACAACACAAGGAAGTTACTCGGAATTCTTCTGTCTAGCCTTATAGGAAAAAAAGCCCGTTTCCAATGAAGGCCTCAAAGAGGTCTGAATATCCACTTGCAGACTTTACAAACAGAGTGTTTCCTAACTGCTCTATGAAAAGAAAGGTTAAACTCTGTGAGTTGAACACACACATCACAAAGGAGTTTCTGAGAATCATTCTGTCTAATTTTTATAGGAAGATATTTCCTTTTCTACCTTTGACTTCAAAGCGGCTGAAATCTCCACTTGCAAATTCCACAAAAAGAGTGTTACAAGTCTGCTCTGTGTAAAGGATCGTTCAACTCTGTGAGTTGAATACACACAACACAAGGAAGTTAATGAGAATTCTTCTGTCTAGCATAATATGAAGAAATCCCGTTTCCAACGAAGGCCTCAAGGAGGTCTGAATATCCACTTGCAGACTTTACAAACAGAGTGTTTCCTAACTGCTCTCTGAAAAGAAAGGTTAAACTGTGTGAGTTGAACGCACACATCACAAAGGAGTTTCTGAGAATCATTCTGTCTAGTTTTTATACGAAGATATTTCCTTTTCTACCATTGACCTCAAAGCGGCTGAAATCACCACTTGCCAATTGCACAAAAAGAGTGTTTCAAATCTGCTCTGTCTAAGGGAACGTTCAACTCTGTGAGTTGAATGTACACAACACAAGGAAGTTACTGGGAATTCTTCTGTCTAGCCTTACATGAAAAAAACCCGTTTCCAACGAAGGCCTCTAAGTGGTCAAATTATCCACGTGCAGACTTTACAAACAGAGTGTTTCCAAACTGCTGAATGAAAAGCAAAGTTAAACTCTGAGAGTTGAACGCACACATCGCAGAGCACTTTCTGAGAATGATTCTGTCTAGTTTTCATACGAAGATGTTTCCTTTTCTGCCTTTGGCCCCAAAGCGCTTGAAATCTCCACTTGCAAATTCCACAAAAACAGTGTTTCAAAACTGCTCTCTCTAAATGAAAGTTCAACTCTGTCAGTTGAATACACACAACACAAGGAAGTTACTGAGAATTCTTCTGTCTAGCATAATATGAATAAATCCCGTTTCCAACGAAGGCCTCAAAGGGGTCTGAATATCCACTTGCAGACTTTATAAACAGAGTGTTTACTAACTGCTCTATGAAAAGAAAGGTTAAACTCTGTGAGTTGAACACACACATCACAAAGGAGTTTCTGAGAATCATTCTGTCTAGTTTTTCTACGAAGATATTTCCTTTTCTACTATTGACCCCAAAGCGGCTGAAATCTCCACTTGCAAATTCCACAAAAAGAGTGTTTCAAGTCTGCTCTGTGTAAAGGATCGTTCAACTCTGTGAGTTGAATACACAGAACACAAGGAAGTTACTGAGAATTCTTCTGTCTAGCAGAATATGAAGAAATCCCGTTTCCAACGAAGGCCACAAGATGTCAGAATATCCACTTACAGACTTTACAAACAGAGTGTTTCCTAACTGCTCTGTGAACAGAAAGGTTAAACTCTGTGAGTTGAACGAGCACATCACAACGCAGTTTGTGGGAATGATTCTGTCTAGTTTTGAAACGAAGATATTTCCTTTTCTGCCATTGACCTTAAAGCGCTTGAAATCTCCATTTGCCAATTGCACAAAAAGAGTGTTTCAAATCTGCTCTGTCTAAGGGAACGTTCAACTCTGTGAGTTTAATGTACACAACACAAGGAAGTTACTGGGAAATCTTCTGTCTAGCCTTACATGAAAAAAACCCGTTTCCAACGAAGGCCTCTAAGTGGTCAAAATATCCACGTGCAGACTTTACAAACAGAGTGTTTCCAAACCGCTGAATGAAAAGAAAAGTTAAATTCTGAGAGTTGAACGCACACATCACGCAGCAGTTTCTGATAATGATTCTGTCTAGTTTTTATACGAAGATATTTCCTTTTCTGCCTTTGGCCCCAAAGCGCTTGAAATCTCCACTTGCAAATTGCACAAAAATAGTGTTTCAAATCTGCTCTGTCTAAATGAAACTTCAACTCTGTCAGTTGAATACACACAACACAAGGAAGTTACTGAGATTTCTTCTGTCTAGCATAATATGAAGAAATCCCGTTTCCAACGAAGGCCTCAAAGGGGTCTGAATATCCACTTGCAGACTTTATAAACAGAGTGTTTACTAACTGCTCTATGAAAAGAAAGATTAAACTCTGTGAGTTGAACACACACATCACAAAGGAGTTTCTGAGAATCATTCTGTCTAGTTTCTATAAGAAGATATTTCCTATTCTACCATTGACCTCAAAGCGGCTGAAATCTCCACTTGCAAATTCGACAAAAAGAGTTTTTCTAGCCTGCTCTCTGTAAAGGATCCTTCAACTCTGTGAGTTGAATACACACAACACAAGGAAGTTACTGAGAATTCTTCTGTCTAGCAGAATATGAAGAAATCCCGTTTCCAACGAAGGGCCACAAGATGTCAGAATATCCACTTACAGACTTTACAAACAGAGTGTTTCCTAACTGCTCTATGAACAGAAAGGTTAAACTCTGTGAGTTGAACGAATACATCACAACGCAGTTTGTGGGAATGATTCTGTCTAATTTTGAAACGAAGATATTTCCTTTTCTGCCATTGACCTTAATGCGCTTGAAATCTACACTTGCAAATTGCACAAATAGAGTGTTTCAAATCTGCTCTGTCTAAGGGAACGTTCAACTCTGTGAGTTGAATGCACACAACACAAGGAAGTTACTGGGAATTCTTCTGTCTAGCCTTACATGCAAAAAACCCGTTTCCAACGAAGGCCTCTAAGTGGTCAAAATATCCACGTGCAGACGTTACAAACAGAGTGTTTCCAAACCGCTGAATGAAAAGAAAAGCTAAACTCTGAGAGTTGAACGCACACATCACGCAGCAGTTTCTGAGAATGATTCTGTCTAGTTTTTATACGAAGATATTTCCTTTTCTGCCTTTGGCCCCAAAGCGCTTGAAATCTCCACTTGCAAATTCCACAAAAACAGTGTTTCAAATCTTCTCTCTCTAAATGAAAGTTCAACTCTGTCAGTTGAATACACACAACACAAGGAAGTTACTGAGAATTCTTCTGTCTAGCATAATATGAAGAAATCCCGTTTCCAACGAAGGCCTCAAGGAGGTCTGAATATCCACTTGCAGACTTTACAAACAGAGTGTTTCCTATCTGCTCTATGAAAAGAAAGGTTAAACTCTGTGAGTTGAACGCACACATCACAAAGGAGTTTCTGAGAATCATTCTGTCTAGTTTTTATAGGAAGATATTTCCTTTTCTACCTTTGACTTCAAAGCGGCTGAAATCTCCACTTGCAAATTCCACAAAAAGAGTTTTACAAGTCTGCTCTGTGTAAAGGATCGTTCAACTCTGTGAGTTGAATACACACAACACAAGGAAGTTACTGAGAATTCTTCTGTCTAGCAGAATATGAAGAAATCCCGTTTCCAACGAAGGCCACAAGATGTCAGAATATCCACTTACAGAATTGACAAACAGACTGTTTCCTAACTGCTCTATGAAAAGAAAGGTTAAACTCTGTGAGTTGACCGAACACATCACAACGCAGTTTGTGGGAATGATTCTGTCTAGTTTTGAAACGAAGATATTTCCTTTTCTGCCATTGACCTTAATGCGCTTGAAATCTACACTTGCAAATTGCACAAATAGAGTGTTTCAAACCTGCTCTGTCCTAGGGAACGTTCAACTCTGTGAGTTGAATGCACACAACACAAGGAAGTTACTGGGAATACTTCTGTCTAGCCTTACATGCAAAAAACCATTTCCAACGAAGGCCTCTAAGTGGTCAAAATATCCACTTACAGACTTTACAAACAGAGTGTTTCCAAACCGCTGAATGAAAAGAAAAGTTAAACTCTGAGAGTTGAACGCACACATAACGCAGCAGTTTCTGAGAATGATTCTGTCTACTTTTGAAACGAAGATATTTCCTTTTCTGCCTTTGGCCTCAAAGCGCTTGAAATCTCCATTTGCAAATTCCACAAAAAGAGTGTTTCAAATCTGCTCTGTGTAAATGAAAGTTCAACTCTGTGAGTTGAATACACACAACACAAGGAAGTTACTGAGAATTCTTCTGTATAGCAGAATATGAAGAAATCCCGTTTCCAACTAAGGCCTCAAGGAGGTCTGAATATGCACCTGCAGACTTTACAAACAGAGTGTTTCCTAACTGCTCTATGAAAAGAAAGGTTAAACTCTGTGAGTTGAACGCAGACATCACAAAGGAGTTTCTGAGAATCACTCTGTCTAGTCTTTATACGAAGATATTTCCTTTTCTACCATTGACCTCAAAGCGGCTGAAATCTCCACTTGCAAATTCCACAAAAAGAGTGTTTCAAGTCTGCTCTGTGTAAAGGATCGTACAACTCTGTGAGTTGAATACACACAACACAAGGAAGTTACTGAGAATTCTTCTGTCTAGCAGAATATGAAGAAATCCCGTTTCCAACGAAGGCCACAAGATGTCAGAATATCCACTTACAGAATTGACAAACAGACTGTTTCCTAACTGCTCTATGAAAAGAAAGTTTAAACTCTGTGAGTTGAACGAACACATCACAACGCAGTTTGTGGGAATGATTCTGTCTAGTTTTGAAACGAAGATATTTCCTTTTCTGCCATTGACCTTAAAGCGCTTGAAATCTACACTTGCAAATTGCACAAATAGCGTGTTTCAATTCAGCTCTGTCTAAGGAAACGTTCAACTATGTGAGTTTAATGCACACAACACAAGGAAGTTACTGGGAATTCTTCTGTCTAGCCTTACAAGAAAAAAACCCGTTTCCAACGAAAGCCTCTAAATGGTCAAAATATCCACGTGCAGACTTTACAAACAGAGTGTTTCCAAACTGCTGAATGAAAAGAAAAGTTAAACTCTGGAGAGTTGAACGCACACATCGCAGAGCAGTTTCTGAGAATGATTCTGTCTACTTTTTATACGAAGATATTTCGTTTTCTGCCTTTGGCCCCAAAGCGCTTGAAATCTCCACTTGCAAATTCCACAAAAACAGTGTTTCAAATCTGCTCTCTCTAAATGAAAGTTCAACTCTGTCAGTTGAATACACACAACACAAGGAAGTTACTGAGAATTCTTCTGTCTAGCATAATATGAAGAAATCCCGTTTCCAACGAAGGCCTCAAAGAAGTCTGAATATCCACTTGCAGACTTTACAAACAGAGTGTTTCCTAACTGCTCTATGAGAAGAAATGTTAAACTCTGTGAGTTGAACGCACACATCACAAAAGATTTTCTGAGAATCATTCTGTCTAGTCTTTATACGAAGATATTTCCTTTTCTAACATTGACCTCAAAGCGGCTGAAATCTCCACTTGCAAATTCCACAAAAAGAGTGTTTCAAGTCTGCTCTGTGTAAAGGATCGTTCAACTCTGTGACTTGAATACACACAACACAAGGAAGTTTCTGAGAATTCTTCTGTCTAGCAGAATATGAAGAAATCCCGTTTCCAACGAAGGCCACAAGATGTCAAAATATCCACTTACAGACTTTACAAACAGAGTGTTTCCTAACTGCTCTATGAACAGAAAGGTTAAACTCTGTGAGTTGAACGAACACATCACAACGCAGTTTGTGGGAATGATTCTGTCTAGTTTTGAAAGGAAGATATTTCCTTTTCAGCCGTTGACCTTAAAGCGCTTGAAATCTACACTTGCAAATTGCACAAATAGGCTGTTTCAAATCTGCTCTGTCTAAGGGAACGTTCAACTCTGTGAGTTGAATGCACACAACACAAGGAAGTTACTGGGAATTCTTCTGTCTAGCCTTACATGAAAAAAACCCGTTTCCAACGAAGGACTCTAAGTGGTCAAAATATCCACGTGCAGACTTTACAAACAGAGTGTTTCCAAACCGCTGAATGAAAAGAAAAGTTAAACTCTGAGAGTTGAACGCACATATCGCGCAGCAGGTTCTGAGAATGATTCTGTCTAGTTTTTATACGAAGATATTTCCTTTTCTGCCTTTGGCCTCAAAGCGCTTGAAATCTCCACTTGCAAATTCCACAAAAGGAGTGTTTCAAATCTGCTCTGTGTAAATCAAAGTTCAACTCTGTGAGTTGAACACACACAACACAAGGAAGTTACTGGGAATTCTTCTGTCTAGCAGAACATGAAGAAATCCCGCTTCCAACGAAGGCCTCAAAGAAGTCTGAATATCCACTTGCAGACTTTACAAACAGAGTGTTTCCCAACTGCTCTATGAAAAGAAAGGTTAAACTCTGTGAGTTGAACGCACACATCACAAAGGAGTTTCTGAGAATCATTCTGTCTAGTTTCTATAGGAAGATATTTCCTATTCTACCATTGACCTCAAAGCGGCTGAAATCTCCAATTGCAAATTCCACAAAAAGAGTGTGTCAAGTCTGCTCTCTGTAAAGTATCGTTCAACTCTGTGAGTTGAATACACACAACACAAGGAAGTTACTGAGAATTCTTCTGTCTAGCAGAATATAAAGAAATCCCGTTTCCAACGAAGGCCACAAGATGTCAGAATATCCACTTACAGACTTTACAAACAGAGTGTTTCCTAACTGCTCTATGAACAGAAAGGTTAAACTCTGTGAGTTGAACGAACACATCACAACGCAGTTTGTGGGAATGATTCTGTCTAGTTTTGAAACGAAGATATTTCCTTTTCTGCCATTGACCTTAAAGCGCTTGAAATCTACACTTGCAAATTGCACAAATAGAGTGTTTCAAATCTGCTCTGTCTAAGGGAACGTTCAACTCTGTGAGTTGAATGCACACAACACAAGGAAGTTACTGGGAAATTCTTCCGTCTAGCCTTACATGAAAAAAACCCGTTTCCAACGAAGGCCTCTAAGTGGTCAAAATATCCACGTGCAGACTTTACAAACAGAGTGTTTCCAAACCGCTGAATGAAAAGAAAAGTTAAATTCTGAGAGTTGAGCGCACACATCACGCAGCAGTTTCTGAGAATGATTCTGTCTAGTTTTTATACGAAGATATTTCGTTTTCTGCCTTTGGCCGCAAAGCGCTTGAAATCTCCACTTGCAAATTCCACAAAAACAGTGTTTCAAATCTGCTCTCTCTAAATGAAAGTTCAACTCTGTGAGTTGAATACACACAACACAAGGAAGTTACTGAGAATTCTTCTGTCTAGCATAATATGAAGAAATCCCATTTCCAACGAAGGCCTCAAGGAGGTCTGAATATCCACTTGCAGACTTTACAAACAGAGTGTTTCCTAACTGCTCTATGAAAAGAAAGGTTAAACTCTGTGAGTTGAACGCAGACATCACAAAGGAGTTTCTGAGAATCACTCTGTCTAGTTTCTATAGGAAGATATTTCCTATTCTACCATTGACCTCAAAGCGGCTGAAATCTCCACTTGCAAATTCCACAAAAAGAGTGTTTCAAGTCTGCTCTGTGTAAAGCATCGTTCAACTCTGTGAGTTGAATACACACCACACAAGGAAGTTACTGGGAATTCTTCTGTCTAGCAGAATATGAAGAAATCCCGTTTCCAACGAAGGCCACAAGATGTCAGAATATCCACTTACAGAATTGACAAACAGACTGTTTCCTAACTGCTCTATGAAAAGAAAGGTTAAACTCTGTGAGTTGAACGCACACGTCACAATGAAGTTTCTGAGAATCATTCTCTCTAGTTTTGAAACGAAGATATTTCCTTTTCTGCCATTGACCTTAAAGCGCTTGAAATCTCCACTTGCCAATTGCACAAAAAGAGTGTTTCAAATCTGCTCTGTCTAAGGGAACGTTCAACTCTGTGAGTTGAATGTACACAACACAAGGAAGTTACTGGGAATTCTTCGGTCTAGCCTTACATGAAAAAATCCCGTTTCCAACGAAGGCCTCTAAGTGGTCAAAATATCCACGTGCAGACTTTATAAACAGAGTGTTTCCAAACTGCTGAATGAAAAGAAAAGTTACACTCTGAGAGTTGAACGCACACATCGCAGAGCAGTTTCTGAGAATCATTCTGTCTAGTTTTTATACGAAGATATTTCCTTTTCTGCCTTTGGCCTCAAAGCGCTTGAAATCTCCATTTGCAAATTCCACAAAAAGAGTGTTTCAAATCTGCTCTGTCTAAATGAAAGTTCAACTCTGTCAGTTGAATACACACAACACAAGGAAGTTACTGAGAATTCTTCTGTCTAGCAGAATATGAAGAAATCCCGTTTCCAACGAAGGCCTCAAGGAGGTCTGAATATCCACTTGCAGACTTTATAAACAGAGTGTTTCCTAACTGCTCTATGAAAAGAAAGGTTAAACTCTGTGAGTTGAACGCACACATCACAAAGGGAGTTTATGAGAATCATTCTGTCTAGTTTTCATACGAAGATATTTCCTTTTCTACCATTGACCTCAAAGCGGCTGAAATCTCCACTTGCAAATTCCACAAAAAGAGTGTTTCAAATCTGCTCTGTGTAAAGGATCGTTCAACTCTGTGAGTTGAATACACACAACACAAGGAAGTTATTGAGAATTCTTCTGTCTAGCAGAATATGAAGTAATCCCGTTTCCAGCGAGGCCACAAGATGTCAGAATATCCACTTACAGAATTTACAAACAGACTGTTTCCTAACTGCTCTATGAAAAGAAAGGTTAAATTCTGTGAGTTGAACAAACGCATCACAACGCAGTTTGTGGGAATGATTCTGTCTAGTTTTGAAACGAAGATATTTCCTTTTCTGCCATTGACCTTAAAGCGCTTGAAATCTCCACTTGCCAATTGCACAAAAAGAGTGTTTCAAATCTGCTCTGTCTAAGGGAACCTTCAACTCTGTGAGTTGAATGTACACAACACAAGGAAGTTACTGGGAATTCTTCTGTCTAGCCTTACAGGAAAAAAACCCGATTCCAAAGAAGGCCTCTAAGTGGTCAAAATATCCACGTGCAGACTTTACAAACAGAGTGTTTCCAAACTGCTGAATGAAAAGAAAAGTTAAACTCTGAGAGTTGAAGGCACACATCGCAGAGCAGTTTCTGAGAATGATTATGTCTAGTTTTTATACGAAGATATTTCCTTTTCTGCCTTTGGCCCCAAAGCGCTTGAAATCTCCACTTGCAAATTCCACAAAAACAGTGTTTCAAATCTGCTCTCTCTAAATGATAGTTCAACTCTGTCAGTTGAATACACACAACACAAGGAAGTTACTGAGAATTCTTCTGTCTAGCAGAATATGAAGAAATCCCGTTTCCAACGAAGGCCTCAAAGAGGTCTGAATATCCACTTGCAGACTTTAACAAACAGAGTGTTTCCTAACTGCTCTATGAAAAGAAAGGTTAAATTCTGTGAGTTAAACGCACACATCACAAAGGAGTTTCTGAGAATCATTCTGTCTAGTTTTTCTACGAAGATATTTCCTTTTCGACTATTGACCTCAAAGCGGCTGAAATCTCCACTTGCAAATTCCACAAAAAGAGTGTTTCAAGTCTGCTCTGTGTAAAGGATCGTTCAACTGCTGTGAGTTGAATACACACAACACAAGGAAGTTACTGAGAATTCTTTCTATCTAGCATAGTATGAAGAAATCCCGTTTCCAACGAAGGCCACAAGTTGTCAGAATATCCACTTACAGAATTTACAAACAGAGTGTTTCCTAACTGCTCTATGAAAAGAAAGGTTAAACTCTGTGAGTTGAACGAACACATAACAACGCAGTTTGTGGGAATGATTCTGTCTAGTTTTGAAACGAAGATATTTCCTTTTCTGCCATTGACCTTAAAGCGCTTGAAATCTACACTTGCAAATTGCACAAATAGAGTGTTTCAAATCTGCTCTGTCTAAGGGAACGTTCAACTCTGTGAGTTTAATGCACCCAACACAAGGAAGTTACTGGGAATTATTCTGTCTAGCCTTACATGAAAAAAACCCGTTTCCAACGAAGGCCTCAAAGAAGTCCAAATATCCACGTGCAGACTTTACAAACAGAGTGTTTCCTAACTGCTCTATGAAAAGAAAGGTGAGTTGAACGCACACATCACAAAGGAGTTTCTGAGAATCATTCTGTCTAGTTTTTATACGAAGATATTTCCTTTTCTGCCTTTGGCCTCAAAGCGCTTGAAATCTCCACTTGCAAATTCCACAAAAAGAGTGTTTCAAATCTGCTATTTGTAAAAGAAAGTTCAACTCTGTGAGTTGAACACACACAACACAAGGAAGTTACTGGGAATCCTTCTGTCTAGCATAATATGGAGAAATCCCGTTTCCAACGAAGGCCTCAAAGGGGTCTGAATATCCACTTGCAGACTTTATAAACAGAGTGTTTACTAACTGCTCTATGAAAAGAAAGGTTAAACTCTGTGAGTTGAACACACACATCACAAAGGAGTTTCTGAGAATCATTCTGTCTAGTTTTTATAGGAAGATATTTCCTTTTCTACCTTTGACTTCAAAGCGGCTGAAATCTCCACTTGCAAATTCCACAAAAAGAGTGATACAAGTCTGCTCTGTGTAAAGGATCGTTCAACTCTGTGAGTTGAATACACACAACACAAGGAAGTTACTGAGAATTCTTCTGTCTAGCAGAATATGAAGAAATCCCGTTTCCAACGAAGGCCACAAGATGTCAGAATATCCACTTACAGACTTTACAAACAGAGTGTTTCCTAACTTCTCTATGAACAGAAAGGTTAAACTCTGTGAGTTGAACGAACACATCACAACGCAGTTTGTGGGAATGATTCTGTCTAGTTTTGAAACGAAGATATTTCCTTTTCTGCCGTTGACCTTAAAGCGCTTGAAATCTACACTTGCAAATTGGACAAATAGAGTGTTTCAAATCTGCTCTGTCTAAGGGAACGTTCAACTCTGTGAGTTGAATGCACACAACACAAGGAAGTTACTGGGAATTCTTCTGTCTAGCCTTACATGAAAAAAACCCGTTTCCAACGAAAGCCTCTAAGTCGTCAAAATATCCACGTGCAGATTTACAAACAGAGTGTTTCCAAACTACTGAATGAAAAGAAAAGTTAAACTCTGAGAGTTGAACGCACACATCACAGAGTAGTTTCTGAGAATGATTCTGTCTAGTTTTTATACGAAGATATTTCCTTTTCTGCCTTTGGCCTCAAAGCGCTTGAAATCGCCACTTGCAAATTGCACAAAAAGAGTGTTTCAAATCTGCTCTGTGTAAATGAAAGTTCAACTCTGTGAGTTGAACACACACAACACAAGGAAGTTACTGGGAATTCTTCTGTCTAGCATAATATGAAGAAATCCCGTTTCCAACGAAGGCCACAAAGAGGTCTGAATATCCACTTGCAGACTTTACAAACAGAGTGTTTCCTCACTGCTCTATGAAAAGAAAGGTTAAACTCTGTGAGTTGAACGCACACATCACAAAGGAGTTTCTGAGAATCATTCTGTCTAGTTTTTATACGAAGATATTTCCTTTTCTACCACTGACCTCAAAGCGGCTGAAATCTCCACTTGCAAATTCCACAAAAAGTGTGTTTCAAGTCTGCTCTGTGTAAAGGATCGTTGAACTCTGTGAGTTGAATACACGCAACACAAGGAAGTTACTGAGAATCTCTCTGTCTAGCAGAATATGAAGAAATCCCGTTTCCAACGAAGGCCACAAGTATGTCAGCAATATCCACTTACAGACTTTACAAACAGAGTGTTTCCTAACTGCTCTATGAACAGAAAGGTTAAACTCTGTGAGTTGAACGAACACATCACAACGCAGTTTGTGGGAATGATTCTGTCTAGTTTTGAAACGAAGATATTTCCTTTTCTGCCATTGACCTTAAAGCGCTTGAATTCTACACTTGCAAATTGCACAAATAGAGTGTTTCAAATCTGCTCTGTCTAAGGGAACGTTCAACTCTGTGAGTTGAATGCACACAACACAAGGAAGTTACTGGGAATTCTTCTGTCTACCCTTACATGAAAAAAACCCGTTTCCAAAGAAGGCCTCTAAGTGGTCAAAATATCCACGTGCAGACTTTACAAACAGAGTATTTCCAAACTGCTGAATGAAAACAAAAGTTAAACTCTGAGAGTTCAACGCACACATCACAGAGCATTTTCTGAGAATGATTCTGTCTAGTTTTTATACGAAGATATTTCCTTTTCTGCCTTTGGCCTCAAAGCGCTTGAAATCTCCACCTGCAAATTCCACAAAAAGAGTGTTTCAAATCTGCTCTGTGTAAATGAAAGTTCAACTCTGTGAGTTGAACACACACAACACAAGGAAGTTACTGGGAATTCCTCTGTCTAGCATAATATGAAGAAATACCGTTTCCAACGAAGGCCTCAAAGGGGTCTGAATATCCACTTGCAGACTTTATAAACAGAGTGTTTACTAACTGCTCTATGAAAAGAAAGGTTAAACTCTGTGAGGTGAACACACACATCACAAAGGAGTTTCTGAGAATCATTCTGTCTAGTCTTTATATGAAGATAGTTTCCTTTTCTACCATTGACCTCAAAGCGGCTGAAATCTCCACTTGCAAATTCCACAAAAAGAGTGTTTCAAGTTTGCTCTGTGTAAAGGATCGTTCAACTCTGTGAGTTGAATACACACAACACAAGGAAGTTACTGAGAATTCTTCTGTCTAGCAGAATATGAAGAAATCCCGTTTCCAACGAAGGCCACAAGATGTCAGAATATCCACTTACAGACTTTACAAACAGAGTGTTTCCTAACTGCTCTATGAACAGAAAGGTTAAACTCTGTGAGTTGAACGAACACATCACAACGCAGTTTCTGGGAATGATTCTGTCTAGTTTTTATAGGAAGATATTTCCTTTTCTACCTTTGACTTCAAAGCGGCTGAAATCTCCACTTGCAAATTCCACAAAAAGAGTGTTACAAGTCTGCTCTGTGTAAAGGATCGTTCAACTCTGTGAGTTGAATACACACAACACAAGGAAGTTACTGAGAATTCCTCTGTCTAGCCTTACATGAAAAAAACCCGTTTCCAACGAAGGCCTCTAAGTGGTCAAATTATCCACGTGCAGACTTTACAAACAGAGTGTTTCCAAACTGCTGAAAGAAAAGAAAAGTTAAACTCTGAGAGTTGAACGCACACATCGCAGAGCAGTTTCTGAGAATGATTCTGTCTAGTTTTGAAACGAAGATATTTCCTTTTCTGCCTTTGGCCTCAAAGCGCTTGAAATCTCCACTTGCAAATTCCACAAAAAGAGTGTTTCAAATCTGCTCTGTGTAAATGAAAGTTCAATTCTGTGAGTTGAACACACACAACACAAGGAAGTTACTGGGAATTCTTCTGTCTAGCATAGTATGAAGAAATCCCGTTTCCAACGAAGGCCTCAAAGAGGTCTGTATATCCACTTGCAGAGTTTACAAACAGAGTGTTTCCTAACTGCTCTACGAAAAGAAAGGTTAAACTCTGTGAGTTGAACGCACACATCACAAAGGAGTTTCTGAGAATCATTCTGTCTAGTTTTTATACGAAGATATTTCCTTTTCTACCATTGACCTCAAAGCGGCTGAAATCTCCACTTGCAAATTCCACAAAAAGAGTGTTTCAAATCTGCTCTGTGTAAACCAGAGTTCAACTCTGTGAGTTGAATACACACAACACAAGGAAGTTACTGAGAATTCTTCTGTCTAGCAGAATATGAAGAAATCCCGTTTCCAACGAAGGCCACAAGATGTCAGAATATCCACTTACAGAATTTACAAACAGACTGTTTCGTAACTGCTCTATGAAAAGAAAGGTTAAACTCTGTGAGTTGAACGAACACATCACAACGCAGTTTGTGGGAATGATTCTGTCTAGTTTTAATACGAAGATATTTCCTTTTATACCATTGACCGCAAAGCGGCTGAAATCACCACTTGCCAATTGCACAAAAAGAGTGTTTCAAATCTGCTCTGTCTAAGGGAACGTTCAACTCTGTGAGTTGAATGTACACAACCCAAGGGAAGTTACTAGGAATTCTTCTGTCTAGCCTTACATGAAAAAATCCCGTTTCCAACGAAGACCTCTAAGTGGTGAAATTATCCACGTGCAGACTTTACAAACAGAGTGTTTCCAAACTGCTGAATGAAAAGAAAAGTTAAACTCTGAGAGTTGAACGCACACATCGCAGAGCTGTTTCTGAGAATGATTCTGTCTAGTTTTTATACGAAGATATTTCCTTTTCTGCCTTTGGCCTCAAAGCGCTTGAAATCTCCACTTGCAAATTCCACAAAAAGAGTGTTTCAAATCTGCTCAGTGTAAATCAAAGTTCAACTCTGTGAGTTGAACACACACAACACAAGGAAGTTACTGGGAATTCTTCTGTCTAGCAGAATATGAAGAAATCCCGTTTCCAACGAAGGCCTCAAAGAGGTCTGAATATCCACGTGCAGACTTTACAAACAGAGTGTTTCCTAACTGCTCTATGAAAAGAAAGGTTAAACTCTGTGAGTTGAACGCACACATCACAAAGGAGTTTCTGAGAATCATTCTGTCTAGCAGAATATGAAGAAATCCCGTTTCCAACGAAGGCCTCAAGGAGGTCTGAATATCCACTTGCAGACTTTACAAACAGAGTGTTTCCTAACTGCTCTATGAAAAGAAAGGTTAAACTCTTTGACTTGAACGCACACATCACAACGCAGTTTGTGGGAGTGATTCTGTCTAGTTTTGAAACGAAGATATTTCCTTTTCTGCCATTGACCTTAAAGCGCTTGAAATCTACACTTGCAAATTGCACAAATAGAGTGTTTCAAATCTGCTCTGTCTAAGGGAACGTTCAACTCTGTGAGTTGAATGCACAAAACACAAGGAAGTTACTGGGAATTCTTCTGTCTAGCCTTACATGAAAAAAACCCGTTTCCAACGAAGGCCTCTAAGTGGTCAAATTATCCACGTGCAGACTTTACAAACAGAGTGTTTCCAAACTGCTGAATGAAAAGAAAAGTTAAACTCTGAGAGTTGAATGCACACATCGCAGAGCAGTTTCTGAGAATGATTCTGTCTAGTTTTGAAACGAAGATATTTCCTTTTCTGCCTTTGGCTTCAAAGCGCTTGAAATCTCCACTTGCAAATTCCACAAAAAGAGTGTTTCAAATCTGCTCTGTGTAAATGAAAGTTCAACTCTGTGGGTTGAACACACACAACACAAGGAAGTTACTGGGAATTCTTCTGTCTAGCATAATATGAAGAAATCCCGTTTCCAACGAAGCCCTCAAGGAGGTCGGAATATCCACTTGCAGACTTTACAAACAGAGTGTTTCCTAACTGCTCTATGAAAAGAAAGGTTAAACTCTGTGAGTTGAACGCAGACATCACAAAGGAGTTTCTGAGAATCACTCTGTCTAGTTTTTATACGAAGATATTTCCTTTTCTACCATTGACCTCAAAGCGGCTGAAATCTCCACCCTGCCAATTCCACAAAAAGAGTGTTTCAAGTCTACTCTGTGTAAATGATCCTTTAACTCTGTGAGTTGAAAACACACAACACAACGAAGTTACTGAGAATTCTTCTGTCTAGCAGAATATGAAGCAAATCCCGTTTCCAACGAAGGCCACAAGCATGTCAGAATATCCACTTACAGAATTTACAAACAGACTGTTTCCTAACTGCTCTACGAAAAGAAAGGTTAAACTCTGTGAGATGAACGAACACATCACAACGCAGTTTGTGGGAATGATTCTGTCTAGTTTTGAAACGAAGATATTTCCTTTTCTGCCATTGACCTCAAAGCGCTTGAAATCTCCACTTGCCAATTGCACAAAAAGAGTGTTTCAAATCTGCTCTGTCTAAGGGAACGTTCAACTCTGTGAGTTGAATGTACACAACACAAGGAAGTTACTGGGAATTCTTCTGTCTAGCCTTACAGGAAAAAAACCCGTTTCCAACGAAGGCCTCTAAGTGGTCAAAATATCCACGTGCAGACTTTACAAACAGAGTGTTTCCAAACTGCTGAATGAAAAGAAAAGTTAAATTCTGAGAGTTGAACGCACACATCGCAGAGCAGTTTCTGAGAATGATCCTGTCTAGTTTTTATACGAAGATATTTCCTTTTCTGCCTTTGGCCGCAAATCGCTTGAAATCTACACTTGCAAATTCCACAAATACAGTGTTACAAATCTGCTCTCTCTAAATGAAAGTTCAACTCTGTCAGTTGAATACACACAACACAAGGAAGTTACTGAGAATTCTTCTGTCTAGCCTTATATGAAAAAAACCCGTTTCCAACGAAGGCCTCAAAGAGGTCTGAATATCCACTTGCAGACTTTACAAACAGAGTGTTTCCTAACTGCTCTATGAAAAGAAAGGTTAAACTTTGTGAGTTGAACGCACACATCACAAAGCAGTTTCTGAGAATCATTCTGTCTAGTTTTTCTACGAAGATATTTCCTTTTCTACTATTGACCTCAAAGCGGCTGAAATCTCCACTTGCAAATTCCACAAAAAGAGTGTTTCAAGTCTGCTCTGTGTAAAGGATCGTTCAACTCTGTGAGTTGAATATACACTACACAAGGAAGTTACTGAGAATTCTTCTGTCTAGCAGAATATGAAGAAATCCCGTTTCCAACGAAGGCCTCAAAGAGGTCTGAATATCCACTTGCAGACTTTACAAACAGAGTGTTTCCTAACTGCTCTATGAAAAGAAAGGTTAAACTCTGTGAGTTGAACGCACACATCACAAAGGATTTTCTGAGAATCATTCTGTCTAGTTTTAAAACGAAGATATTTCCTTTTCTGCCATTGACCTTAAAGCGCTTGAAATCTACACTTGCAAATTGCACAAATAGAGTGTTTCAAATCTGCTCTGTCTAAGGGAACGTTCAACTCTGTGAGTTGAATGCACACAACACAAGGAAGTTACTGGGAATTCTTCTGTCTAGCCTTACATGAAAAAAACCCGTTTCTAACGAAGGCCTCTAAGTGGTCAAAATTTCCACGTGCAGACTTTACAAACAGAGTGTTTCCAAACCGCTGAATGAAAAGAAAAGTTAAACTCTGAGAGTTGAACGCACACATCACGCAGCAGTTTCTGACAATTATTCTGTCTAGTTTTTATACGAAGATATTTCCTTTTCTGCCTTTGGCCCCAAAGCGCTTGAAATCTCCACTTGCAAATTCCACAAAAACAGTGTTTCAAATCTGCTCTCTCTAAATGATAGTTCAACTCTGTCAGTTGAATACACACAACACAAGGAAAGTTACTGAGAATTCTTCTGTCTAGCATAATATGAAGAAATCCCGTTTCCAACGAAGGCCTCAAGGAGGTCTGAATATCCACTTGCAGACTTTACCAACAGAGTGTTTCCTAACTGCTCTATGAAAAGAAAGGTTAAACTCTGTGCGTTGAAAGCACACATCACAAAGGAGTTTCTGAGAATCATTCTGTCTAGTTTTTATACGAAGATATTTCCTTTTCTACCATGGTCCTCAAAGCGGCTGAAATCTCCACTTGCAAATTCCACAAAAAGAGTGTTTCAAGTCTGCTCTGTGTAAAGGATCGTTCAACTCTGTGAGTTGAATACACACAACACAAGGAAGATTCTGAGAATTCTTCTGTCTAGCAGAATATGAAGAAATCCCGTTTCCAACGAATGCCACAAGATGTCAGAATATCCACTTACAGAATTGACAAACAGACTGTTTCCTAACTGCTCTATGAAAAGAAAGGTTAAACTCTGTGAGTTGAGCGAACACATCACAACGCTGTTTGTGGGAATGATTCTGTCTAGTTTTGAAACGAAGATATTTCCTTTTCTGCCATTGACCTTAAAGCGCTTGAAATCTACACTTGCAAATTGCACAAATAGAGTGTTTCAAATCTGCTCTGTCTAAGGGAACGTTCAAGTCTGTGAGTTGAATGCACACAACACAAGGAAGTTACTGGGAATTCTTCTGTCTAGCCTTACAAGAAAAAAACCCGTTTCCAAAGAAGGCATCTAAGTGGTCAAAATATCCACGTGCAGACTTTACAAACAGAGTGTTTCCGAACTGCTGAATGAAAAGAAAAGTTAAACTCTGAGAGTTGAACGCACACATCGCAGAGCAGTTTCTGAGAATGATTCTGTCTAGTTTTTATACGAAGATATTTCCTTTTCTACCATTGACCTCAACGCACCTGAAATCTCCGCTTGCAAATTCCACAAAAAGAGTGTTTCCAGTCCGCTCTGTGTAAAGGATCGTTCAACTCTGTGAGTTGAATACACACAACACAAGGAAGTTACTGAGAATTCTTCTGTCTAGCACAGTATGAAGAAATCCCGTTTCCAACGAAGGCCTCAAAGAGGTCTGAATATCCACTTGCAGACTTTACAAACAGAGTGTTTCCTAACTGCTCTATGAAAAGAAAGGTTAAACTCTGTGAGTTGAACGCACACATCACAAAGAAGTTTCTGAGAAACATTCTGTCTAGTTTTTATAGGAAGATATTTCCTTTTCTACCTTTGACTTCAAAGCGGCTGAAATCTCCACTTGCGAATTCCACAAAAAGAGTGTTACAAGTCTGCTCTGTGTAAAGGATCGTTCAACTCTGTGAGTTGAATACACACAACACAAGGAAGTTACTGAGAATTCTTCTGTCTAGCAGAATATGAAGAAATCCCGTTTCCAACGAAGGCCACAAGATGTCAGAATATCCACTTACAGACTTTACAAACAGTGTGTTTCCTAACTGCTCTATGAACGGAAAGGTTAAACTCTGTGAGTTGAACGAACACATCACAACGCAGTTTGTGGGAATGATTCTGTCTAGTTTTGAAACGAAGATATTTCCTTTTCTGCCATTGACCTTAAAGCGCTTGAAATCTACACTTGCAAATTGCACAAATAGAGTGTTTCAAATCTGCTCTGTCTAAGGGAACGTTCAACACTGTGAGTTGAATGCACACAACACAAGGAAGTTACTGGGAATTCTTCTGTCTAGCCTTACAGGAAAAAAACCCGTTTCCAACGAAGGCCTCTAAGTGGTCAAAATATCCACGTGCAGACTTTACAACCAGAGTGTTTCCAAACTGCTGAATGAAAAGAAAAGTTAAACTCTGAGAGTTGAACGCACACATCGCAGAGCAGTTTCTGAGAATGATTCTGTCTAGTTTTGAAATGAAGATATTTCCTTTTCTGCCTTTGGCCTCAAAGCGCTTGAAATCTCCACTTGCAAGTTCCACAAAAAGAGTGTTTCAAATCTGCTCTGTGTAAATGAAAGTTCAACTCTGTGAGTTGGACACACACAACACAAGGAAGTTACTGGGAATTCTTCTGTCTAGCAGAATATGAAGAAATCCCGTTTCCAACGAAAGCCTCAAAGATGTCTGAATATCCACTTGCAGACTTTACAAACAGAGTGTTTCCTAACTGCTCTATGAAAAGAAAGGTTGAACTCTGTGAGTTGAACGCACACATCACAAAGGAGTTTCTGAGAATCATTCTGTCTAGTTTCTATAGGAAGATATTTCCTATTCTACCATTGACCTCAAAGCGGCTGAAATCTCCACTTGCAAATTCCACAAAAAGAGTGTTTCAAGACTGTTCTGTGTAAAGGATCATTCAATTCTGTGAGTTGAATACACACAACACAAGGAAGTTACTGAGAATTCTTCTGTCTAGCAGAATGTGAAGAAATCCCGTTTCCAACGAAGGCCACAAGATGTCAGAATATCCACTTACAGAATTTACAAACAGACTGTTTCCTAACTGCTCTATGAAAAGAAAGGTTAAACTCTGTGAGTTGAACGAATACATCACAACGCAGTTTGTGGGAATGATTCTGTCTAGTTTTGAAACGAAGATATTTCCTTTTCTGCCATTGACCTTAAAGCGCTTGAAATCTCCACTTGCCAATTGCACAAAAAGAGTGTTTCAAATCTGCTCTGTCTAAGGGAACGTTCAACTCTGTGAGTTGAATGTACACAACACAAGGAATTTACTGGGAAATCTTCTGTCTAGCCTTACAGGAAAAAAACCCGTTTCCAACGAAGGCCTCTAAGTGGTCAAAATATCCACGTGCAGACTTTACAAACAGAGTGTTTCCAAACTGCTGAATGAAAAGAAAAGTTAAACTCTAAGAGTTGAACGCACACATCGCAGAGCAGTTTCTGAGAATGATTCTGTCTAGTTTTTATACGAAGATATTTCCTTTTCTGCCTTTGGCCTCAAAGCGCTTGAAATCTCCACTTGCAAATTCCACAAAAAGAGTGTTTCAAATCTGCTCTGTGTAAATCAAAGTTCAACTGTGTGAGTTGAACACACACAACACAAGGAAGTTACTGGGAATACTTGTGTCTAGCATAATATGAAGAAATCCCGTTTCCAAAGAAGGCCTCAAGGAGGTCTGAATATCCACTTGCAGACTTTACAAACAGAGTGTTTCCTAACTGCTCTATGAAAAGAAAGGTTAAACTCTGTGAGATGAACGCACACATCACAAAGGAGTTTCTCAGAATCATTCTGTCTAGTTTGTATAAGAAGATATTTCCTATTCTACCATTGACCTCAAAGCGGCTGAAATCTCCACTTGCAAATTCGACAAAAAGAGTCTTTCAAGCCTGCTCTCTGTAAAGGATCCTTCAACTCTGTGAGTTGAATACACACAACACAAGGAAGTTACTGAGAATTATTCTGTCTAGCATAATATGAAGAAATCCCGTTTCCAACGAAGGCCTCAAAGAGGTCTGAATATCCACTTGCAGACTTTACAAACAGAGTGTTTCCTAACTGCTCTATGAGAAGAAAAGTTAAACTCTGTGAGTTGAACGCACACATCACAAAAGATTTTCTTAGAATCATTCTGTCTAGTTTTGAAACGAAGATATTTCCTTTTCTGCCATTGACCTTAAAGCGCTTGAAATCTACACTTGCCAATTGCACAAATAGAGTGTTTCAAATCTGCTCTGTCTAAGGGAACGTTCAACTCTGTGAGTTGAATGCACACAACACAAGGAAGTTACTGGGAATTCTTCTGTCTAGACCTTACATGAAAAAAACCCGTTTCCAACGAAGGCCTCTAAGTGGTCAAATTATCCACGTGCAGACTTTACAAACAGAGTGTTTCCAAACTGCTGAAGGAAAAGAAAAGTTAAACTCTGAGAGTTGAACGCACACATCGCAGAGCAGTTTCTGAGAATGATTCTGTCTAGTTTTTATACGAAGATATTTCCTTTTCTGCCTTTGGCCTCAAAGCGCTTGAAATCTCCATTTGCAAATTCCACAAAAAGAGTGTTTCAAATCTGCTCTGTGTAAATGAAAGTTCAACTCTGTCAGTTGAATACACACAACACAAGGTAAGTTACTGAGAATTCTTCTGTCTAGCATAGTATGAAGAAATCCCGTTTCCAACGAAGGCCTCAAAGAGGTCTGAATATCCACTTGCAGAGTTTACAAACAGAGTGTTTCCTAACTGCTCTATGAAAAGAAAGGTTAAACTCTGTGAGTTGAACGCACACATCACAAGGAAGTTTCTGAGAATCATTCTGTCTAGTTTTTATACGAAGATATTTCCTTTTCTACCTTTGACTTCAAAGCGGCTGAAATCTCCACTTGCAAATTCCACAAAAAGAGTGTTACAAGTCTGCTCTGTGTAAAGGATCGTTCAACTCTGTGAGTTGAATACACACAACACAAGGAAGTTACTGAGAATTCTTCTGTCTAGCATAGTATGAAGAAATCCCGTTTCCAACGAAGGCCACAAAGAGGTCTGAATATCCACTTGCAGAGTTTACAAACAGAGTGTTTCCTAACTGCTCTATGAAAAGAAAGGTTAAACTCTGTGAGTTGAACGCACACATCACAAAGAAGTTTCTGAGAATCATTCTGTCTAGTTTTGAAACGAAGATATTTCCTTTTCTGCCATTGAACTTAAAGCGCTTGAAATCTCCATTTGCCAATTGCACAAAAAGAGTGTTTCAAATCTGCTCTGTCTAAGGGAACGTTCAACTCTGTGAGTTGAATGTACACAACACAAGGAAGTTACTGGGAATTCTTCTGTCTAGCATAATATGAAGAAATCCCGTTTCCAACGAAGACCTCAAAGAGGTCTGAATATCCACTGGCAGACTTTACAAACAGAGTGTTTCCTAACTGCTCTATGAGAAGAAAAGTTAAACTCCTGTGAGTTGAACGCACACATCACAAAAGATTTTCTGAGAATCATTCTGTCTAGTTTCTATAGGAAGATATTTCCTATTCTAACATTGACCTCAAAGCGGCTGAAATCTCCACTTGCAAATTCCACAAAAAGAGTGTTTCAAGTCTGCTCTGTGTAAAGGATCGTTCAACTCTGTGATTTGAATACACACAACACAAGGAAGTTACTGAGAATTCTTCTGTCTAGCATAATATGAAGAAATCCCGTTTCCAACGAATGCCTCAAGGAGGTCTGAATATCCACTTGCAGACTTTACAAACAGAGTGTTTCCTAACTGCTCTATGAAAAGAAAGGTTAAACTGTGTGAGTTGAACGCACACATCACAAAGGAGTTTCTGAGAATCATTCTGTCTAGTTTCTATAGGAAGATATTTCCTATTCTACCATTGATCTCAAAGAGGCTGAAATCTCCACTTGCAAATTCCACAAAAAGAGTGTTTCAAGTCTGCTCTGTGTAAAGGATCGTTGAACTCTGTGAGTTGAAAACACACAACACAAGGAAGTTTCTGAGAATTCTTCTGTCTAGCAGAATATGAAGAAATCCCGTTTCCAACGATGGCCTCAAAGAGGTCTGAATATCCACTTGCAGACTTTACAAACACAGTGTTTCCTAACTGCTCTATGAACAGAAAGTTTAAACTCTGTGAGTTGAACGAACACATCACAACGCAGTTTGTGGGAATGATTCTGTCTAGTTTTGAAACGATGATATTTCCTTTTCTGCCATTGACCTTAAAGCGCTTGAAATCTACACTTGCAAATTCCACAAAAAGAGTGTTTCAAGTCTGCTCTGTGTAAAGGATCGTTCAACTCTGTGAGTTGAATACACACAACACAAGGAAGTTACTGAGAATTCTTCTGTCTAGCAGAATATGAAGAAATCCCGTTTCCAACGAAGGCCTCAAACAGGTCTGAATATCCACTTGCAGACTTTACAAACAGAGTGTTTCCTAACTGCTCTATGAAAAGAAAGGTTAAACTCTGTGAGTTGAACGCACACATCACAAAGGAGTTTATGAGAATCATTCTGTCTAGTTTTCAAACGAAGATATTTCCTTTTCTGCCTTTGGCCTCAAACCGCTTGAAATCTCCACTTGCAAATTCCACAAAAAGAGTGTTTCAAATCTGCTCTGTGTAAATGAAAGTTCAACTCTGTGAGTTGAACACACACAACACAAGGAAGTTACTGGGAATTCTTCTGTCTAGCCTTATATGAAAAAAAACCCGTTTCCAACGAAGGCCTCAAAGAGGTCTGAATATCCACTTGCAGACTTTACAAACAGAGTGTTTCCTAACTGCTCTATGAAAAGAAAGGTTAAACTCTGTGAGTTGAACGCACACATCACAAAGGAGTTTCTGAGAATCATTCTGTCTAGTCTTTATACGAAGATATTTCCTTTTCTACCATTGACCTCAAAGCGGCTGAAATCTCCACTTGCAAATTCCACAAAAAGAGTGTTTCAAGTTTGCTCTGTGTAAAGGATCGTTCAACTCTGTGAGTTGAATACACACAACACAAGGAAGTTACTGAGAATTCTTCTGTCTAGCAGAATATGAAGAAATCCCGTTTCCAACGAAGGCCCCAAGATGTCAGAATATCCACTTACAGAATTTACAACAGAGTGTTTCCTAACTGCTCTATGAAAAGAAAGGTTAAACTCTGTGAGTTGAACGAACACATCACAACGCAGTTTGTGGGAATGATTCTGTCTAGTTCTGAAACGAAGATATTTCCTTTTCTGCCGTTGACCTTAAAGAGCTTGAAAACTACACTTGCAAATTGCACAAATAGAGTGTTTCAAATCTGCTCTGTCTAAGGGAACGTTCAACTTTGTGAGTTGAATGCACACAACACAAGGAAGTTCCTGGGAATTCTTCTGTCTAGCCTTACAGGAAAAAAACCCGTTTCCAACGAAGGCCTCTAAGGGGTCAAAATATCCACGTGCAGACTTTACAAACAGAGTGTTTCCAAACTGCTGAATGAAAAGAAAAGTTAAACTCTGAGAGTTGAACGCACACATCGCAGAGCAGTTTCTGAGAATGATTCTGTCTAGTCTTTTATACGAAGATATTTCCTTTTCTACCATTGACCTCAAAGCGGCTGAAATCTCCACTTGCAAATTCCACAAAAAGAGTGTTTCAAGTCTGCTCTGTGTAAAGGATCGTTCAACTCTGTGAGTTGAATACACACAACACAAGGAAGTTACTGAGAATTCTTCTGTCTAGCAGAATAGGAAGAAATCCCGTTTCCAACGAAGGCCTCAAAGAGGTCTGAATATCCACTTGCAGACTTTACAAACAGAGTGTTTCCTAACGGCTCTATGAAAAGAAAAGTTAAACTCTGTGAGTTGAACGCACACATCACAAAGGAGTTTCTGAGAATCGTTCTGTCTACTCTTTATACGAAGATATTTCCTTTTCTACCATTGACCTCAAAGCAGCTGAAATCTCCACAAGCAAATTCCACATAAAGAGTGTTTCAAGTCTGCTCTGTGTAAAGGATCGTTCAACTCTGTGAGTTGAATACACACAACACAAGGAAGTTACTGAGAATTCTTCTTTCTAGCAGAATATGAAGAAATCCCGTTTCCAACGAAGGCCTCAAGGAGGTCTGAATATCCACTTGCAGACTTTACAAACAGAGTGTTTCCTAACTGCTCTATGAAAAGAAAGGTTAAACTCTGTGAGTTGAACGCATACATCACAAAGGAGTTTATGAGAATCATTCTGTCTAGTTTTTATACGAAGATATTTCCTTTTCTACCATTGACCTCAAAGCGGCTGAAATCACCACTTGCCAATTGCACAAAAAGACTGTTTCAAATCTGCTCTGTCTAAGGGAACGTTCAACTCTGTGAGTTGAATGTACACAACACAAGGAAGTTCCTGGGAATTCTTCTGTCTAGCCTTACATGAAAAAAACCCGTTTCCAACGAAGGCCTCTAAGTGGTCAAATTATCCACGTGCAGACGTTACAAACAGAGTGTTTCCAAACTGCTGAATGAAAAGAAAAGTTAAACTCTGAGAGTTGAACGCACACATCGCAGAGCAGTTTCTGAGAATGATTCTGTCTAGTTTTTATACGAAGATATTTCCTTTTCTGCCTTTGGCCTCAAAGCGCTTGAAATCTCCACCTGTAAATTCCACAAAAAGAGTGTTTCAAATCTGCTCTGTGTAAATGAAAGTTCAACTCTGTGAGTTGAACACACACAACACAAGGAAGTTACTGGGAATTCTTCTGTCTAGCATAATATGAAGAAATCCCGTTTCCAATGAACGCCTGAAAGATGTCTGAATATCCACTTGCAGACTTTACAAACAGAGTGTTTCCTAACTGCTCTATGAAAAGAAAGGTTAAACTCTGTGAGTTGAACGCACACATCACAAAGGAGTTTCTGAGAATCATTCTGTCTAGTTTTTATACGAAGATATTTCCTTTTCTACCATTGACCTCAAAGCGGCTGAAATCTCCACTTGCCAATTCCACAAAAAGAGTGCTTTACGTCTGCTCTGTGTAAAGGATCGTTCAACTCTGTGAGTTGAATACACACAACACAAGGAAGTTACTGACAATTCTTCTGTCTAGGAGAATATGAAGAAATCCCGTTTCCAACGAAGGCCACAAGATGTCAGAATATCCACTTACAGAATTGACAAACAGACTGTTTCCTAACTGCTCTATGAAAAGAAAGGTTAAACTCTGTGAGTTGAACGAACACATCACAACGCAGTTTGTGGGAATGATTCTGTCTAGTTTTGAAACGAAGATATTTCCTTTTCTGCCGTTGACCTTAAAGCGCTTGAAATCTACACTTGCAAATTGGACAAATAGAGTGTTTCAAATCTGCTCTGTCTAAGGGAACGTTCAACTCTGTGAGTTGAATGCACACAACACAAGGAAGTTACTGGGAATTCTTCTGTCTAGCCTTACATGAAAAAAACTCGTTTCCAACGAAGGCCTCTAAGTGGTCAAATTATCCACGTGCAGACTTTACAAACAGAGTGTTTCCAAACTGCTGAATGAAAAGAAAAGTTAAACTCTGAGAGTTGAACGCACACATCGCAGAGCAGTTTCTGAGAATGATTCTGTCTAGTTTTGAAACGAAGATATTTCCTTTTCTGCCTTTGGCCTCAAAGCGCTTGAAATCTCCACTTTCAAATTCCACAAAAAGAGTGTTTCAAATCTGCTCTGTGTAAATGAAAGTTCAACTCTGTGAGTTGAACACACACAACACAAGGAAGTTAGTGGGAATTCTTCTGTCTAGCAGAATATGAAGAAATCCCGTTTCCAACGAAGGCCTCAAAGAGGTCTGAATATCCACTTGCAGACTTTACAAACAGAGTGTTTCCTAACTGCTCTATGAAAAGAAATGTTAAACTCTGTGAGTTGAACGCACACATCAGAAAGGAGTTTCTGAGAATCATTCTGTCTAGTTTGTATAGGAAGATATTTCCTATTCTACCATTGACCTCAAAGCGGCTGAAATCTCCACTTGCAAATTCCATAAAAAGAATGTTTCAAGTCTGCTCTGTGTAAAGGATCGTTCAACTCTGTGAGTTGAATACACACAACACAAGGAAGTTACTGAGAATTCTTCTGTCTAGCAGAATATGAAGAAATCCCGTTTCCAACGAAGGCCACAAGATGTCAGAATATCCACTTTCATACTTTACAAACAGAGTGTTTCCTAACTGCTCTATGAAAAGAAAGGTTAAACTCTGTGGGTTGAACGAACACATCACAACGCAGTTTGTGGGAATGATTCTGTCTAGTTTTGAAACGAAGATATTTCCTTTTCTGCCATTGAACTTAAAGCGCTTGAAATCTCCATTTGCCAATTGCACAAAAAGAGTGTTTCAAATCTGCTCTGTCTAACGGAACGTTCAACTCTGTGAGTTGAATGTACACAACACAAGGAAGTTACTGGGAATTCTTCTGTCTAGCCTTACAGAAAAAAAACCCGTTTCCAACGAAGGCCTCTAAGTGGTCAAAATATCCACGTGCAGACTTTACAAACAGAGTGTTTCCAAACTGCTGAATGAAAAGAAAAGTTAAACTCTGAGAGTTGAACGCACACATCGCAGAGCAGTTTCTGAGAATGATTCTGTCTAGTTTTTATACGAAGATATTTCCTTTTCTGCCTTTGGCCCCAAAGCGCTTGAAATCTCCACTTGCAAATTCCACAAAAACAGTGTTTCAAATCTGCTCTCTCTAAATGAAAGTTCAACTCTGTCATTTGAATACACACAACACCAAGGAAGTTACTGAGAATTCTTCTGTCTAGCATAATATGAAGAAATCCCGTTTCCAACGAAGACCTCAAGGAGGTCTGAATATCCACTTGCAGACTTTACAAACAGAGTGTTTCCTAACTGCTCTATGAAAAGAAAGGTTAAACTCTGTGAGTTGAACGCACACATCACAAAGGAGTTTCTGAGAATCACTCTGTCTAGTCTTTATACGAAGATATTTCCTTTTCTACCATTGACCTCAAAGCGGCTGAAATCTCCACTTGCAAATTCCACAAAAAGAGTGTTTCAAGTCTGCTCTGTGTAAAGGATCGTTCAACTTCTGTGAGTTGAATACACACAACACAAGGAAGTTACTGAGAATTCTTCTGTCTAGCAGAATATGAAGAAATCCCGTTTCCAACGAAGGCCACAAGATGTCAGAATATTCACTTACAGACTTTACAAACAGAGTGTTTCCTAACTGCTCTATGAACAGAAAGGTTAAACTCTGTGAGTTGAACGAACACATCACAACGCAGTTTGTGGGAATGATTCTGTCTAGTTTTGAAACGAAGAAATTTCCTTTTCTGCCATTGACCTTAAAGCGCTTGAAATCTACACTTGCAAATTGCACAAATAGAGTGTTTCAAATCTGCTCTGTCTAAGTGAACGTTCAACTCTGTGAGTTGAATGCACACAACACAAGGGAAGTTACTGGGAATTCTTCTGTCTAGCCTTACATGAAAAAAACCCGTTTCCAACGAAGGCCTCTAAGTGGTCAAAATATCCACGTGCAGACTTTACAAACAGAGTGTTTCCAAACCGCTGAATGAAAAAAAAAGTTAAACTCTGAGAGTTGAACGCACACATCACGCAGCAGTTTCTGAGAATGATTCTGTCTAGTTTTGAAATGAAGATATTTCCTTTTCTGCCTTTGGCCTCAAAGCGCTTGAAATCTCCACTTGCAAATTCCACAAAAAGAGTGTTTCAAATCTGCTCTGTGTAAATGGAAGTTCAACTCTGTGAGTTGAACACACACAACACAAGGAAGTTACTGGGAATTCTTCTGTCTAGCACAGTATGAAGAAATCCCGTTTCCAACGAAGGCCTCACAGAGGTCTGAATATCCACTTGCAGAGTTTACAAACAGAGTGTTTCCTAACTGCTCTATGAAAAGAAAGGTTAAACTCTGTGAGTTGAACGCACACATCACAAAGAAGTTTCTGAGAATCATTCTGTCTAGTTTTTATACGAATATATTTCCTTTTCTACCATTGACCTCAAAGCGGCTGAAATCTCCACTTGCAAATTCCACAAAAAGAGTGTTTCATATCTGCTCTGTGTAAACCATCGTTCAACTGTGTGAGTTGAATACACACAACACAAGGAAGATTCTGAGAATTCTTCTGTCTAGCAGAATATGAAGAAATCCCGTTTCCAACGAAGGCCACAAGATGTCAGAATATCCACTTACAGACGTTACAGAGTGTTTCCTAACTGCTCTATGAACAGAAAGGTTAAACTCTGTGAGTTGAACGAACACATCACAAGGCAGTTTGTGGGAATGATTCTGTCTAGTTTTGAAACGAAGATATTTCCTTTTCTGCCATTGAACTTAAAGCGCTTGAAATCTCCATTTGCCAATTGCACAAAAAGAGTGTTTCAAATCTGCTCTGTCTAAGGGAACGTTCAACTCTGTGAGTTGAATGTACACAACACAAGGAAGTTACTGGGAATTCTTCTGTCTAACCTTAGATGAAAAAAACCCGTTTCCAACGAAGGCCTCTAAGTGGTCAAAATATCCACGTGCAGACTTTACAAACAGAGTGTTTCCAAACCGCTGAATGAAAAGAAAAGTTAAACTCTGAGAGTTAAACGTACACATCACGCAGCAGTTTCTGAGAATGATTCTGTCTAGTTTTTATACGAAGATATTTCCTTTTCTGCCTTTGGCCCCAAAGCGCTTGAAATCTCCACTTGGAAATTCCACAGAAACAGTGTTTCAAATCTGCTCTCTCTAAATGAAAGTTCAACTCTGTGAGTTGAATACACACAACACAAGGAAGTTACTGAGAATTCTTCTGTCTAGCATAATATGAAGAAATCCCGTTTCCAACGAAGGCCTCAAAGGGGACTGAATATCCACTTGCAGACTTTATAAACAGAGTGTTTACTAACTGCTCTATGAAAAGAAAGGTTAAACTCTGTGAGTTGAACACAAACATCACAAAGGAGTTTCTGAGAATCATTCTGCCTAGTTTTTCTACGAAGATATTTCCTTTTCTACTATTGACCTCAAAGCGGCTGAAATCTCCACTTGCAAATTCCACAAAAAGAGTGTTTCAAGTCTGCTCTGTGTAAAGGATCGTTCAACTCTGTGAGTTGAATACACACAACACAAGGAAGTTACTGAGAATTCTCTGTCTAGCACAATGTGAAGAAATCCCGTTTCCAACGAAGGCCTCAAGGGGTCTGAATATCCACTTGCAGACTTTATAAACAGAGTGTTTACTAACTGCTCTATGAAAAGAAAGGTTAAACTCTGTGAGTTGAACACACACATCACAAAGGAGTTTCTGAGAATCATTCTGTCTAGTTTTTATAGGAAGATATTTCCTTTTCTACCTTTGACTTCAAAGCGGCTGAAATCTCCACTTGCACATTCCACAAAAAGAGTGTTACAAGTCTGCTCTGTGTAAAGGATCGTTCAACTCTGTGAGTTGAATACACACAACACAAGGAAGTTACTGAGAATTCTTCTGTCTAGCCTTACATGAAAAAAACCCGTTTCCAACGAAGGCCTCTCAGAGGTCAAAATATCCACGTGCAGACTTTACAAACATAGTGTTTCCAAACTGCTGAATGAAAAGAAAAGTTAAACTCTGAGAGTTGAACGCACACATCACCGAGCAGTTTCTGAGAATGATTTTGTCTAGTTTCTATAAGAAGATATTTCCTATTCTACCATTGACCTCAAAGCGGCTGAAATCTCCACTTGCAAATTCGACAAAAAGAGTGTTTCAAGCCTGCTCGCTGTAAAGGATCCTTCAACTCTGTGAGTTGAATACACACAACACAAGGAAGTTACTGAGAATTATTCTGTCTGGCAGAATATGAAGAAATCCCGTTTCCAACGAAGGCCTCAAAGACGTCTGAATATCCACTTGCAGACTTTACAAACAGAGTGTTTCCTAACTGCTCTATGAAAAGAAAAGTTAAACTCTGTGAGTTGAACGCACACATCACACAGGATTTTCTGAGAATCATTCTGTGTAGTTTCTATAGGAAGATATTTCCTATTCTACCATTGAACTCAAAGCGGCTGAAATCTCCACTTGCAAATTCCACAAAAAGAGTGTTTCAAGTCTGCTCTGTTTAAAGGATCGTTCAACTCTGTGAGTTGAATACACACAACACAAGGAAGTTACTGAGAATTCCTCTGTCTAGCAGAATATGAAGAAATCCCGTTTCCAACGAAGGCCACAAGATGTCAGAATATCCACTTACAGAATTTACAAACAGAGTGTTTCCTAACTGCTCTATGAAAAGATAGGTTAAACTCTGTGAGATGAACGAACACATCACAACGCAGTTTGTGGGAATGATTCTGTCTAGTTTTGAAACGAAGATATTTCCTTTTCTGCCATTGACCTTAAAGCGGTTGAAATCTCCACTTGCCAATTGCACAAAAAGAGTGTTTCAAATCTGCTCGGTCTAAGGGAACGTTCAACTCTGTGAGTTGAATGTACACAACACAAGGAAGTTACTGGGAATTCTTCTGTCTAGCCTTACATGAAAAAAACCCGTTTCCAACGAAGGCCTCTAAGTGGTCAAAATTTCCACGTGCAGACTTTACAAAGAGAGTGTTTCCAAACCGCTGAATGAAAAGAAAAGTTAAACTCTGAGAGTTGAACGCACACATCACGCAGCAGTTTCTGAGAATGATTCTGTCTAGTTTTTATACGAAGATATTTCCTTTTCTGCCTTTGGCCCCAAAGCGCTTGAAATCTCCACTTGCAAATTCCACAAAAACAGTGTTTCAAATCTGCTCTCTCTAAATGAAAGTTCAACTCTGTGAGTTGAATACACACAACACAAGGAAGTTACTGAGAATTCTTCTGTCTAGCATAATATGAAGAAATCCCGTTTCCAACGAAGGCCTCAAGGAGGTCTGAATATCCACTTCCAGACTTTACAAACAGAGTGTTTCCTAACTGCTCTATGAAAAGAAAGGTTAAACTCTGTGAGTTGAACGCACACATCACAAAGGAGTTTCTGAGAATCATTCTGCCTAGTTTTTCTACGAAGATATTTCCTTTTCTACTATTGACCTCAAAGCGGCTGAAATCTCCACTTGCAAATTCCACAAAAAGAATGTTTCAAGTCTGCTCTGTGTAAAGGATCGTTCAACTCTGTGAGTTGAATACACACAACACAAGGAAGTTACTGAGAATTCTTCTGTCTAGCAGAATATGAAGAAATCCCGTTTCCAACGAAGGCCACAAGATGTCCGAATATCCACTTACAGACTTTACAAACAGAGTGTTTCCTAACTGCTCTATGAACAGAAAGGTTAAACTCTGTGAGTTGAACGAACACATCACAACGCAGTTTGTGGGAATGATTCTGTCTAGTTTTGAAACGAAGATATTTCCTTTTCTGCCGTTGACCTTAAAGCGCTTGAAATCTACACTTGCAAATTGCACAAATAGAGTGTTTCAAATCTGCTCTGTCTAAGGGAACGTTCATCTCTGTGAGTTGAATGCACACAACACAAGGAAGTTACTGGGAATGCTTCTGTCTAGCCTTACATGAAAAAAACCCGTTTCCAACGAAGGCCTCTAAGTGGTCAAAATATCCACGTGCAGACTTTACAAACAGAGTGTTTCCAATCCGCTGAATGAAAAGAAAAGTTAAACTCTGAGAGTTGAACGCACACATCACGCAGCAGTTTCTGAGAATGATTCTGTCTAGTTTCTGTAGGAAGATATTTCCTATTCTACCATTGACCTCAAAGCGGCTGAAATCTCCAGTTGCAAATTCCACAAAAAGAATGTTTCAAGTCTGCTCTGTGTAAAGGATCGTTCAACTCTGTGAGTTGAATACACACAACACAAGGAAGTTACTGAGAATTATTCTGTCTAGCATAATATGAAGAAATCCCGTTTCCAACGAAGGCCTCAAAGAGGTCTGAATATCCACTTGCAGACTTTACAAACAGAGTGTTTCCTAACTGCTCTATGAAAAGAAAAGTTAAACTTTGTGAGTTGAACGCACCCATCACAAATGAGTTTATGAGAATCATTCTGTCTAGTTTTTATACGAAGATATTTCCTTTTCTACCATTGATCTCAAAGCGGCTGAAATCTCCACTTGCAAATTCCACGAAAAGAGTGTTTCAAGTCTGCTCTGTGTAAAGGATCGTTCAACTCTGTGAGTTGAATACACACAACACAAGGAGGTTACTGAGAATTCTTCTGTCTAGCAGAATATGAAGAAATCCCGTTTCCAACGAAGGCCACAAGATGTCAGAATATCCACTTACAGAATTTACAAACAGACTGTTTCCCAACTGCTCTATGAAAAGAAAGGTTAAACTCTGTGAGTTGCACACACACATCACAATGAAGTTTCTGAGAATCATTCTGTCTAGTTTTGAAACGAAGATATTTCCTTTTCTGCCGTTGACCTTAAAGCGCTTGAAATCTACACTTGCAAATTGGACAAATAGAGTGTTTCAAATCTGCTCTGTCTAAGGGAACGTTCAACTCTGTGAGTTGAATGCACACAACACAAGGAAGTTACTGGGAATTCTTCTGTCTAGCGTTACAGGAAAAAAACCCGTTTCCAACGAAGGCCTCTAAGTGGTCAAAATATCCACGTGCAGACTTCACAAACAGAGTGTTTCCAAACTGCTGAATGAAAAGAAAAGTTAAACTCTGAGAGTTGAACGCACACATCGCAGAGCAGTTTCTGAGAATGATTCTGTCTAGTTTTTATACGAAGATATTTCCTTTTCTGCCTTTGGCCTCAAAGCGCTTGAAATCTCCACTTGCAAATTCCACAAAATGAGTGTTTCAAATCTGCTCTGTGTAAATGAAAGTTCAACTCTGTGAGTTGAACACACACAACACAAGGAAGTTAGTGGGAATTCTTCTGTCTAGCAGAATATGAAGAAATCCCGTTTCCAACGAAGGCCTCAAGGAGGTCTGAATATCCACTTGCAGACTTTACAAACAGAGTGTTTCCTAACTGCTCTATGAACAGAAAGGTTAAACTCTGTGAGTTGAACGCACACATCACAAAGGAGTTTCTGAGAATCGTTCTGTCTAGTTTTTATATGAAGATATTTCCTTTTCTACCATTGACCTCAAAGCGGCTGAAATCTCCACTTACAAATTCCACAAAAAGAGTGTCTCAAGTCTGCTCTGTGTAAACGATCGTTCACATCTGTGAGTTGAATACACACAACACAAGGAAGTTTCTGAGAATTCTTCTGTCTAGCAGAATATGAAGAAATCCCGTTTCCAACGAAGGCCTCAAGGAGGTCTGAATATCCACTTGCAGACTTTACAAACAGAGTGTTTCCTAACTGCTCTATGAACAGAAAGGTTAAACTCTGTGAGTTGAACGAACACATCACAACGAGTTTGTGGGAATGATTCTGTCTAGTTTTGAAACGAAGATATATCCTTTTCTGCCGTTGACCTTAAAGCGCTTGAAATCTACACTTGCAAATTACACAAATAGAGTGTTTCAAATCTGCTCTGTCTAAGGGAACGTTCAACTCTGTGAGTTGAATGCACACAACACAAGGAAGTTACTGGGAATTCTTCTGTCTAGCCTTACAGGAAAAAAACCCGTTTCCAACGAAGGCCTCTAAGTGGTCAAAATATCCACGTGCAGACTTTACAAACAGAGTGTTTCCCAAACTGGTGAATGAAAAGAAAGGTTAAACTCTGTGAGTTGAACGCACACATCACAAAGGAGTTTCTGAGAATCATTCTGTCTAGTTTCTATAGGAAGATATTTCCTATTCTACCATTGACCTCAAAGCGGCAGAAATCTCCACTTGCAAATTCCACAAAAAGAATGTTTCAAGTCTGCTCTGTGTAAAGGATCGTTCAACTCTGTGAGTTGAATACACACAACACAAGGAAGTTACTGAGAATTATTCTGTCTAGCAGAATATGAAGAAATCCCGTTTCCAACGAAGGCCTCAAAGAGGTCTGAATATCCACTTGCAGACTTTACAAACAGAGTGTTTCCTAACTGCTCTATGAAAAGAAAAGTTAAACTCTGTGAGTTGAACGCACACATCACAAAGGAGTTTCTGAGAATCATTCTGTCTAGTTTCTATAGGAAGATATTACCTATTCTACCATTGACCTCAAAGCGGCTGAAGTCTCCACTTGCAAATTCCACAAAAAGACTGTTTCAAGTCTGCTCTGTGTAAAGGATCGTTCAACTCTGTGAGTTGAATACACAGAACACAAGGAAGTTACTGAGAATTCTTCTGTCTAGCAGAATATGAAGAAATCCCGTTTCCAACGAAGGCCTCAAGGAGGTCTGAATATCCACTTGCAGACTTTACAAACAGTGTTTCCTAACTGCTCTATGAAAAGAAAGGTTAAACTGTGTGAGTTGAACGCACACATCACAAAGGAGTTTCTGAGAATCATTCTGTCTAGTTTTGAAACGAAGATATTTCCTTTTCTGCCTTTGACCTTAAAGCGCTTGAAATCTCCACTTGCCAATTGCACAAAAAGAGTGTTTCAAATCTGCTCTGTCTAAGGGAACGTTCAACTCTGTGAGTTGAATGTACACAACACAAGGAAGTTACTGGGAATTCTTCTGTCTAGCCTTACAGGAAAAAAACACGTTTGCAACGAAGGCCTCTAAGTGGTCAAAATATCCACGTGCAGACTTTACAAACAGAGTGTTTCCAAACTGCTGAATGAAAAGAAAAGTTAAACTCTGAGAGTTGAACGCACACATCGCAGAGCAGTTTCTGAGAATGATTCTGTCTAGTTTCTATAAGAAGATATTTCCTATTCTACCATTGACCTCAAAGCGGCAGAAATCTCCACTTGCAAATTCGACAAAAAGAGTGTTTCAAGCCTGCTCTCTGTAAAGGATCCTTCAACTCTGTGAGTTGAATACACACAACACAAGGAAGTTACTGAGAATTATTCTGTCTAGCATAATATGAAGAAATCCCGTTTCCAACGAAGGCCTCAAAGAGGTCTGAATATCCACTTGCAGACTTTACAAACAGAGTGTTTCCTAACTGCTCTATAAGAAGAAAAGTTAAACTCTGTGAGTTGAACGCACACATCACAAAAGATTTTCTGAGAATCATTCTGTCTAGTTTTTATACGAAGATATTTCCTTTTCTACCATTGACCTCAAAGCGGCTGAAATCTCCCCTTGCAAATTCCACAAAAAGAGTGTTTCAAGTCTGCTCTGTGTAAATGATCATTGAACTCTGTGAGTTGAATACACACAACACAAGGAAGTTACTGAGAATTCTTCTGTCTAGCAGAATATGAAGAAATCCCGTTTCCAACGAAGGCCACAAGATGTCAGAATATCCACTTACAGACTTTACAAACAGAGTGTTTCCTAACTGCTCTATGAACAGAAAGGTTAAACCCTGTGAGTTGAACGAACACATCACAACGCAGTTTGTGGGAATGATTCTGTCTAGTTTTGAAACGAAGATATTTCCTTTTCTGCCATTGACCTTAAAGCGCTTGAAATCTACACTTGCAAATTGCACAAATAGAGTGTTTCAAATCTGCTCTGTCTAAGCGAACGTTCATCTCTGTGAGTTGAATGCACACAACAAAAGGAAGTTACTGGGAATTCTTCTGTCTACCCTTACATGAAAAAAACCCGTTTCCAACGAAGGCCTCTAAGTGGTCAAAATATCCACGTGCAGACTTTACAAACAGAGTGTTTCCAAACCGCTGAATGAAAAGAAAAGTTAAACTCTGAGAGTTGAACGCACACATCACGCAGCAGTTTCTGAGAATGATTCTGTCTAGTTTTTATACGAAGATATTTCCTTTTCTGCCATTGGCCCCAAAGCGCATGAAATCTCCAAGTGCAAATTCCACAAAAACAGTGTTTCAAATCTGCTCTCTCTAAATGAAAGTTCAACTCTGTCAGTTGAATACACACAACACAAGGAAGTTACTGAGAATTCTTCTGTCTAGCCTTACAGGAAAAAAACCCGTTTCCAACGAAGGCCTCAAAGAGGTCTGAATATCCACGTGCAGTCTTTACAAACAGAGTGTTTCCTAACTGCTCTATGAAAAGAAAGTTTTAACTCTGTGAGTTGAACGCACACATCACAAAGAAGTTTCTGAGAATCATTCTGTCTAGTTTCTATAGGAAGATATTTCCTATTCTACCATTGAACTCAAAGCGGCTGAAATCTCCACTTGCAAATTCCACAAAAAGAGTGTTTCAAGTCTGCTCTGTGTAAAGGATCGTTCAACTCTGTGAGTTGAATACACACAACACAAGGAAGTTATTGAGAATTCTTCTGTCTAGCAGAATATGAAGAAATCCCGTTTCCAACGAAGGCCTCAAGGAGGTCTGAATGTCCACTTGCAGACTTTACAAACAGAGTGTTTCCTAACTGCTCTATGAAAAGAAAGGTGAAACTCTGTGAGTTGAACACACACATCACAAAGGAGTTTCTGAGAATCATTCTGTCTAATTTTTATATGAAGATATTTCCTTTTCAACCATTGATCTTAAAGCGGCTGAAATCTCCATTTGCAAATTCCACAAAAAGAGTGTTTCAAGTCTGCTCTGTGTAAAGGATCGTTCAAGTCTGTGAGTTGAATACACACAACACGAGGAAGTTACTGAGAATTCTTCTGTCTAGCAGAATACGAAGAAATCCCGTTTCCAACGAAGGCCTCAAAGAGGTCTGATTATCCCCTTGCAGACTTTACAAACAGAGTGTTTCCTAACTGCTCTATGAAAAGAAAGGTTAAACTCTGTGAGTTGAACGCACACATCACAAAGGAGTTTCTGAGAATCATTCTGTCTAGTTTTTATAGGAAGATATTTCCTTTTCTACCTTTGACTTCAAAGCGGCTGAAATCTCCACTTGCAAATTCCACAAAAAGAGTGTTACAAGTCTGCTCTGTCTAAGGGAAAGTTCAACTCTGTGAGTTGAATGTACACAACACAAGGAAGTTACTGGGAATTCTTCTGTCTAGCCTTACATGAAAAAAACCCGTTTCCAACGAAGGCCTCTAAGTGGTCAAAATATCCACGTGCAGACTTTACAGACAGAGTGTTTCCAAACCGCTGAATGAAAAGAAAAGTTAAACTCTGAGAGTTGAACGCACACATCACGCATCAGTTTCTGAGAATGATTCTGTCTAGTTTTTATACGAAGATATTTCCTTTTCTGCCCTTGGCCCCAAAGCCCTTGAAATCTCCACTTGCAAATTCCACAAAAACAGTGTTTCAAATCTGCTCTCTCTAAATGAAAGTTCAACTCTGTCAGTTGAATACACACAACACAAGGAAGTTACTGAGAATTCTTCTGTCTAGCATAATATGAAGAAATCCCGTTTCCAAAGAAGGCCTCAAAGAGGTCTGAATATCCACTTGCAGACTTTACAAACAGAATGTTTCCTAACTGCTCTATGAAAAGAAAAGTTAAACTCTGTGAGTTGAACGCACACATCACAAAGGAGTTTCTGAGAATCATTCTGTCTAGTTTTTATACGAAGATATTTCCTCTTCTACCATTGACCTCAACGCGGCTGAAATCTCCACTTGCAAATTCCACAAAAAGAGTGTTTCAAGTCTGCTCTGTGTAAAGGATCATTCAACTCTGTGAGTTGAATACACACAACACAAGGAAGTTACTGAGAATTCTTCTGTCTAGCACAGTATGAAGAAATCCCGTTTCCAACGAAGGCCTCAAGGAGGTCTGAATATCCACTTGCAGAGTTTACAAACAGAGTGTTTCCTAACTGCTCTATGAAAAGAAAGGTTAAACTCTGTGAGTTGAACGCACACATCACCAAGAAGTTTCTGAGAATCATTCTGTCTAGTTTTTATAGGGAGATATTTCCTTTTCTACCTTTGACTTCAAAGCGGCTGAAATCTCCACTTGCAAATTCCACAAAAAGAGTGTTACAAGTCTGCTCTGTGTAAAGGATCGTTCAACTCTGTGAGTTGAATACACACAACACAAGGAAAGTTACTGAGAATTCTTCTGTCTAGCCTTACATGAAAAAAACCCGTTTCCAACGAAGGCCTCTAAGTGGTCAAAATATCCACGTGCAGACTTTACAAACAGAGTGTTTCCAAACCGCTGAATGAAAAGAAAAGTTAAACTCTGAGAGTTGAACGCACACATCACAAAGGAGTTTCTGAGAATGATTCTGTCTAGTTTTTATACGAAGATATTTCCTTTTCTGCCTTTGGCCTCAAAGCGCTTGAAATCTCCACTTGCAAATTCCACAAAAAGAGTGTTTCAAATCTGCTCTGTGTAAATGAAAGTTCAACTCTGTGAGTTGAACACACACAACACAAGGGAAGTTACTGGGAATTCTTCTGTCTAGCCTTACATGAAAAAAACCCGTTTCCAACGAAGACCTCAAAGAAGTCCAAATATCCACCTGCAGACGTTACAAACAGAGTGTTTCCTAACTGCTCTATGAAAAGAAAGGTTAAACTCTGTGAGTTCAACGCCCACATCACAAAGGAGTTTCTGAGAAACATTCTGTCTAGTTTTTATACGAAGATATTTCCTTTTCTACCATTGACCTCAAAGCGGCTGAAATCTCCACTTGCAAATTCCAGAAAAAGAGTGTTTCAAGTCTACTCTGTGTAAAGCATCGTTCAACTCTGTGAGTTGAAGACACACAACACAAGGAAGTTTCTGACAATTCTTCTGTATAGCAGAATATGAAGAAATCCCGTTTCCAACGAAAGCCTCAAAGATGTCTGAATATCCACTTCCAGACTTTACAAACAGAGTGTTTCCTAACTGCTCTATGAAAAGAAAGGTTAAACTCCGTGAGTTGAACGCACACATCACAAAGGAGTTTCTGAGAATCATTCTGTCTAGTTTTGAAACGAAGATATTTCCTTTTCTGCCATTGACCTTAAAGCGCTTGAAATCTCCACTTGCCAATTGCACAAAAAGAGTGTTTCAAATCTGCTCTGTCTAAGGGAACGTTCAACTCTGTGAGTTGAATGTACACAACGCAAGGAAGTTACTGGGAATTCTTCTGTCTAGCCTTACAGGAAAGAAACCCGTTTCCAACGAAGGCCTCTAAGTGGTCAAAATATCCACGTGCAGACTTTACAAACAGAGTGTTTCCAAATTGCTGAATGAAAAGAAAAGTTAAACTCTGAGAGTTGAACGCACACATCGCAGAGCAGTTTCTGAGAATGATTCTGCCTAGTTTTTATACGAAGATATTTCCTTTTCTGCCTTTAGCCTCAAAGCGCTTGAAATCTCCACTTGCAAATTCCACAAAAAGAGTGTTTCAAATCTGCTCTGTGTAAATGAAAGTTCAACTCTGTGAGTTGAACACACACAACACAAGGAAGTTACTGGGAATTCTTCTGTCTAGCATAATATGAAGAAATCCCGTTTCCAACGAAGGCCTCAAGGAGGTCTGAATATCCACTTGAAGACTTTAAAAACAGAGTGTTTCCTAACTGCTCTATGAAAAGAAAGGTTAAACTCTGTGAGTTGAACGCACACATCACAAAGGATTTCTCAGAATCATTCTGTCTAGTTTTTCTACGAAGATGTTTCCTTTTCTACTATTGACCTCAAAGCGGCTGAAATCTCCACTTGCAAATTCCACAAAAAGAGTGTTTCAAGTCTGCTCTGTGTAAAGGATCGTTCAACTCTGTGAGTTGAATACACACAACACAAGGAAGTTACTGAGAATTCTTCTGTCTAGCAGAATATGAAGAAATCCCGTTTCCAACGAAGGCCTCAAGGAGGTCTGAATATCCACTTGCAGACTTTACAAACAGAGTGTTTTCTAACTGCTCTATGAACAGAAAAGTTAAACTCTGTGAGTTGAACGAACACATCACAACGCAGTTTGTGGGAATGATTCTGTCTAGTTTTTATAGGAAGATATTTCCTTTTCTACTTTTGACTTCAAAGCGGCTGAAATCTCCACTTGCAAATTCCACAAAAAGAGTGTTACAAGTCTGCTCTGTGTAAAGGATCGTTCAACTCTGTGAGTTGAATACACACAACACAAAGAAGTTACTGAGAATTCTTCTGTCTAGCCTTACATGAAAAAAACCCGTTTCCAACGAAGGCCTCTAAGTGGTCAAATTATCCACGTGCAGACTTTACAAACAGAGTGTTTCCAAACTGCTGAATGAAAAGGAAAGTTAAACTCTGAGAGTTGAACGCACAAATCGCAGAGCAGTTTCTGAGAATGATTCTGTCTAGTTTTTATACGAAGATATTTCCTTTTCTGCCCTTGGCCCCAAAGCGCTTGAAATCTCCACTTGCAAATTCCACAAAAACAGTGTTTCAAATCTGCTCTCTCTAAATGAAAGTTCAACTCTGTCAGTTGAATACACACAACACAAGGAAAGTTACTGAGAATTCTTCTGTCTAGCATAATATGAAGAAATCCCGTTTCCAACGAAGGCCTCAAAGGGGTCTGAATATCCACTTGCAGACTTTATAAACAGAGTGTTTACGAACTGTTCTATGAAAAGAAAGGTTAAACTCTGTGAGTTGAACACACACATCACAAAGGAGTTTCTGAGAATCATTCTGTCTAGTTTCTATAGGAAGATATTTCCTATTCTACCATTGACCTCAAAGCGGCTGAAATCTCCACTTGCAAATTTCACAAAAAGAGTGTTTCAAGTCTGCTCTCTGTAAAGGATCGTTCAACTCTGTGAGTTGAATACACACCACACAAGGAAGTTACTGAGAATTCTTCTGTCTAGCAGAATATGAAGAAATCCCGTTTCCAACGAAGGCCTCAAGGAGGTCTGAATATCCACTTGCAGACTTTACAAACAGAGTGTTTTCTAACTGCTCTATGAACAGAAAAGTTAAACTCTGTGAGTTGAACGAACACATCACAACGCAGTTTGTGGGAATGATTCTGTCTAGTTTTGAAACGAAGATATTTCCTTTTCTGCCATTGACCTCAAAGCGCTTGAAATCTCCACTTGCCAATTGCACAAAAAGAGTGTTTCAAATCTGCTCTGTCTAAGGGAACGTTCAACTCTGTGAGTTGAATGTACACAACACAAGGGAAGTTACTGGGAATTCTTCTGTCTAGCCTTACATGAAAAAAACCCGTTTCCAACGAAGGCCTCTAAGTGGTCAAAATTTCCACGTGCACACTTTACAAACAGAGTGTTTCCAAACCGCTGAATGAAAAGAAAAGTTAAACTCTGAGAGTTGAACGCACACATCACGCAGCAGTTTCTGAGAATGATTCTGTCTAGTTTTTATACGAAGATATTTCCTTTTCTGCCTTTGGCCTCAAAGCGCTTGAAATCTCCACCTGCAAATTCCACAAAAAGAGTGTTTCAAATCTGCTCTGTGTAAATGAAAGTTCAACTCTGTGAGTTGAACACACACAACACAAGGAAGTTACTGGGGAATTCTTCTGTCTAGCAGAATAAGAAGAAATCCCGTTTCCAACGAAGGCCTCAAGGAGGTCTGAATATCCACTTGCAGACTTTACAAACAGAGTGTTTCCTAACTGCTCTATGAAAAGAAAGGTGAAACTCTGTGAGTTGAATGCACACATCACAAAGGAGTTTATGAGAATCATTCTGTCTAGGTTTTATAGGAAGATATTTCCTTTTCTACCTTTGACTTCAAAGCGGCTGAAATCTCCACTTGCAAATTCCACAAAAAGAGTGTTACAAGTCTGCTCTGTGTAAAGGATCGTTCAACTCTGTGAGTTGAATACACACAACACAAGGAAGTTACTGAGAATTCTTCTGTCTAGCACAGTATGGAGAAATCCCGTTTCCAACGAAGGCCTCAAAGAGGTCTGAATATCCACTTGCAGAGTTTACAAACAGAGTGTTTCCTAACTGCTCTATGAAAAGAAAGGTTAAACTCTGTGAGTTGAACGAACACATCACAACGCAGTTTGTGGGAATGATTCTGTCTAGTTTTTATAGGAAGATATTTCCTTTTCTACCTTTGACCTCAAAGCGGCTGAAATCACCACTTGCCAATTGCACAAAAAGTGTTTCAAATCTGCTCTGTCTAAGGAAACGTTCAACTCTGTGGGTTGAATGTACAAAACACAAGGAAGTTACTGGGAATTCTTCTGTCTAGCCTTACAGGAAAAAAACCCGTTTCCAACGAAGGCCTCTAAGTGGTCAAAATATCCACGTGCAGACTTTACAAACAGAGTGTTTCCAAACTGCTGAATGAAAAGAAAATTTAAACTCTGAGAGTTGAACGCACACATCGCAGAGCAGTTTCTGAGAATGATTCTGTCTAGTTTTTATACGAAGACATTTCCTTTTCTGCCTTTGGCCCCAAAGCTCTTGAAATCTCCACTTGCAAATTCCACAAAAACAGTGTTTCAAATCTGCTCTCTCTAAATGAAAGTTCAACTCTGTCAGTTGAATACACACAACACAAGGAAGTTACTGAGAATTCTTCTGTCTAGCATAATATGAAGAAATCCCATTTCCAACGAAGGCCTCAAGGAGGTCTGAATATCCACTTGCAGACTTTACAAACAGAGTGTTTCCCAACTGCTCTATGAAAAGAAAGGTTAAACTCTGTGAGTTGAACGCACACATCACAAAGGAGTTTCTGAGAATCATTCTGTCTAGTCTTTATACGAAGATATTTCCTTTTCTACCATTGACCTCAAAGCGGCTGAAATCTCCACTTGCAAATTCCACAAAAAGAGTGTTTCAAGTCTGCTCTGTGTAAAGAATCGTTCAACTCTGTAAGTTGAATACACACAACACAAGGAAGTTACTGAGAATTGTTCTGTCTAGCAGAATATGAAGAAATCCCGTTTCCAACGAAGGCCACAAGATGTCAGAATATCCACTTACAGACTTTACAAACAGAGTGTTTCCTAACTGCTCTATGAACAGAAAGGTTAAACTGTGTGAGTTGAACGAACACATCACAACGCAGTTTGTGGGAATGATTCTGTCTAGTTTTGAAACGAAGATATTTCCTTTTCTGCCATTGACCTTAAAGCGCTTGAAATCTACACTTGCAAATTGCACAAATAGAGTGTTTCAAATCTGCTCTGTCTAAGGGAACGTTCAACTCTGTGAGTTTAATGCACCCAACACAAGGGAAGTTACTGGGAATTCTTCTGTCTAGCCTTACATGAAAAAAACCCGTTTCCAACGAAGGCCTCTAAGTGGTCAAAATATCCACGTGCAGACTTTACAAACAGAGTGTTTCCAAACCGCTGAATGAAAAGAAAAGTTAAACTCTGAGAGTTGGACGCACACATCACGCAGGAGTTTCTGAGAATGATTCTGTCTAGTTTTTATACGAAGATATTTCCTTTTCTGCCTTTGGCCCCAAAGCGCTTGAAATCTCCACTTGCAAATTCCACAAAAACAGTGTTTCAAATCTGCTCTCTCTAAATGAAAGTTCAACTCTGTCATTTGAATACACACAACACAAGGAAGTTACTGAGAATTCTTCTGTCTAGCCTTATATGAAAAAAACCCGTTTCCAACGAAGGCCTCAAAGAGGTCTGAATATCCACTTTCAGACTTTACAAACAGAGTGTTTCCTAACTGCTCTATGAAAAGAAAGGTTAAACACTGTGAGTTGAACGCACACATCACAAAGGAGTTTCTGAGAATCATTCTGTCTAGTTTCTATACGAAGATATTTCCTATTCTACCATTGACATCAAAGCGGCAGAAATCTCCACGTGTAAATTCCACAAAAAGAGTATTTCAAGACTGCTCTGTGTAAAGGATCCTTCAACTCTGTGAGTTGAATACACACAACACAAGGAAGTTACTGAGAATTCTTCTGTGTAGCATAATATGAAGAAATCCCGTTTCCAAAGAAGGCCTCAAATATGTCTGAATATCCACTTGCAGACGTTACAAACAGAGTGTTTCCTAACTGCTCTATGAAAAGAACGGTTAAACTCTGTGAGTTAAATGCCCACATAACAAAGGAGTTTCTGACAATCATTCTGTCTAGTTTTCATACGAAGATATTTCTTTTTCTACCATTGACCTCAAAGCGGCTGAAACCTCCACTTGCAAATTCCGCAAAAAGAGTGTTTCAAGTCTGCTCTGTGTAAAGGGTCGTTCAACTCTGAGAGTTGAATACACACAACACAAGGAAGTTTCTGAGAATTCTTCTGTCTAGCATAATATGAAGAAATCCCCTTTCCAAAGAAGGCCTCAAGGAGGTCTGAATATCCACTTGCAGACTTTACAAACAGAGTGTTTCCTAACTGCTCTATGAAAAGAAAGGTTTAACTCTGTGAGTTGAACGCACACATCACAAAGGAGTTTGTGAGAATCATTCTGTCTAGTTTCTATGGGAAGATATTTCCTATTCTACCATTGACCTCAAAGCGGCTGAAATCTCCACTTGCAAATTCCACAAAAAGAGTGTTTCAAGTCTGCTCTGTGTAAAGGATCGTTGAACTCTGTGAGTTGAATACACACAACACAAGGAAGTTACTGAGAATTCTTCTGTCTAGCATAATATGAAGAAATCCCGTTTCCAACGAAGGCCTTAAGGAGGTCTGAATATCCACTTGCAGACTTTACAAACAGAGTGTTTCCTAACTGCTCTATGAAAAGAAAGGTTAAACTCTGTGAGTTGAACGCACACATCACAAAGGAGTTTCTGAGAATCATTCTGTCTAGTCTTTATACGAAGATATTTCCTTTTCTACCATTGACCTCAAATCGGCTGAAATCTCCACTTGCAAATTCCACAAAAAGAGTGTTTCAAGTCTGCTCTGTGTAAAGGATCGTTCAACTCTGTGAGTTGAATACACACAACACAAGGAAGTTACTGAGAATTCTTCTTTCTAGCAGAATACGAAGAAATCCCGTTTCCAACGAAAGCCTCAAGGATGTCTGAATATCCACTTGCAGACTTTACAAACAGAGTGTTTCCTAACTGCTCTATGAAAAGAAAGGTTAAACTCTGTGAGTTGAACGCACGCATCACAAAGGAGTTTCTGAGAATCATTCTGTCTAGTTTCTATAGGAAGATATTTCCTATTCTACCATTGACCTCAAAGCGGCTGAAATCTCCACTTGCAAATTCCACAAAAAGAGTATTTCAAGTCTGCTCTGTGTAAAGGATCGTTTAACTCTGTGAGTTGAATAAACACAACACAAGGCAGTTACTGAGAATTCTTCTGACTAGCCTTACATGAAAAAAACCCGTTTCCAACGAAGGCCTCTAAGTGGTCAAAATATCCACGTGCAGACTTTACAAACAGAGTGTTTCCAAACCGCTGAATGAAAAGAAAAGTTAAACTCTGAGAGTTGAACGCACACATCACGCAGCAGTTTCTGAGAATGATTCTGTCTAGTTTTTATACGAAGATATTTCCTTTTCTGCCTTTGGCCTCAAAGCGCTTGAAATCTCCATTAGCAAATTCCACAAAAAGTGTGTCTCAAACCTGCTCTCTGTAAATGAAAGTTCAACTCTGTGAGTTGAACACACACAACACAAGGAAGTTACTGGGAATTCTTCTGTCTAGCCTTATATGAAAAAAACCCGTTTCCAACGAAGGCCTCAAAGAGGTCTGAATATCCACCTGCAGACTTTACAAACAGAGTGTTTCCTAACTGCTCTATGAAAAGAAAGGTTAAACTCTGTGAGTTGAACACACACATCTCAAAGGAGTTTCTGAGAATCATTCTGTCTAGTTTCTATAGGAAGATATTTCCTATTCTGCCATTGACCTCAAAGCGGCTGAAATCTCCACTTGCAAATTCCACAAAAGGAGTGTTTCAAGTCTGCTCTGTGTAAAGGATCGTTCAACTCTGTGAGTTGAAAACACACAACACAAGGAAGTTTCTGAGAATTCTTCTGTCTAGCAGAATATGAAGAAATCCCGTTTCCAACGAAGGCCACCAGGATGTCAGAATATCCACTTACAGAATTTACAAACAGAGTGTTTCCTAACTGCTCTATGAAAAGAAAGGTTAAACTCTGTGAGATGAACGAACACATCACAACGCAGTTTGTGGGAATGATTCTGTCTAGTTTTGAAACGAAGATATTTCCTTTTCTGCCATTGACCTTAAAGCGCTTGAAATCTCCACTTGCCAATTGCACAAAAAGAGTGTTTCAAATCTGCTCTGTCTAAGGGAACGTTCAACTCTGTGAGTTGAATGTACACAACGCAAGGAAGTTACTGGGAATTCTTCTGTCTAGCCTTACAGGAAAAAAACCCGTTTCCAACGAAGGCCTCTAAGTGGTCAAAATATCCACGTGCAGACTTTACAAACAGAGTGATTCCAAACTGCTGAATGAAAAGAAAAGTTAAAATCTGAGAGTTGAACGCACACATCGCAGAGCAGTTTCTGAGAATGATTCTGTCTAGTTTTGAAACGAAGATATTTCCTTTTCTGCCTTTGGCCTCAAAGCGCTTGAAATCTCCACTTGCAAATTCCACAAAAAGAGTGTTTCGAATCTGCTCTGGGTAAATGAAAGTTCAACTCTGTGAGTTGAACACACACAACACAAGGAAGTTACTGGGAATTCTTCTGTCTAGCATAGTATGAAGAAATCCCGTTTCCAACGAAGGCCTCAAAGAGGTCTGAACATCCACTTGCAGAGTTTACAAACAGAGTGTTTCCTAACTGCTCTATGAAAAGAAAGGTTAAACTCTGTGAGTTGAACGCACACATCACAAAGAAGTTTCTGAGAATCATTCTGTCTAGTTTTTCTACGAAGATATTTCCTTTTCTACTATTGACCTCAAAGCGGCTGAAATCTCCACTTGCAAATTCCACAAAAAGAGTTGTGTTCAAGTCTGCTCTGTGTAAAGGATCGTTCAACTCTGTGAGTTGAATACACACAACAGAAGGAAGTTACTGAGAATTCTTCTGTCTAGCAGAATATGAAGAAATCCTGTTTCCAACGAAGGCCACAAGATGTCAGAATATCCACTTACAGAATTGACAAACAGACTGTTTCCTAACTGCTCTATGAAAAGAAAGGTTAAACTCTGTGAGTTGAACGAACACATCACAACGCAGTTTGTGGGAATGATTCTGTCTAGTTTTGAAACGAAGATATTTCCTTTTCTGCCGTTGACCTTAAAGAGCTTGAAAACTACACTTGCAAATTGCACAAATAGAGTGTTTCAAATCTGCTCTGTCTAAGGGAACGTTCAACTCTGTGAGTTGAATGCACACAACACAAGGAAGTTACTGGGAATTCTTCTGTCTAGCCTTACATTAAAAAAAACCCGTTTCCAACGAAGACCTCTAAGTGGTCAAAATATCCACGTGCAGACTTTACAAACAGAGTGTTTCCAAACCGCTGAATGAAAAGAAAAGTTAAACTCTGAGAGTTGAACGCACACATCACGCAGCAGTTTCTGAGAATGATTCTGTCTTGTTTTTATACGAGGATATTTCCTTTTCTGCCTTTGGCCCCAAAGCGCTTGAAATCTCCACTTGCAAATTCCACAAAAACAGTGTTTCAAATCTGCTCTCTCCAAATGAAAGTTCAACTCTGTCAGTTGAATACACACAACACAAGGAAGTTACTGAGAATTCTTCTGTCTAGCATAATATGAAGAAATCCCGTTTCCAAAGAAGGCCACAAGGAGGTCTGAATATCCAGTTGCTGACTTTACAAACAGAGTGTTTCCTAACTGCTCTATGAAAAGAAAGGTTAAACTCTGTGAGTTGAACGCACACATCACAAAGGAGTTTCTGAGAATCATTCTGTCTAGTTTCTATAGGAAGATATTTCCTATTCTACCATTGAACTCAAAGCGGCTGAAATCTCCACTTGCAAATTCCACAAAAAGAGTGTTTCAAGTCTGCTCTGTGTAAAGGATCATTCAAATCTGTGAGTTGAATACACACAACACAAGGAAGTTACTGAGAATTCTTCTGTCTAGCAGAATATGAAGAAATCCCGTTTCCAACGAAGGCCTCAAGGAAGTCTGAATATCCACTTGCAGACTTTACAAACAGAGTGTTTCCTAACTTCTCTATGAAAAGAAAGGTTAAACTCTGTGAGTTGAACGAACACATCACAACGCAGTTTGTGGGAATGATCCTGTCTAATTTTGAAACGAAGATATTTCCTTTTCTGCCGTTGACCTTAAAGCGCTTGAAATCTACACTTGCAAATTACACAAATAGAGTGTTTCAAATCTGCTCTGTCTAAGGGAACGTTCAACTCTGTGAGTTGAATGCACACAACACAAGGAAGTTACTGGGAATTCTTCTGTCTAGCCTTACATGAAGAAAAACCGTTTCCAAAGAAGGCTTCTAAGTGGTCAAAATATCCACGTGCAGACTTTACAAACAGAGTGTTTCCAAACCGCTGAATGAAAAGAAAAGTTAAACTCTGAGAGTTGAACGCACACATCACGCAGCAGATTCTGAGAATGATTCTGTCTAGTTTTTATACGAAGATATTTCCTTTCCTGCCTTTGGCCCCAAAGCGCTTGAAATCTCCACTTGCAAATTCCACAAAAACAGTGTTTCAAATCTGCTCTCTCTAAATGAAAGTTCAACTCTGTCAGTTGAATACACACAACACAAGGAAGTTACTGAGAATTCTTCCGTCTAGCCTTACATGAAAAAAACCCGTTTCCAACGAAGGCCTCAAAGAAGTCCAAATATCCACGTGCAGACTTTACAAACAGAGTGTTTCCTAACGGCTCTATGAAAAGAAAGGTTAAACTCTGTGAGTTGAACGCCCACATCACCAAGGAGTTTCTGAGAATCATTCTGTCTAGTTTTTATACGAAGATATTTCCTTTTCTACCATGGACCTCAAAGCGGCTGAAATCTCCACTTGCAAATTCCACAAAAAGAGTGTTTCAAGTCTGCTCTGTGTAAAGGATCGTTCAACTCTGTGCGTTGAATACACACAACACAAGGAAGATTCTGAGAATTCTTCTGTCTAGCATAATATGGAGAAATCCCGTTTCCAACGAAGGCCTCAAAGAGGTCTGAATATCCACTTGCAGACTTTACACACAGAGTGTTTCCTAACTGCTCTATGAAAAGAAAAGTTAAACTCTGTGAGTTGAACGCACACATCACAAAGGAGTTTCTGAGAATCATTCTGTCTAGTTTTTATACGAAGATATTTCCTTTTCTACCATTGACCTCAAAGCGGCTGAAATCTCCACTTGCAAATTCCACAAAAAGAGTGTTTCAAATCTGCTCTGAGTAAACCATCGTTCAACTCTGTGAGTTGAATACACACAACACAAGGAAGATTCTGAGAATTCTTCTGTCTAGCAGAATATGAAGAAATCCCGTTTCCAACGAAGGCCACAAGATGTCAGAATATCCACTTACAGAATTTACAAACAGACTGTTTCCTAACTGCTCTCTGAAAAGAAAGGTTAAACTCTCTGAGATGAAGGAACACATCACAACGCAGTTTTTGGGAATGATTCTGTCTAGTTTTGAAACGAAGATATTTCCTTTTCTGCCACTGACCTTAAAGCGCTTGAAATCTCCACTTGCCAATTCCACAAAAAGAGTGTTTCAAATCTGCTCTGTCTAAGGGAACGTTCAACTCTGTGAGTTGAATGTACACAACACAAAGAAGTTACTGGGAATTATTCTGTCTAGCCTTACATGAAAAAAACCCGTTTCCAACGAAAGCCTCTAAGTGGTCAAAATATCCACGTGCAGACTTTACAAACAGAGTGTTTCCAAACCACTGAATGAAAAGAAAAGTTAAACTCTGAGAGTTGAACGCACACATCACGCAGCAGTTTCTGAGAATGATTCTGTCTAGTTTTTAAACGAAGATATTTCCTTTTCTGCCCTTGGCCCCAAAGCGCTTGAAATCTCCACTTGCATATTCCGCAAAAACAGTGTTTCAAATCTGCTCTCTCTAAATGAAAGTTCAACTCTGTCAGTTGAATACACACAACACAAGGAAGTTACCGAGAATTCTTCTTTCTAGCAGAATATGAAGAAATCCCGTTTCCAACGAAAGCCTCAAGGATGTCTGAATATCCACTTGCAGACTTTACAAACAGAGTGTTTCCTAACTGCTCTATGAAAAGAAAGGTTAAACTCTGTGAGTTGAACGCACACATCACAAAGGAGTTTATGAGAATCATTCTGTCTAGTTTCTATAGGAAGATATTTCCTATTCTACCATTGACCTCAAAGCAGCTGAAATCTCCACTTGCAAATTCCACAAAAAGAGTGTTTCAAGTCTGCTCTGTGTAAAGGATCGTTCAACTCTGTGAGTTGAATACACACAACACAAGGAAGTTACTGAGAATTCTTCTGTCTAGCATAATATGAAGAAATCCCGTTTCCAACGAAGGCCACAAGATGTCAGAATTTCCACTTACAGACTTTACAAACAGAGTGTTTCCTAACTGCTCTATGAACAGAAAGGTTAAACTCTGTGAGTTTAACGAACACATCACAACGCAGTTTTTGGGAATGAGTCTGTCTAGTTTTGAAACGAAGATATTTCCTTTTCTGCCGTTGACCTTAAAGAGCTTGAAAACTACACTTGCAAATTGCACAAATAGAGTGTTTCAAATCTGCTCTGTCTAAGGGAACGTTCAACTCTGTGAGTTGAATGCACACAACACAAGGAAGTTACTGGGAATTCTTCTGTCTAGCCTTACATGAAAAAAACACGTTTCCAACGAAGGCCTCTAAGTGGTCAAAATTTCCACGTGCAGACTTTACAAACAGAGTGTTTCCAAACCGCTGAATGAAAAGAAAAGTTAAACTCTGAGAGTTGAACGCACACATCACGCAGCAGTTTCTGAGAATGATTCTGTCTAGTTTTTATACGAAGATATTTCCTTTTCTGCCTTTGGTCCCAAAGCGCTTGAAATCTCCATTTGCAAATTCCACAAAAACAGTGTTTCAAATCTGCTCTCTCTAAATGAAAGTTCAACTCTGTCAGCTTGAATACACACAACACAAGGAAGTTACTGAGAATTCTTCTGTCTAGCAGAATATGAAGAAATCCCGTTTCCAACGAAAGCCTCAAAGATGTCTGAATATCCACTTGCAGACTTTACAAACAGAGTGTTTCCTAACTGCTCTATGAAAAGAAAGGTTAAACTCTGTGAGTTGAACGCACACATCGCAAAGGAGTTTCTGAGAATCATTCTGTCTAGTTTCTGTAGGAAGATATTTCCTATTCTACCATTGACCTCAAAGCGGCTGAAATCTCCACTTGCAAATTCCACAAAAAGAGTGTTTCAAGTCTGCTCTGTGTAAAGGATCGTTCAACTCTGTGAGTTGAATACACACAACACAAGGAAGTTACTGAGAATTCCTCTGTCTAGCATAATATGAAGAAATCCCGTTTCCAACGAAGGCCTCAAGGAGGTCTGAGTATCCACTTGCAGACTTTTCAAACAGAGTGTTTCCTAACTGCTCTATGAAAAGAAAGGTTAAACTCTGTCAGTTGAACGCAGACATCACAAAGAAGTTTCTGAGAATCACTCTGTCTAGTGTTTATAGGAAGATATTTCCCTTTCTACCTGTGACTTCAAAGCGGCTGAAATCTCCACTTGCAAATTCCACAAAAAGAGTGTTACAAGTCTGCTCTGTGTAAAGGATCGTTCAACTCTGTGAGTTGAATACACACAACACAAGGAAGTTACTGAGAATTCTTCTGTCTATCCTTACATGAAAAAAACCCGTTTCCAACGAAGACCTCTAAGTGGTGAAATTATCCACGTGCAGACTTTACAAACAGAGTGTTTCCAAACTGCTGAATGAAAAGAAAAGTTAAACTCTGAGAGTTGAACGCACACATCGCAGAGCAGTTTCTGAGAATGATTCTGTCTAGTTTTTATACGAAGATATTTTCTTTTCTGCCTTTGGCCCCAAAGCGCTTGAAATCTCCACTTGCAAATTCCACAAAAACAGTGTTTCAAATCTGCTCTCTCTAAATGAAAGTTCAACTCTGTCAGTTGAATACACACAACACAAGGAAGTTACTGAGAATTCTTCTGTCTAGCATAATATGAAGAAATCCCGTTTCCAACGAAGGCCTCAAGGAGGTCTGAATATCCACTTGCAGACTTTACAAACAGTGTTTCCTAACTGCTCTATGAAAAGAAAGGTTAAACTCTGTGAGTTGAATGCACACATCACAAAGGAGTTTCTGAGAATCATTCTGTGTACTTTCTATAGGAAGATATTTCCTATTCTACCATTGAACTCAAAGCGGCTGAAATCTCCACTTGCAAATTCCACAAAAAGAGTGTTTCAAGTCTGCTCTGTGTAAAGGATCGTTCAACTCTGTGAGTTGAATACACACAACACAAGGAAGTTACTGAGAATTCTTCTGTCCAGCAGAATATGAAGAAATCCCGTTTCCAACGAAGGCCACAAGATGTCAGAATATCCACTTACAGACTTTACAAACAGAGTGTTTCCTAACTGCTCTATGAACAGAAAGTTTAAACTCTGTGAGTTGAACGAACACATCACAACGCAGTTTGTGGGAATGATTCTGTCTAGTTTTGAAACGAAGATATTTCCTTTTCTCCCATTGACCTTAAAGCGCTTGAGATCTACACTTGCAAATTGCACAAATAGAGTGTTTCAAATCTGCTCTGTCTAAGGGAACGTTCAACTCTGTGAGTTGAATGCACACAACACAAGGAAGTTACTGGGAATTCTTCTGTCTAGCCTTACATGAAAAAATCCCGTTTCCAACGAAGGCCTCTAAGTGGTCAAAATATCCACGTGCAGACTTTACAAACAGACTGTTTCCAAACCGCTGAATGAAAAGAAAAGTTAAACTCTGAGAGTTGAACTCACACATCACGCAGCAGTTTCTGAGAATGATTCTGTCTAGTTTTTATACGAAGATATTTCCTTTTCTGCCTTTGGCCTCAAAGCGCTTGAAATCTCCACTTGCAAATTCCACAAAAAGAGTGTTTCAAATCTGCTCTGTGTAAATGAAAGTTCAACTCTGTGAGTTGAACACACACAACACAAGGAAGTTACTGAGAATTCTTCTGTCTAGCCTTATATGAAAAAAACCCGTTTCCAACGAAGGCCTCAAAGAGGTCTGAATATCCACTTGCAGACTTTACAAACAGAGTGATTCCTAACGGCTCTATGAAAAGAAAGGTTAAACTCTGTGAGTTGAACACACACATCACAAAGGAGTTTCTGAGAATCATTTCCGTCTAGTTTCTATAGGAAGATATTTCCTATTCTACCATTGACCTCAAAGCGGCTGAAATCTCCACTTGCAAATTCCACAAAAAGAGTGTTTCAAGTCTGCTCTGTGTAAAGGATCGTTCAACTCTGTGAGTTGAATACACACAACACAAGGAAGTTACTGAGAATTCCTCTGTCTAGCAGAATACGAAGAAATCCCGTTTCCAACGAAGGCCTCAAAGAGGTCTGAATATCCACTTGCAGACTTTACAAACAGAGTGTTTCCTAACTGCTCTATGAAAAGAAAGGTTAAACTCTGTGAGTTGAACGCACACATTACAACGCAGTTTGTGGGAATGATTCTGTCTAGTTTTGAAACGAAGATATTTCCTTTTCTGCCATTGACCTTAAAGCGCTTGAAATCTCCACTTGCCAATTGCACAAAAAGAGTGTTTCAAATCTGCTCTGTCTAAGGGAACGTTCAACTCTGTGAGTTGAATGTACACAACGCAAGGAAGTTACTGGGAATTCTTCTGTCTAGCCTTATATGAAAAAAAACCCGTTTCCAAAGAAGGCCTCTAAGTGGTCAAATTATCCACGTGCAGACTTTACAAACAGAGTGTTTCCAAACTGCTGAATGAAAAGAAAAGTTAAACTCTGAGAGTTGAACGCACACATCGCAGAGCAGTTTCTGAGAATGATTCTGTCTAGTTTTTATACGAAGATATTTCGTTTTCTGCCTTTGGCCCCAAAGCGCTTGAAATCTCCACTTGCAAATTCCACAAAAAGAGTGTTTCAAATCTGCTCTCTCTAAATGAAAGTTCAACTCTGTCAGTTGAATACACACAACACAAGGAAGTTACTGAGAATTCTTCTGTCTAGCCTTATATGAAAAAAACCCGTTTCCAACGAAGGCCTCAAAGAGGTCTGAATATCCACTTGCAGACTTTACAAACAGAGTGTTTCCTAACTGCTCTATGAAAAGAAAGGTTAAACTCTGTGAGTTGAACGCACACATCACAAAGGAGTTTCCGAGAATCATTCTGTCTAGTTTCTATAGGAAGATATTTCCTATTCTACCATTGACCTCAAAGCGGCTGAAATCTCCACCTGCAAATTCCACAAAAAGAGTGTTTCATGTCTGCTCTGTGTAAAGGATCGTTCAACTCTGTGAGTTGAATACACACAACACAAGGAAGTTACTGAGAATTCTTCTGTCTAGCAGAATATGAAGAAATCCCGTTTCCAACGAAGGCCTCAAAGAGGTCTGAATATCCACTTGCAGACTTCACAAACAGAGTGTTTCCTAACTGCTCTATGAAAAGAAAGGTTAAACTCTGTGAGTTGAACGCACACATTACAACGCAGTTTGTGGGAATGATTCTGTCTAGTTTTGAAACGAAGATATTTCCTTTTCTGCCATTGACCTCAAAGCGCTTGAAATCTCCACTTGCCAATTGCACAAAAAGAGTGTTTCAAATCTGCTCTGTCTAAGGGAACGTTCAACTCTGTGAGTTGAATGTACACAACGCAAGGAAGTTACTGGGAAGTCTTCTGTCTAGCCTTACAGGAAAAAAACCCGTTTCCAACGAAGGCCTCTAAGTGGTCAAAATATCCACGTGCAGACTTTACAAACAGAGTGTTTCCAAACTGCTGAATGAAAAGAAAAGTTAAACTCTGAGAGTTGAACGCACACATCGCAGAGCACTTTCTGAGAATGATTCTGTCTAGTTTCTATAGGAAGATATTTCTATTCTACCATTGACCTCAAAGCGGCTGAAATCTCCACTTGCAAATTCCACAAAAAGAGTGTTTCAAGTCTGATCTCTGTAAAGGATCATTCAACTCTGTGAGTTGAATACACACAACACAAGGAAGTTACTGAGAATTCTTCTGTCTAGCAGAATATGAAGAAATCCCTTTTCCAATGAAGGCCAGAAAATGTCAGAATATCCACTTACAGACTTTACAAACAGAGTGTTTCCTAACTGCTCTATGAAAAGAAAGGTTAAACTCTGTGAGTTGAACGCACACATCACAAAGGAGTTTCTGAGAATCGTTCTGTCTAGTCTTTATACGAAGATATTTACTTTTCTACCATTGACCTCAAAGCGGCTGAAATCTCCACTTGCAAATTCCACAAAAAGAGTGTTTCAAGTCTGCTCTGTGTAAAGGATCGTTCAACTCTGTGAGTTGAATAAACACAACACAAGGAAGTTACTGAGAATTCTTCTGTCTAGCAGAATATGAAGAAATCCCTTTTCCAACGAAGGCCACAAGATGTCAGAATATCCACTTACAGACTTTACAAACAGAGTGTTTCCTAACTGCTCTATGAACAGAAAGGTTAAACTCTGTGAGTTGAACGAACACATCACAACGCAGTTTGTGGGAATGATTCTGTCTTGTGTTGAAACGAAGATATTTCCTTTTCTGCCATTGACCTTAAAGCGCTTGAAATCTACACTTGCAAATTGCACAAATAGAGTGTTTCAAATCTGCTCTGTCTAAGGGAACGTTCAACTCTTTGAGTTGAATGCACACAACACAAGGAAGTTACTGGGAATTCTTCTGTCTAGCCTTACTTGAAAAAAACCAGTTTCCAACGAAGGCCTCTAAGTGGTCAAAATATCCACGTGCAGACTTTACAAACAGAGTGTTTCCAAACTGCTGAATGAAAACAAAAGTTAAACTCTGAGAGTTGAACGCACACATCACAGAGCAGTTTCTGAGAATGATTCTGTCTAGTTTTTATACGAAGATATTTCCTTTACTGCCTTTGGCCCCAAAGCGCTTGAAATCTCCACTTGCAAATTCCACGAAAACAGTGTTTCAAATCTGCTCTCTCTAAATGAAAGTTAAACTCTGTCAGTTGAATACACACAACACAAGGAAGTTACTTAGAAATCTTCTGTCTAGCATAGTATGAAGAAATCCCGTTTCCAACCAAGGCCTCAAAGAGGTCTGAATATCCACTTGCAGAGTTTACAAACAGAGTGTTTCCTAACTGCTCTATGAAAAGAAAGGTTAAACTCTGTGAGTTGAACGCACACATCACAAAGAAGTTTCTGAGAATCATTCTGTCTAGTTTTTATACGAAGATATTTCCTTTTCTACCATTGACCTCAACGCGGCTGAAATCTCCACTTGCAAATTCCACAAAAAGAGTGTTTCAACTCCGCTCTGTGTAAAGGATCGTTCAAATCTGTGAGTTGAATACACACAACACAAGGAAGTTACTGAGAATTCTTCTGTCTAGCAGAATATGAAGAAATCCCGTTTCCAACGAAGGCCACAAGATGTCAGAATATCCACTTACAGAATTGACAGACTGTTTCCTAACTGCTCTATGAAAAGAAAGGTTAAACTCTGTGAGTTGAACGAACACATCACAACGCAGTTTGTGGGAATGATTCTGTCTAGTTTTGAAACGAAGATATTTCCTTTTCTGCCATTGACCTTAAAGCGCTTGAAATCTACACTTGCAAATTGCACAAATAGAGTGTTTCAAATCTGCACTGTCTAAGGGAACGTTCAACTCTGTGAGTTGAATGCACACAACACAAGGAAGTTACTGGGAATTCTTCTGTCTAGGCTTACATGCATAAAACCCGTTTCCAACGAAGGCCTCTAAGTGGTCAAAATATCCACGTGCAGACTTTACAAACAGAGTGTTTCCAAACCGCTGAATGAAAAGAAAAGTTAAACTCTGAGAGTTGAACGCACACATCACGCAGCAGTTTCTGAGAATGATTCTGTCTAGTTTTTATACGAAGATATTTCCTTTTCTGCCTTTGGCCCCAAAGCGCTTGAAATCTCCACTTGCAAATACCACAAAAACAGTGTTTCAAATCTGCTCTCTCTAAATGAAAGTTCAACTCTGTCAGTTGAATACACACAACACAAGGAAGTTACTGAGAATTCTTCTGTCTAGCATAATATGAAGAAAACCCGTTTCCAACGAAGGCCTCAAAGAGGTCTGGATATCCACTTGCAGACTTTACAAACAGAGTGTTCCCTAACTGCTCTATGAAAAGAAAGGTTGAACTCTGTGAGTTGAACGCACACATCACAAAGCAGTTTCTGAGAATCATTCTGTCTAGTTTTTATACGAAGATATTTCCTTTTCTACCATTGACCTCAAAGCGGCTGAAATCTCCACCCTGCCAATTCCACAAAAAGAGTTTCAAGTCTACTCTGTGTAAAGGATCGTTGAACTCTGTGAGTTGAATACACACAACACAAGGAAGTTACTGAGAATTCTTCTTTCTAGCAGAATATGAAGAAATCCCGTTTCCAAAGAAAGCCTCAAGGATGTCTGAATATCCACTTGCAGACTTTACAAACAGAGTGTTTCCTAACTGCTCTATGAAAAGAAAGGTTAAACTCTGTGAGTTGAACGCACACATCACAAAGGAGTTTCTGAGAATCATTCTGTCTAGTTTTGAAACGAAGATATTTCCTTTTCTGCCATTGACCTTAAAGCGCTTGAAATCTACACTTGCAAACTGCACAAATAGAGTGTTTCAAATCTGCTCTGTCTAAGGGAACGTTCAACTCTGTGAGTTGAATGCACACAACACAAGGAAGTTACTGGGAATTCTTCTGTCTAGCCTTACATGCAAAAAACCCGTTTCCAACGAAGGACTCTAAGTGGTCAAAATATCCACGTGCAGACTTTACAACCAGAGTGTTTCGAAACCGCTGAATGAAAAGAAAAGTTAAACTCTGAGAGTTGAACGCACACATCACGCAGCAGTTTCTGAGAATGATTCTGTCTAGTTTTTATACGAAGATATTTCCTTTTCTGCCTTTGGCCCCAAAGCGCTTGAAATCTCCAATTGCAAATTCCACAAAAACAGTGTTTCAAATCTGCTCTCTCTAAATGAAAGTTCAACTCTGTAAGTTGAATACACACAACACAAGGAAGTTACTGAGAATTCTTCTGTCTAGCATAGTATGAACAAATCCCGTTTCCAACGAAGGCCTCAAAGAGGTCTGAATATCCACTTGCAGACTTTACAAACAGAGTGTTTCCTAACTGCTCTATGAAAAGAAAGGTTAAACTTTGTGAGTTGAACGCACACATCACAAAGGAGTTTCTGAGAATCATTCTGTCTAGTTTCTATAGGAAGATATTTCCTATTCTACCATTGACCTCAAAGCGGCTGAAATCTCCAGTTGCAAATTCCACAAAAAGAATGTTTCAAGTCTGCTCTGTGTAAAGGATCGTTCAACTCTGTGAGTTGAATACACACAACACAAGGAAGTTACTGAGAATTATTCTGTCTAGCAGAATAGGAAGAAATCCCGTTTCCAAGGAAAGCCTCAAAGAGGTCTGAATATCCACTTGCAGACTTTACAAACAGAGTGTTTCCTAACTGCTCTATGAAAAGAAAGGTTAAACTGTGAGTTGAACGCACACATCACAAAGGAGTTTCTGAGAATCATTCTGTCTAGTTTTTATAGGAAGATATTTCCTTTTCTACCTTTGACATCAAAGCGGCTGAAATCTCCACTTGCAAATTCCACAAAAAGAGTGTTACAAGTCTGCTCTGTGTAAAGGATCGTTCAACTCTGTGAGTTGAATACACACAACACAAGGGAAGTTACTGAGAATTCTTCTGTCTAGCCTTACATGAAAAAAACCCGTTTCCAACGAAGGCTTCTAAGTGGTCAAATTATCCACGTGCAGACTTTACAAACAGAGTGTTTCCAAACTGCTGAATGAAAAGAAAAGTTAAACTCTGAGAGTTGAACGCACACATCGCAGAGCAGTTTCTGAGAATGATTCTGTCTAGTTTTTATACGAAGATATTTCCTTTTCTGCCTTTGGCCTCAAAGCGCTTGAAATCTCCATTTGCAAATTCCACAAAAAGAGTGTTTCAAATCTGCTCTGTGTAAATGAAAGTTCAACTCTGTGAGTAGAACACACACAACACAAGGAAGTTACTGGGAATTCTTCTGTCTAGCATAATATGAAGAAATCCCGTTTCCAACGAAGGCCTCAAAGGGGTCTCAATATCCACTTGCAGACTTTATAAACAGAGTGTTTACTAACTGCTCTAGGAAAAGAAAGGTTAAACTCTGTGAGTTGAACACACACATCACAAAGGAGTTTCTGAGAATCATTCTGTCTAGTTTCTATAGGAACATATTTCCTATTCTACCATTGACCTCAAAGCGGCTGAAATCTCCACTTGCAAATTCCACAAAAAGAATGTTTCAATTCTGCTCTGTGTAAAGGATCGTTCAACTCTGTGAGTTGAATACACACAACACAAGGAAGTTACTGAGAATTCTTCTGTCTAGCAGAATATGAAGAAATCCCGTTTCCAACGAAGGCCACAAGATGTCAGAATATCCACTTAGAGACTTTACAAACAGAGTGTTTCCTCACTGCTCTATGAACAGAAAGGTTAAACTCTGTGAGTTGAACGAACACATCACAACGCAGTTTGTGGGAATGATTCTGTCTAGTTTTGAAACGAAGATATTTCCTTTTCTGCCATTGACCTTAAAGCGCTTGAAATCTACACTTGCAAATTGCACAAATAGAGTGTTTCAAATCTGCTCTGTCTAAGGGAACGTTCAACTATGTGAGTTGAATGCACACAACACAAGGAAGTTACTGGGAATTCTTCTGTCTAGCCTTACATGAAAAAAAACCCGTTTCCAACGAAGGCCTCTAAGTGGTCAAAATATCCACGTGCAGACTTTACAAACAGAGTGTTTCCAAACTGCTGAATGAAAAGAAAAGTTAAACTCTGCGAGTTGAACGCACACATCACAGAGCGGTTTCTGAGAATGATTCTGTCTAGTTTTTATAAGAAGATATTTCCTTTTCTGCCTTTGGCCCCAAAGCGCTTGAAATCTCCACTTGCAAATTCCACAAAAACAGTGTTTCAAATCTGCTCTCTCTAAATGAAAGTTCAACTCTGTCAGTTGAATACACACAACACAAAGAAGTTACTGAGAATTCTTCTGTCTAGCAGAATATGAAGAAATCCCGTTTCCAACGAAGGCGTCAAAGAGGTCTGAATATCCACTTGCAGACTTTGCAAACAGAGTGTTTCCTAACTGCTCTATGAAAAGAAAGGTTAAACTCTGTGAGTTGAACGCCCACATCACAAAGGAGTTTCTGAGAATCATTCTGTCTTGTTTTTCTACGAAGATATTTCCTTTTCTACTATTGACCTCAAAGCGGCTGAAATCTCCACTTGCAAATTCCACAAAAAGAGTGTTTCAAGTCTGCTCTGTGTAAAGGATCGTTCAACTCTGTGAGCTGAATACACACAACACAAGGAAGTTACTGAGAATTATTCTGTCTAGCAGAATATGAAGAAATCCCGTTTCCAACGAAGGCCACAAGATGTCAGAATATCCACTTACAGAATTGACAAACAGACTGTTTCCTAACTGCTCTATGAAAAGAAAGGTTAAACTCTGTGAGTTGAACGAACACATCACAACCCAAGTTTGTGGGAATGATTCTGTCTGGTTTTTATACGAAGATATTTCCTTTTCTACCATGGACCTCAAAGCGGCTGAAATCTCCACTTGCAAATTCCACAAAAAGAGTGTTCCAAGTCTGCTCTGTGTAAAGGATCGTTCAACTCTGTGAGTTGAATACACACAACACAAGGAAGTTACTGAGAATTCTTCTGTCTAGCCTTACATGGAAAAAACCCGTTTCCAACGAAGGCATCTAAGTGGTCAAATTATGCACGTGCAGACTTTACAAACAGAGTGTTTCCAAACTGCTGAATGAAAGGAAAAGTTAAACTCTGAGAGTTGAACGCACACATCGCAGAGCAGTTTCTGAGAATGATTCTGTCTAGTTTTTATACGAAGATATTTCCTTTTCTGCCTTTGGCCTCAAAGCGCTTGAAATCTCCACTTGCAAATTCCACAAAAGAGTGTTTCCAATCTGCTCTGTGTAAATGAAAGTTCAACTCTGTGAGTTGAATACACACAACACAAGGAAGTTACTGAGAATTCTTCTGTGTAGCATAACATAAAGAAATCCCGTTTGCAACGAAGGCCTCAAAGAGGTCTGAATATCCAATTGCAGATTTTACAAACAGAGTGTTTCCTAACTGCTCTATGAAAAGGAAGGTTAAACTCTGTGAGTTGAACGCACACATCACAAAGCAGTTTCTGAGAATCATTCTGTCTAGTTTCTATAGGAAGATATTTCCTATTCTACCGTTGACCTCAAAGCGGCTGAAATCTCCACTTGCAAATTCCACAAAAAGAGTGTTTCAAGTCTGTTCTGTGTAAAGGATCATTCAACTCTGTGAGTTGAATACACACAACACAAGGAAGTTACTGAGAATTCTTCTGTCTAGCAGAATATGAAGAAATCCCGTTTCCAACGAAGGCCACAAGACGTCAGAATATCCACTTACAGACTTTACAAACAGAGTGTTTCCTAACTGCTCTATGAAAAGAAAGGTTAAACTCTGTGAGTTGAACGAACACATCACAACGCAGTTTCTGGGAATGATTCTGTCTAGTTTTGAAACGAAGATATTTCCTTTTCTGCCATTGACCTTAAAGCGCTTGAAATCTCCACTTGCCAATTGCACAAAAAGAGTGTTTCAAATCTGCTCTGTCTAAGGGAACGTTCAACTCTGTGAGTTGAATGTACACAACACAAGGAAGTTACTGGGAATTCTTCTGTCTAGCCTTACATGAAAAAAACCCGTTTCCAACGAAGGACTCTAAGTGGTCAAAATATCCACGTGCAGACTTTACAAACAGAGTGTTTCCAAACCGCTGAATGAAAAGAAAAGTTAAACTCTGAGAGTTGAACGCACACATCGCGCAGCAGGTTCTGAGAATGATTCTGTCTAGTTCTTCTACGAAGATATTTCCTATTCTACCATTGACCCCAAAGCGGCTGAAATCTCCACTTGCAAATTCCACAAAAAGAATGTTTCAAGTCTGCTCAGTGTAAAGGATCGTTCAACTCTGTGAGTTGAATACACACAACACAAGGAAGTTACTGAGAATTCTTCTGTCTAGCATAATATGAAGAAATCCCGTTTCCAATGAAGGACTCAAAGAGGTCTGAATATCCACTTGCAGACTTTACAAACAGAGTGTTTCCTAACTGCTCTATGAAAAGAAAAGTTAAACTCTGTGAGTTGAACGCACACATCACAAAGGAGTTTCTGAGAATCATTCTGTCTAGTCTTTATACGAAGATATTTCCTTTTCTAACATTGACCTCAAAGCGGCTGAAATCTCCACTTGCAAATTCCACAAAAAGAGTGTTTCAAGTCTGCTCTGTGTAAAGGATCATTCAACTCTGTGAGTTGAATAAACACAACACAAGGAAGTTACTGAGAATTCTTCTGTCTAGCAGAATATGAAGAAATCCCGTTTCCAACGAAGGCCACAAGATGTCAGAATATCCACTTACAGAATTGACAAACAGACTGTTTCCTAACTGCTCTATGAAAAGAAAGTTTAAACTCTGTGAGTTGAACGAACACATCACAAAGCAGTTTGTGGGAATGATTCTGTCTAGTTTTGAAACGAAGATATTTCCTTTTCTGCCATTGACCTTAAAGCGCTTGAAATCTACACTTGCAAATTGCACAAATAGAGTGTTTCAAATCTGCTCTGTCTAAGGGAACGTTCAGCTCTGTGAGTTGAATGCACACAACACAAGGAAGTTACTGGGAATTCTTCTGTCTAGCCTTACAAGAATAAAACCCGTTTCCAACGAAGGCCTCTAAGTTGTCAAAATATCCACGTGCAGACTTTACAAAGAGAATGTTTCCAAACTGCTGAATGAAAAGAAAAATTAAACTCTGAGAGTTGAATGCACACATCGCAGAGCAGTTTCTGAGAATGATTCTGTCTAGTTTTTATACGAAGATATTTCCTTTTCTGCCTTTGGCCTCAAAGCGCTTGAAATCTCCATTTGCAAATTCCACAAAAAGAGGGTTTCAAATCTGCTCTGTGTAAATGAAAGTTCAACTCTGTGAGTTGAACACACACAACACAAGGAAGTTACTGGGAATTCTTCTGTCTAGCATAATATGAAGAAATCCCGTTTCCAACGAAGGCCTCAAAGACGTCTGAATATCCACTTGCAGACTTTACAAACAGAGTGTTTCCTAACTGCTCGATGAAAAGAAAAGTTAAACTCTGTGAGTTGAAGGCACACATCACAAAGGATTTTCTGAGAATCATTCTGTGTACTTTCTATAGGAAGATATTTCCTATTCTACATTTGAACTCAAAGCGGCTGAAATCTCCACTTGCAAATTCCACAAAAAGAGTGTTTCAAGTCTGCTCTGTGTAAAGGGTCGTTCAACTCTGTGAGTTGAATACACACAACACAAGGAAGTTCCTGAGAATTCCTCTGTCTAGCAGAATATGAAGAAATCCCGTTTCCAACGAAGGCCACAAGATGTCAGAATATCCACTTACAGAATTTTCAAATAGACTGTTTCCTAACTGCTCTATGAAAAGAATGGTTAAACTCTGTGAGTTGAACGAACACATCACAACGCAGTTTGTGGGAATGATTCTGTCTAGTTTTGAAACGAAGATATTTCCTTTTCTGCCATTGACCTTAAAGCGCTTGAAATCTCCACTTGCCAATTGCACAAAAAGAGTGTTTCAAATCTGCTCTGTCTAAGGGAACGTTCAACTCTGTGAGTTGAATGTACACAACGCAAGGAAGTTACTGGGAATTCTTCTGTGTAGCCTTACATGAAAAAAACCCGTTTCCAACGAAGGCCTCTAAGTGGTCAAATTATCCACGTGCAGACTTTACAAACAGAGTGTTTCCAAACTGCTGAATGAAAAGAAAAGTTAAACTGTGAGAGTTGAACGCACACATCGCAGAGCAGTTTCTGAGAATGATTCTGTCTAGTTTCTATAGGAAGAAATTTCCTATTCTACCATTGACCTCAAAGCGGCTGAAATCTCCACTTGCAAATTCCACAAAAAGAGTGTTTCAAGTCTGCTCTCTGTAAAGGATCGTTCAACTCTGTGAGTTGAATACACACAACACAAGGAAGTTACTGAGAATTATTCTGTCTAGCATAATATGAAGAAATCCCGTTTCCAACGAAGGCCTCAAAGAGGTCTGAATATTCACTTGCAGACTTTACAAACAGAGTGTTTCCTAACTGCTCCATGAAAAGAAAAGTTAAACTCTGTGAGTTGAACGCACACATCACAAAGGATTTTCTGAGAATCATTCTGTCTAGTTTTTATACGAAGATATTTCCTTTTCTACCATTGACCTCAACGCGGCTGAAATCTCCACTTGCAAATTCCACAAAACGAGTGTTTCAAGTCTGCTCTGTGTAAAGGATCGTTCAACTCTGTGAGTTGAATACACACAACACAAGGGAAGTTACTGAGGAATTCTTCTGTCTAGCAGAATATGAAGAAATCCCGTTTCCAACGAAGGCCACAAGATGTCAGAATATCCACTTACAGAATTTACAAACAGAGTGTTTCCTAACTGCTCTATGAAAAGAAAGGTTAAACTCTGTGAGTTGAACGAACACATCACAACGCAGTTTGTGGGAATGATTCTGTCTAGTTTTGAAAGTAAGATATTTCCTTTTCTGCCATTGACCTTAAAGCGCTTGAAATCTCCACTTGCTAATTGCACAAAAAGAGTGTTTCAAATCTGCTCTGTCTAAGGGAACGTTCAACTCTGTGAGTTGAATGTACACAACACAAGGAAGTTACTGGGAATTCTTCTGTCTAGCCTTACAGGAAAAAAACCCGTTTCCAACGAAGGCCTCTAAGTGGTCAAAATATCCACGTGCAGACATTACAAACAGAGTGTTTCCAAACTGCTGAATGAAAAGAAAAGTTAAACTCTGAGAGTTGAACGCACACATCGCAGAGCAGTTTCTGAGAATGATTCTGTCTAGTTTTTATACGAAGATATTTCCTTTTCTGCCTTTGGCCTCAAAGCGCTTGAAATCTCCATTTGCAAATTCCACAAAAAGAGTGTTTCAAATCTGCTCTGTGTAAATGAAAGTTCAACTCTGTGAGTTGAACACACACAACACAAGGAAGTTACTGGGAAATCTTCTGTCTAGCATAATATGAAGAAATCCCGTTTCCAACGAAGGCTTCAAAGAGGTCTGAATATCCACTTGCAGACTTTACAAACAGAGTGTTTCCTAACTGCTCTATGAGAAGAAAGGTTAAACTCTGTGAGTTGAACGCACACATCACAAAGGAGTTTCTGAGAATCATTCTGTCTAGTCTTCATACGAAGATATTTACTTTTCTACCATTGACCTCAAAGCGGCTGAAATCTCCACTTGCAAATTCCACAAAAAGAGTGTTTCAAGTCTGCTCTGTGTAAAGGATCATTCAACTCTGTGAGTTGAATACACACAACACAAGGAAGTTACTGAGAATTATTCTGTCTAGCATAATATGAAGAAATCCCGTTTCCAACGAAGGCCTCAAGGAGGTCTGAATATCCACTTGCAGACTTTACAAACAGAGTGTTTCCTAACTGCTCTATGAAAAGAAAGGTTAAACTCTGTGAGTTGAACGCATACATCACAAAGGAGTTTATGAGAATCATTCTGTCTAGTTTTGAAACGAAGATATTTCCTTTTCTGCCATTGACCTTAAAGCGCTTGAAATCTCCATTTGCCAATTGCACAAAAAGAGTGTTTCAAATCTGCTCTGTCTAAGGGAACGTTCAACTCTGTGAGTTGAATGTACACAACACAAGGAAGTTACTGCGAATTCTTCTGTCTAGCCTTACATGAAAAAAACCCGTTTCCAACGAAGGCCTCTAAGTGGTCAAAATATCCACGTGCAGACTTTACAAACAGAGTGTTTCCAAACCGCTGAATGAAAAGAAAAGTTAAACTCTGAGAGTTGAACGCAAACATCACGCAGCAGTTTTTGAGAATGATTCTGTCTAGTTTTTATACGAAGATATTTCCTTTTCTGCCTTTGGCCCCAAATCGCTTGAAATCTCCACTTGCAAATTCCACCAAAACAGTGTTTCAAATCTGCTCTCTCTAAATGAAAGTTCAACTCTGTCAGTTGAATACACACAACACAAGGAAGTTACTTAGAATTCTTCTGTCTAGCCTTATATGAAAAAAACCCGTTTCCAACGAAGGCCTCAAAGAGGTCTCAATATCCACTTGCAGACTTTACAAACAGAGTGTTTCCTAACTGCTCTATGAAAAGAAAGGTTAAACTCTGTGAGTTGAACGTACACATCACAAAGGAGTTTCTGAGAATCATTCTGTCTAGTCTTTATACGAAGATATTTCCTTTTCTACCATTGACCTCAAAGCGGCTGAAATCTCCACTTGCAAATTCCACAAAAAGAGTGTTTCAAGTCTCCTCTGTGTAAAGGATCGTTCAACTCTGTGAGTTGAATACACACAACACAAGGAAGTTAGTGAGAATTCTTCTGTCTAGCAGAATATCAAGAAATCCCGTTTCCAACGAAGGCCACAAGATGTCAGAATATCCACGTACAGAATTTACAAACAGACTGTTTCCTAACTACTCTATGAAAAGAAAGGTTAAACTCTGTGAGTTGAACGAACACATCACAACGCAGTTTGTGGGAATGATTCTGTCTAGTTTTGAAACGAAGATATTTCCTTTTCTGCCATTGACATTAAAGCGCTTGAAATCTACACTTGCAAATTGCACAAATAGAGTGTTTCAAATCTGCTCTGTCTAAGGGAACGTTGAACTCTGTGAGTTGAATGCACACAACACAAGGAAGTTACTGGGAATTCTTCTGTCTAGCCTTACATGAAAAAAACCCGTTTCCAACGAAGGCCTCTAAGTGGTCAAAATATCCACGTGCAGACTTTACAAACAGAGTGTTTCCAAACCGCTGAATGAAAAGAAAAGTTAAACTCTGAGAGTTGAACGCACACATCACGCAGCAGTTTCTGAGAATGATTATCTGTCTAGTTTCTATAGGAAGATATTTCCTATTCTACCATTGAACTCAAAGCGGCTGAAATCTCCACTTGCAAATTCCACAAAAAGAGTGTTTCAAGTCTGCTCTGTGTAAAGGATAGTTCAACTCTGTGAGTTGAATACACACAACACAAGGAAGTTACTGAGAATTCTTCTGTCTAGCATAATAGGAAGAAACTCCCGTTTCCAACGAAGGCCTCAAGGAGGTCTGAATATCCACTTGCAGACTTTACAAACAGAGTGTTTCCTAACTGCTCTATGAAAAGAAAGGTTAAACTCTGTGCGTTGAAAGCACACATCACAAAGGAGTTTCTGAGAATCATTCTGTCTAATTTCTATAGGAAGATATTTCCTATTCTACCATTGACCTCAAAGCGGCTGAAATCTCCACTTACAAATTCCACAAAAAGAATGTTTCAAGTCTGCTCTGTGTAAAGGATCGTTCAACTCTGTGAGTTGAATACACACAACACAAGGAAGTTACTGAGAATTCTTCTGTCTAGCATAATATGAAGAAATCCCGTTTCCAACAAAGGCCTCAAAGAGGTCTGAATATCCACTTGCAGACTTTACAAACAGAGTGTTTCCTAACTGCTCTATGAAAAGAAAAGTTAAACTCTGTGAGTTGAACGCACACATGACAAAGGAGTTTATGAGAATCATTCTGTCTAGTTTTGAAACGAAGATATTTCCTTTTCTGCCGTTGACCTTAAAGCGCTTGAAATCTACACTTGCAAATTGGACAAATAGAGTGTTTCAAATCTGCTCTGTCTAAGGGAACGTTCAACTCTGTGAGTTGAATGCACACAACACAAGGAAGTTACTGGGAATTCTTCTGTCTAGCCTTACATGAAGAAAACCCGTTTCCAACGAAGGCCTCTAAGTGGTCAAAATATCCACGTGCAGACTTTACAAACAGAGTGTTTCCAAACCGCTGAATGAAAAGAAAAGTTAAACTCTGAGAGTTGAACGCACACATCACGCAGCAGTTTCTGAGAATGATTCTGTCTAGTTTTTATACGAAGATATTTCCTTTTCTGCCTTTGGCCCCAAAGCGCTTGAAATCTCCACTTGCAAATTCCACAAAAACAGTGTTTCAAATCTGCTCTCTCTAAATGAATGTTCAACTCTGTCAGTTGAATACACACAACACAAGGAAGTTAGTGAGAATTCTTCTGTATAGCAGAATATGAAGAAATCCCGTTTCCAACGAAGGCCTCAAGGAGGTCTGAATATCCACTTGCAGACTTTACAAACAGAGTGTTTCCAAACTGCTCTATGAAAAGAAAGGTTAAACTCTGTGAGTTGAACGCAGACATCACAAAGGAGTTTCTGAGAATCACTCTGTCTAGTTTTTATACGAAGATATTTCCTTTTCTACCATTGACCTCAAAGCGGCTGAAATCTCCACCCTGCCAATTCCACAAAAAGAGTGTTTCAAGTCTACTCTGTGTAAAGGATCGTTGAACTCTGTGAGTTGAAAACACACAACACAACAAAGTTTCTGAGAATTCTTCTGTCTAGCAAAATATGAAGAAATCCCGTTTCCAACGAAGGCCACAAATGTCAGAATATCCACTTACAGAATTTACAAACAGACTGTTTCCTAACTGCTCTATGAAAAGAAAGGTTAAACTCTGTGAGTTGAACGAACACATCACAACGCAGTTTGTGGGAATGATTCTGTCTAGTTTTGAAACGAAGATATTTCCTTTTCTGCCATTGACCTTAAAGCACTTGAAATCTCCACTTGCCAATTGCACAAAAAGAGTGTTTCAAATATGCTCTGTCTAAGGGAACGTTCAACTCTGTGAGTTGAATGTACACAACACAAGGAAGTTACTGGGAATTCTTCTGTCTAGCCTTACATGAAAAAAACCCGTTTCCAACGAAGGCCTCTAAGTGGTCAAATTATCCACGTGCAGACTTTACAAACAGAGTGTTTCCAAACTGCTGAATGAAAAGAAAAGTTAAACTCTGAGAGTTGTACGCAGACATCGCAGAGCAGTTTCTGAGAATGATTCTGTCTAGTTTTTATACGAAGATATTTCCTTTTCTGCCTTTGGCCTCAAAGCGCTTGAAATCTCCATTAGCAAATTCCACAAAAAGAGTGTCTCAAATCTGCTCCTGTGTAAAGGACCGTTCACCTACTGTGAGTTGAACACACACAACACAAGGAAGTTACTGGGAATTCTTCTTTCTAGCAGAATATGAAGAAATCCCGTTTCCAACGAAAGCCTCAATGATGTCTGAATATCCACTTGCAGACTTTACAAACAGAGTGTTTCCTAACTGCTCTATGAAAAGAAAGGTTAAACTCTGTGAGTTGAACGCACACATCACAAAGGAGTTTCTGAGAATCATTCTGTCTAGTTTTTCTACGAAGATATTTCCTTTTCCACTATTGACCTCAAAGCGGCTGAAATCTCCACTTGCAAATTCTACAAAAAGAGTGTTTCAAGTCTGCTCTGTGTAAAGGATCGTTCAACTCTGTGAGTTGAATACACACAACACAAGGAAGTTACTGAGAATTCTTCTGTGTAACAGAATATGAAGAAATCCCGTTTCCAACGAAGGCCTCAAAGAGGTCTGAATATCCACTTGCAGACTTTACAAACAGAGTGTTTCCTAACTGCTCTATGAAAAGAAAGGTTAAACTCTGTGAGTTGAACGCACACATCACAAAGGAGTTTCTGAGAATCATTCTGTCTAGTTTCTATAGAAAGATATTTCCTATTCTACCATTGACCTCAAAGCGGCTGAAATCTCCACTTGCAAATTCCACAAAAAGAGTGTTTCAAGTCTGCTCTCTGTAAAGGATCGTTCAACTCTGTGAGTTGAATACACACAACACAAGGAAGTTACTGAGAATTCTACTGTCTAGCCTTACAGGAAAAAAACCCGTTTCCAACGAAGGCCTCTAAGTGGTCAAAATATCCACGTGCAGACTTTACAAACAGAGTGTTTCCAAACTGCTGAATGAAAAGAAAAGTTAAACTCTGAGAGTTGAACGCACACATCGCAGAGCAGTTTCTGAGAATGATTCTGTCTAGTTTTGAAACGAAGATATTTCCTTTTCTGCCTTTGGCCTCAAAGCGCTTGAAATCTCCACTTGCAAATTCCACAAAAAGAGTGTTACAAGTCTGCTCTGTGTAAAGGATCGTTCAACTCTGTGAGTTGAATACACACAACACAAGGAAGTTACTGAGAATTACTTCTGTCTAGCAGAACATGAAGAAATCCCGCTTCCAAAGAAGGCCTCAAAGAAGTCTGAATATCCACTTGCAGACTTTACAAACAGAGTGTTTCCCAACTGCTCTATGAAAAGAAAGGTTGAACTCTGTGAGTTGAACACACACATCACAAAGGAGTTTCTGAGAATCATTCTGTCTAGTCTTTATACGAAGATATTACCTTTTCTACCATTGACATCAAAGCGGCTGAAATCTCCATTTGCAAATTCCACAAAAAGAGTGTTTCAAGTCTGCTCTGTGTAAAGGATCGTTCAACTCTGTGAGTTGAATACACACAACACAAGGAAGTTACTGAGAATTCTTCTGTCTAGCAGGAATATGAAGAAATCCCGTTTCCAACGAAGGCCACAAGATGTCAGAATATCCACTTACAGAATTGACAAACAGACTGTTTCCTAACTGCTCTATGAAAAGAAAGGTTAAACTCTGTGAGTTGAACGAACACATCACAACGCAGTTTGTGGGAATGATTCTGTCTAGTTTTTATACGAAGATATTTCCTTTTCTACCATTGACCTCAAAGCGGCTGAAATCACCACTTGCCAAATGCACAAAAAGAGTGTTTCAAATCTGCTCTGTCTAAGGGAACGTTCAACTCTGTGAGTTGAATGTACACAACACAAGGAAGTTACTGGGAATTCTTCTGTCTAGCCTTACATGAAAAAAACCCGTTTCCAACGAAGGCCTCTAAGTGTTCAAAATATCCACGTGCAGACTTTACAAACAGAGTGTTTCCAAACCGCTGAATGAAAGGAAAAGTTAAACTCTGAGAGTTGAACGCACACATCACGCAGCAGTTTTCTGAGAATGATTTCTGTCTAGTTTTTATACGAAGATATTTCCTTTTCTGCCTTTGGCCCCAAAGCTCTTGAAATCTCCACTTGCAAATTCCACAAAAACAGTGTTTCAAATGTGCTCTCTCTAAATGAAAGTTCAACTCTGTCAGTTGAATACACACAACACAAGGAAGTTACTGAGAATTCTTCTCTCCAGCACAGTATGAAGAAATCCCGTTTCCAACGAAGGCCTCAAAGAGGTCTGAATATCCACTTGCACAGTTTAAAAACACAGTGTTTCCTAACTGCTCTATGAAAAGAAAGGTTAAACTCTGTGAGTTGAACGCACACATCACAAAGAAGTTTCTGAGAATCATTCTGTCTAATTTCTATAGGTAGATATTTCCTATTCTACCATTGACCTCAAAGCGGCTGAAATCTCCACTTGCAAATTCCACAAAAAGAGTGTTTCAAGACTGTTCTGTGTAAAGGATCATTCAACTCTGTGAGTTGAATACACACAACACAAGGAAGTTACTGAGAATTCTTCTGTCTAGCAGAATATGAAGAAATCCCGTTTCCAACGAAGGCCACAAGATGTCAGAATATCCACTTACAGAATTAACAAACAGAGTGTTTCCTAACTGCTCTATGAAAAGAAAGGTTAAACTCTGTGAGATGAACGAACACATCACAACGCAGTTTGTGGGAATGATTCTGTCTAGTTTTGAAACGAAGATATTTCCTTTTCTGCCATTGACCTCAAAGCGCTTGAAATCTCCACTTGCCAATTGCACAAAAAGAGTGTTCCAAATCTGCTCTGTCTAAGGGAACGTTCAACTCTGTGAGTTGAATGTACACAACACAAGGAAGTTACTGGGAATTCTTCTGTCTAGCCCTACATGACAAAAACCCGTTTCCAACGAAGGCCTCTATGTGGTCAAATTATCCACGTGCAGACTTTTCAAACAGAGTGTTTCCAAACTGCTGAATGAAAAGGAAAGTTAAACTCTGAGAGTTGAACGCACACATCACAGAGCAGTTTCTGAGAATCATTCTGTCCAGTTTTTATACGAAGATATTTCCTTTTCTTCCTTTGGCCTCAAAGCGCTTGAAATCTCCATTTGCAAATTCCACAAAAAGAGTGTTTCAAATCTGCTCTGTGTAAATCAAAGTTCAACTCTGTGAGTTGAACACACACAACACAAGGAAGTTACTGGGAATTCTTCTGTCTAGCCTTATATGAAAAAAACCCGTTTCCAACGAAGGCCTCAAAGAGGTCTGAATATCCACTTGCAGACTTTACAAAAAGAGTGTTTCCTAACTGCTCTATGAAAAGAAAAGTTAAACTCTGTGAGTTGAACGCACACATCACAAAGGAGTTTCTGAGAATCATTCTGTCTAATTTTTATAGGAAGATATTTCCTTTTCTACCTTTGACTTCAAAGCGGCTGAAATCTCCACTTGCAAATTCCACAAAAAGAGTGTTACAAGTCTGCTCTGTGTAAAGGATCGTTCAACTCTGTGAGTTGAATACACACAACACAAGGAAGTTACTGAGAATTCTTCTGTCTAGCACAGTATGAAGAAATCCCGTTTCCAACGAAGGCCTCAAAGAGGTCTGAATATCCACTTGCAGAGTTTACAAACAGAGTGTTTCCTAACTGCTCTATGAAAAGAAAGGTTAAACTCTGTGAGTTGAACGCACACTTCACAAATGAAGTTTCTGAGAATCATTCTGTCTAGTTTTGAAACGAAAATATTTCCTTTTCTGCCATTGACCTTAAAGCGCTTGAAATCTCCACTTGCCAATTGCACAAAAAGAGTGTTTCAAATCTGCTCTGTCTAAAGGAACGTTCAACTCTGTGAGTTGAATGTACACAACACAAGGAAGTTACTGGGAATTCTTCTGTCTAGCCTTACATGCAAAAAACCGTTTCAAAAGAAGGCCTCTAAGTGGTGAAAATATCCACGTGCGGACTTTACAAACAGAGTGTTTCCAAACCGCTGAATGAAAAGAAAAGTTAAACTCTGAGAGTTGAATGCACACATCACGCAGCAGTTTCTGAGAATGATTCTGTCTAGTTTTTATACGAAGATATTTCCTTTTCTGCCTTTGGCCCCAAAGCGCTTGAAATCTCCACTTGCAAATTCCACAAAAACAGTGTTTCAAATGTGATCTCTCTAAATGAAAGTTCAACTCTGTCAGTTGAATACACACAACACAAGGAAGTTACTGAGAATTCTTCTGTCTAGCATAATATGAAGAAATCCAGTTTCCAACGAAGGCCTCAAGGATGTCTGAATTATCCACTTGCAGACTTTACACACAGAGTGTTTCCTAACTGCTCTATGAAAAGAAAGGTTAAACTCTGTGAGTTGAACGCACACATCACAAAGGAGTTTCTGAGAATCATTCTGTCTAGTTTCTATAGGAAGATATTTCCTATTCTACCGTTGACCTCAAAGCGGCTGAAATCTCCACTTGCAAATTCCACAAAAAGAGTGTTTCAAGTCTGCTCTATGTAAAGGATCGTTCAACTCTGTGAGTTGAATACACACAACACAAGGAAGTTTCTGAGAATTCTTCTGTCTAGCAGAATATGAAGAAATCCCGTTTCCAACGAAGGCCACAAGATGTCAGAATATCCACTTACAGACTTTACAAACAGAGTGTTTCCTAACTGCTCTATGAAAAGAAAAGTTAAACTCTGTGAGTTGAACGCACACATCACAAAGGAGTTTATGAGAATCATTCTGTCTAGTCTTTATACGAAGATATTTCCTTTTCTACCATTGACCTCAAAGCGGCTGTAATCTCCACTTGCAAATTCCACAAAAAGAGTGTTTCAAGTCTGCTCTGTGTAAAGGATTGTTCAACTCTGTGAGCCGAATACACACAACACAAGGAAGTTACTGAGAATTCTTCTGTCTAGCCTTACATGAAAAAAACCCGTTTCCAACGAAGGCCTCAAAGAGGTCAAAATATCCACGTGCAGACTTTCCAAACAGAGTGTTTCCAAACTGCTGAATGGAAAGAAAAGTTAAACTCTGTGAGTTGAACGCACACATCCCAGAGCAGTTTCTGAGAAAGATTCTGTCTAGTTTTGAAACGAAGATATTTCTTTTTCTGCCTTTGGCCTCAAAGCGCTTGAAATCTCCACTTGCAAATTCCACAAAAAGAGTGTTTCAAATCTGCTCTGTGTAAATGAAAGTTCAACTCTGTGAGTCGAACACACACAATACAAGGAAGTTACTGGGAATTCTTCTGTCTAGCATAATATGAAGAAATCCCGTTTCCTACGAAGGCCTCAAAGAGGTCTGAATATCCACTTGCAGACTTTACAAACAGAGTGTTTCCTAACTGCTCTATGAAAAGAAAGGTTGAACTCTGTGAGTTGAGCGCACACATCACAAAGGAGTTTCTGAGAATCATTCTGTCTAGTTTTTATACGAAGATATTTCCTTTTCTACCATTGACCTCAACGCGGCTGAAATCTCCAATTGCAAATTCCACAAAAAGAGTGTTACAAGTCTGCTCTGTGTAAAGGATCGTTCAACTCTGTGAGTTGAATACACACAACACAAGGAAAGTTACTGAGAATTCTTCTGTCTAGCAGAATATGAAGAAATCCCGTTTCCAACGAAGGCCACAAGATGTCAGAATATCCACTTACAGACTTTACAAACAGAGTGTTTCCTAACTGCTCTATGAACAGAAAGGTTAAACTCTGTGAGTTGAACGAACACATCAGAACGCAGTTTGTGGGAATGATTCTGTCTAGTTTTGAAACGAAGATATTTCCTTTTCTGCCGTTGACCTTAAAGCGCTTGAAATCTACACTTGCAAATTGCACAAATAGAGTGTTTCAAATCTGCTCTGTCTAAGGGAACGTTCAACTCTGTGAGTTGAATGCACACAAAACAAGGAAGTTACTGGGAATTCTTCTGTCTAGCCTTACATGAAAAAAACCCGTTTCCAACGAAGGCCTCTAAGGGGTCAAAATATCCTCGTGCAGACTTTACAAACAGAGTGTTTCCAAACCGCTGAATGAAAAGAAAAGTTAAACTCTGAGAGTTCAACGCACACATCACGCAGCAGTTTCTGAGAATGATTCTGTCTAGTTTTTATACGAAGATATTTCCTTTTCCGCCTTTGGCCCCAAAGCGCTTGAAATCTCCACTTGCAAATTCCACAAAAACAGTGTTTCAAATCTGCTCTCTATAAATGAAAGTTCAACTCTGTCAGTTGAATACACACAACACAAAGAAGTTACTGAGAATTCTTCTGTCTAGCCTTATATGAAAAAAACCCGTTTCCAACGAAGGCCTCAAACAGGTCTGAATATCCACTTGCAGACTTTAGAAACAGAGTGTTTCCTAACTGCTCTATGAAAAGAAAGGTTAAACTCTGTGAGTTGAACGCACACATCACAAAGGAGTTTCTGAGAATCATTCTGTCTAGTTTCTATAGGAAGATATTTCCTATTCTACCACTGACCTCAAAGCGGCTGAAATCTCCACTTGCAAATTCCACAAAAAGAGTGTTTCAAGTCTGCTCTCTGTAAAGGATCGTTCAACTCTGTGAGTTGAATACACACAACACAAGGAAGTTTCTGAGAATTATTCTGTCTAGCAGAATATGAAGAAATCCCGTTTCCAACGAAGGCCACAAGATGTCAGAATATCCACTTACAGAATTGACAAACAGACTGTTTCCTAACTGCTCTATGAAAAGAAAGGTTAAACTCTGTGAGTTGAACGAACACATCACAACGCAGGTTGTGGGAATTATTCTGTCTAGTTTTGAAACGAAGATATTTCCTTTTCTGCCATTGACCTTAAAGCGCTTGAAATCTACACTTGCAAATTGCACAAATAGAGTGTTTCAAATCTGCTCTGTCTAAGGGAACGTTCAACTCTGTGAGTGGAATGCACACAACAGAAGGAAGTTACTGGGAATTCTTCTGTCTAGCCTTACATGAAAAAAACCCGTTTCCAACGAAGGCCTCTAAGTGGTCAAATTATCCACGTGCAGACTTTACAAACAGAGTGTTTCCAAACTGCTGAATGAAAAGCAAAGTTAAACTCTGAGAGTTGAACGGCACACATCGCAGAGCAGTTTCTGAGAATGATTCTGTCTAGTTTTGAAACGAAGATATTTCCTTCTCTGCCTTTGGCCTCAAAGCGCTTGAAATCTCCACTTGCAAATTCCACAAAAAGAGTGTTTCAAATCTGCTCTGTGTAAATGAAAGTTCAACTCTGTGAGTTGAACACACACAACACAAGGAAGGTACTGGGAATTCTTCTGTCTAGCATAATATGAAGAAATCCCCTTTCCAACGAAGGCCTCAAGGAGGTCTGAATATCCACTTGCACACTTTACAAACAGAGTGTTTCCTAACTGCTCTATGAAAAGAAAGGTTAAACTCTGTGAGTTGAACGCACACATCACAAAGGAGTTTCTCAGAATCATTCTGTCTAGTTTTTATACGAAGATATTTCCTATTCTACCATTGACCTCAAATCGGCTGAAATCTCCACTTGCAAATTCAACAAAAAGTGTGTTTCAAGTCTCCTCTGTGTAAAGCATCGTTGAACTCTGTGAGTTGAATACACACAACACAAGGAAGTTACTGAGAATTCTTCTCTCTAGCAGAATATGAAGAAATCCCGTTTCCAACGATGGCCTCAAAGAGGTCTGAATATCCACATGCAGACTTTACAAACAGAGTGTTTCCTAACTGCTCTATGAAAAGAAAGGTTAAACTCTGTGAGTTGAACGCACACATCACAAAGGAGTTTCTGAGAATCATTCTGTCTAGTTTTGAAACGAAGATATTTCCTTTTCTGCCATTGACCTTAAAGCTCTTGAAATCTCCACTTGCAAATTGCACAAAAAGAGTGTTTCAAATCTGCTCTGTCTAAAGGAACGTTCAACTCTGTGAGTTGAATGCACCCAACACAAAGAAGTTACTGGGAATTCTTCTGTCTAGCCTTACATGGAAAAAGCCCGTATCCAATGAAGGACTCAAAGAGGTCAATATATCCACTTGCAGACTTTACAAGCAGAGTGTTTCCAAACTGCTGAATGAAAAGAAAAGTTAAACTCTGTGAGTTGAACGCACACATCACAGAGCAGTTTCTGAGAATGATTCTGTCTAGTTTTGAAACGAAGATATTTCCTTTTCTGCCTTTGGCCTCAAAGCGCTTGAAATCTCCACTTGCAAATTCCACAAAAAGAGTGTTTCAAATCTGCTCTGTGTAAATGAAAGTTCAACTCTGTGACTTGAACACACACAACACAAGGAAGTTACTGGGAATTCTTCTTTCTAGCAGAATATGAAGAAATCCCGTTTCCAACGAAAGCCTCAAAGATGTCTGAATATCCACTTGCAGACTTTACAAACAGAGTGTTTCCCAACTGCTCTATGAAAAGAAAGGTTAAACTCTGTGAGTTGAACGCACACATCACAAAGGAGTTTCTGAGAATCATTCTGTCTAGTTTTTATAGGAAGATATTTCCTTTTCTACCTTTGACTTGAAAGCGGCTGAAATCTCCACTTGCAAATTCCACAAAAAGAGTGTTACAAGTCTGCTCTGTCTAAGGGAACGTTCAACTCTGTGAGTGGAATGTACACAACACAAGGAAGTTACTGGGAATTCTTCTGTCTAGCAAAATATGAAGAAATCCCTTTTCCAACGAAGGCCACAAGATGTCAGAATATCCACTTACAGACTTTACAAACAGAGTGTTTCCTAACTGCTCTATGAACAGAAAGGTTAAACTCTGTGAGTTGAACGAACACATCACAACGCAGTTTGTGGGAATGATTCTGTCTAGTTTTGAAACGAAGATATTTCCTTTTTCTGCCGTTGACCTTAAAGCGCTTGAAATCTACACTTGCAAATTGCACAAATAGAGTGTTTCAAATCTGCTCTGTCTAAGGGAACGTTCAACTCTGTGAGTTGAATGCACACAACACAAGGAAGTTACTGGGAATTCTTCTGTCTAGCCTTACATGAAAAAAACCCGTTTCCAACGAAGGCCTCTAAGTGGTCAAAATATCCACGTGCAGACTTTACAAACAGAGTGTTTCCAAACCGCTGAATGAAAAGAAAAGTTAAACTCTGAGAGTTGAACGCACAGATCACGCAGCAGTTTCTGAGAATGATTCTGTCAAGTTTTTATACGAAGATATTTCCTTTTCTGCCTTTGGCCCCAAAGCGCTTGAAATCTCCACTTGCAAATTCCACAAAAACAGTGTTTCAAATCTGATCTCTCTAAATGAAAGATCAACTCTCTCAGTTGAATACACACAACACAAGGAAGTTACTGAGAATTCTTCTCTCTAGCAGAATATGAAGAAATCCCGTTTCCAACGATGGCCTCAAAGAGGTCTGAATATCCACTTGCAGACTTTACAAACAGAGTGTTTCCTAACTGCTCTATGAAAAGAAAGGTTAAACTCTGTGAGTTGAACGCACACATCACAAAGGAGTTTCTGAGAATCATTCTGTCTAGTCTTTATACGAAGATATTTACTTTTCTACCATTGACCTCAAAGCGGCTGAAATCTCCACTTGCAAATTCCACAAAAAGAGTGTTTCAAGTCTGCTCTGTGTAAAGGATCATTCAACCCTGTGAGTTGAATAAACACAACACAAGGAAGTTACTGAGAATTCTTCTGTCTAGCAGAATATGAAGAAATCCCGTTTCCAACGAAGGCCTCAAGGAGGTCTGAATATCCACTTGCACACTTTACAAACAGAGTGTTTCCTAACTGCTCTATGAGAAGAAAAGTTAAACTCTGTGAGTTGAACGCACACATCACAAAAGATTTTCTGAGAATCATTCTGTCTAGTTTTGAAACGAAGATATTTCCTTTTCTGCCATTGACCTTAAAGCGCTTCAAATCTCCACTTGCCAATTGCACAAAAAGAGTGTTTCAAATCTGCTCTGTCTAAGGGAACGTTCAACTCTGTGAGTTGAATGTACACAACACAAGGAAGTTACTGGGAATTATTCTGTCTAGCCTTACATGAAAAAAACCCGTTTCCAACGAAGGCCTCTAAGTGGTCAAAATATCTACGTGCAGACTTTACAGAGTGTTTCCAAACTGCTGAATGAAAAGAAAAGTTAAACTCTGAGAGTTGAACGCACACATCACAGAGCAGTTTCTGAGAATGATTCTGTCTAGTTTTTATACGAAGATATTTCCTTTTCTGCCTTTGGCCTCAAAGCGCTTGAAATCTCCACCTGCAAATTCCACAAAAAGAGTATTTCAAATCTGCTCTGTGTAAATGAAAGTTCAACTCTGTGAGTTGAACACACACAACACAAGGAAGTTACTGGGAATTCTTCTGTCTAGCCTTACATGAAAAAAACCCGTTTCCAACGAAGGCCTCAAAGAAGTCCAAATATCCACGTGCAGACTTTACAAACAGAGTGTTTCCTAATTGCTCTATGAAAAGAAAGGTTAAACTCTGTGGGTTGAACGCACACATCACAAAGGAGTTTCTGAGAATCATTCTGTCTAGTTTTTATACGAAGATATTTCCTTTTCTGCCTTTGACTTCAAAGCGGCTGAAATCTCCACTTGCAAATTCCACAAAAAGAGTGTTACAAGTCTGCTCTGTGTAAAGGATCGTTCAACTCTGTGAGTTGAATACACACAACACAAGGAAGTTACTGAGAATTCTTCTGTCTAGCAGAATATGAAGAAATCCCGTTTCCAACGAAGGCCACAAGATGTCAGAATATCCACTTACAGAATTGACAAACAGACTGTTTCCTAACTGCTCTATGAAAAGAAAGGTTAAACCCTGTGAGTTGAACGAACACATCACAACGCAGTTTGTGGGAATGATTCTGTCTAGTTTTGAAACGAAGATATTTCCTTTTCTGCCATTGACCTTAAAGCCCTTGAAATCTCCATTTGCCAATTGCACAAAAAGAGTGTTTCAAATCTGCTCTGTCTAAGGGAACGTTCAACTCTGTGAGTTGAATGTACACAACACAAGGAAGTTACTGGGAATTCTACTGTCTAGCCTTACAGGAAAAAAACCCGTTTCCAACGAAGGCCTCTAAGTGGTCAAAATATCCACGTGCAGACTTTACAAACAGAGTGTTTCCAAACTGCTGAATGAAAAGAAAAGTTAAACTCTGAGAGTTGAACGCACACATCGCAGAGCAGTTTCTGAGAATGATTCTGTCTAGTTTCTATAGGAAGATATTTCCTATTCTACCATTGACCTCAAAGCGGCTGAAATCTCCACTTGCAAATTCCACAAAAAGAGTGTTTCAAGTCTGCTCTGTGTAAAGGATCGTTGAAATCTGTGAGTTGAATACACACAACACAAGGAAGTTACTGAGAATTCTTCTGTCTAGCATAATATGAAGAAATCCCGTTTCCAACGAAGGCCTCAAGGAGGTGTGAATATCCACTTGCAGACTTTACAAACAGAGTGTTTCCTAACTGCTCTATGAAAAGAAAGGTTAAACTCTGTGAGTTGAACGCACACATCACAAAGGAGTTTCTGAGAATCATTCTGTCTAGTTTTTATACGAAGAGATTTCCTTTTCTACCATTGACCTCAACGCGGCTGAAATCTCCACTTGCAAATTTCACAAAAAGAGTGTTTCAATTCCGCTCTGTGTAAAGGATCGTTCAACTCTGTGAGTTGAATACACACAACACAAGGAAGATTCTGAGAATTCTTCTGTCTAGCACAGTATGAAGAAATCCCGTTTCCAACGAAGGCCTCAAAGAGGTCTGAATATCCACTTGCAGACATTACCAACAGAGTGTTTCCTAACTGCTCTATGAAAAGAAAGGTTAAACTCTGTGAGTTGAACACACACATCACAAAGGCGTTTCTGAGAATCATTCTGTCTAGTTTTGAAACCAAGATATTTCCTTTTCTGCCGTTGACCTTAAAGAGCTTGAAAACTACACTTGCAAATTGCACAAATAGAGTGTTTCAAATCTGCTCTGTCTAAGGGAACGTTCAACTCTGTGAGTTGAATGCACACAACACAAGGAAGTTACTGGGAATTCTTCTGTCTAGCCTTACAGGTAAAAAAACCCGTTTCCAACGAAGGCCTCTAAGTGGTCAAAATATCCACGTGCAGACTTTACAAACAGAGTGTTTCCAAACAGCTGAATGAAAAGAAAAGTTAAACTCTGAGAGTTGAACGCACACATCGCAGAGCAGTTTCTGAGAATGATTCTGTCTAGTTTTTATACGAAGATATATCCTTTTCTGCCTTGGCCTCAAAGCGCTTGAAATCTCCACTTGCAAATTCCACAAAAAGAGTGTTTCAAATCTGCTCTGTGTAAATGAAAGTTCAACTCTGTGAGTTGAACACACACAACACAAGGAAGTTACTGGGAATTCTTCTGTCTAGCAGAATATGAAGAAATCCCGTTTCCATCGAAGACCTCAAGGAGGTCTGAATATCCACTTGCAGACTTTAGAGAGTGTTTCCTAACTGCTCTATGAAAAGAAAGATTAAACTCTGTGAGTTGAACGCACACATCACAAAGGAGTTTCTGAGAATCATTCTGTCTAGTTTCTATAGGAAGATATTTCCTATTCTAACATTGAACTCAAAGCGGCTGAAATCTCCACTTGCAAATTCCACAAAAAGAGTGTTTCAAGTCTGCTCTGTGTAAAGGATCGTTCAACTCTGTGAGTTGAATACACACAACACAAGGAAGTTACTGAGAATTCTTCTGTCTAGCAGAATATGAAGAAATCCCGTTTCCAACGAAGGCCACAAGATGTCAGAATATCCACTTACAGAATTTACAAACAGAGTGTTTCCTAACTGCTCTATGAAAAGAAAGGTTAAACTCTGTGAGTTGAACTAACACATCACAACGCAGTTTGTGGGAATGATTCTGTCTAGTTTTGAAACGAAGATATTTCCTTTTCTGCCATTGACCTTAAGCGCTTGAAATCTCCACTTTCCAATTGCACAAAAAGAGTGTTTCAAATCTGCTCTGTCTAAGGGAACGTTCAACTCTGTGAGTTGAATGTACACAACACAAGGAAGTTACTGGGAATTATTCTGTCTAGCCTTACATGAAAAAAACCCGTTTCCAACGAAGGCCACTAAGTGGTCAAAATTTCCACGTGCAGACTTTACAAACAGAGTGTTTCCAAACCGCTGAATGAAAGGAAAAGTTAAACTCTGAGAGTTGAACGCACACATCACGCAGCAGTTTCTGAGAATGATTCTGTCTAGTTTTTATACGAAGATATTTCCTTTTCTGCCTTTGGCCCCAAAGCGCTTGAAATCTCCACTTACAAATTCCACAAAAACAGTGTTTCAAATCTGCACTCTCTAAATGATAGTTCAACTCTGTCAGTTGAATACACACAACACAAGAAAGTTACTGAGAATTCTTCTGTCTAGAATTACATGAAAAAAAACCCGTTTCCAACGAAGGCCTCAAAGAGGTGAAAATATCCACTTGCAGACTTTACAAACAGAGTGTTTCCTAACTGCTCTATGAAAGGAAAGGTTAAACTCTGTGAGTTGAACACCCATATCACAAAGGAGTTTCTGAGAATCATTCTGTCTAATTTTTATATGAAGATATTTCCTTTTCTATCATTGACATCAAAGCGGCTGAAATCTCCACTTGCAAATACCACAAAAAGAGTGTTTCAAATCTGCTCTGTGTAAATGAAAGTTCAACTCTGTCAGTTTAATACACACAACAAAAGGAAGTTACTGAGAATTCTTCTCTCTAGCCTTACATGAAAAAAACCCGTTTCCAACGAAGGCCTCAAAGAGGTTAAAATACCCACTTGCAGACTTTACAGAGTGTTTCCTAACAGCTCTATGAAAAGAAAGTTAAACTCTGTGAGTTGAACACCCACATCACAAAGGAGTTTCTGAGAATCATTCTGTCTAGTTTTTATACGAAGATATTTCCTTTTCTACCATTGACCTCAAAGCTGCTGAAATCACCACTTGCCAATTGCACAAAAAGAGTGTTTCAAATCTGCTCTGTCTAAGGGAACGTTCAACTCTGTGAGTTGAATGTACACAACACAAGGAAGTTCCTGGGAATTCTTCTGTCTAGCCTTACAGGAAAAAAGCCCGTTTCCAACGAAGGCCTCTAAGTGGTCAAAATATCCACGTGCAGACTTTACAAACAGAGTGTTTCCAAACTGCTGAATGAAAAGAAAAGTTAAACTCTGAGAGTTGAACGCACACATCGCAGAGCAGTTTCTGAGAATGATTCTGTCTAGTTTTTATACGAAGATATTTCCTTTTCTGCCTTTGGCCTCAAAGCGCTTGAAATCTCCATTTGCAAATTCCACAAAAAGAGTGTGTCAAATCTGCTCTGTGTAAATGAAAGTTCAACTCTGTGAGTTGAACACACACAACACATGGAAGTTACTGGGAAATCTTCTGTCTAGCATAATATGAAGAAATCCCGTTTCCAACGAAGGCCTCAAGGAGGTCTGAATATCCACTTGCAGACTTTACAAACAGAGTGTTTCCTAACTGCTCTATGAAAAGAAAGGTTAAACTCTGTGAGTTGAACGCACACATCGCAAAGTAGTTTCTGAGAATCATTCTGTCTAGTTTCTATATTAAGATATTTCCTATTCTACCATTGACCTCAAAGCGGCTGAAATCTCCACTTACAAATTCCACAAAAAGAGTGTTTCAAGTCTGCTCTCTGTAAAGGATCTTTCAACTCTGTGAGTTGAATACACACAACACAAGGAAGTTACTGAGAATTCTTCTGTCTAGCAGAATATGAAGAAATCCCGTTTCCAACGAAGGCCACAAGATGTAAGAATATCCACTTACAGACTTAACAAACAGAGTGTTTCCTAACTGCTCTATGAACAGAAAGGTTAAACTCTGTGAGTTGAACGAACACATCACAACGCAGTTTGTGGGAATGATTCTGTCTAGTTTTGAAACGAAGATATTTCCTTTTCTGCCATTGACCTTAAAGCGCTTGAAATCTACACTTGCAAATTGCACAAATAGAGTGTTTCAAATCTGCTCTGTCTAAGGGAACGTTCAATTCTGTGAATTGAATGCACACAACACAAGGAAGTTACTGGGAATTCTTCTGTCTAGCCTTACATGAAAAAAACCCGTTTCCAACGAAGGCCTCTACGTGGTCAAGTTATCCACGTGCAGACTTTACAAACAGAGTGTTTTCAAACTGCTGAATGAAAAGAAAAGTTAAACTCTGAGAGTTCAACGCACACATCGCAGAGCAGTTTCTGAGAATGATTCTGTCTAGTTTTTATACGAAGATATTTCCTTTTCTGCCTTTGGCCTCAAAGCGCTTGAAATCTCCACTTGCAAATTCCACAAAAAGAGTGTTTCAAATCTGCTCTGTGTAAATGAAAGTTCAACTCTGTGAGTTGAACACACACAACACAAGGAAGTTACTGGGAATTCCTCTGTCTAGCCTTATATGAAAAAAACCCGTTTCCAACGAAGACCTCAAAGAGGTCTGAATATCCACTTGCAGACTTTACAAACAGAGTGTTTCCTAACTGCTCTATGAAAAGAAAGGTTAAACTCTGTGAGTTGAACGCACACATCACAAAGGAGATTCTGAGAATCATTCTGTCTAGTTTTTATAGGAAGATATTTCCTTTTCTACCTTTGACTTCAAAGCGGCTGAAATCTCCACTTGCAAATTCCACAAAAAGAGTGTTACAAGTCTGCTCTGTGTAAAGGATCGTTCAACTCTATGAGTTGAATACACACAACACAAGGAAGTTACTGAGAATTCTTCTGTCTAGCAGAATATGAAGAAATCCCGTTTCCAACGAAGGCCTCAAGGAGGTCTGAATATCTACTTGCAGACTTTACAAACAGAGTGTTTCCTAACTGCTCTATGAAAAGAAAGGTGAAACTCTGTGAGTTGAATGCACACATCATAAAGGAGTTTATGAGAATCATTCTGCCTAGTTTTGAAACGAAGATATTTCCTTTTCTGCCGTTGACCTTAAAGCGCTTGAAATCTACACTTGCAAATTGCACAAATAGAGTGTTTCAAATCTGCTCTGTCTAAGGGAACGTTCAACTCTGTGAGTTGAATGCACACAACACAAGGAAGTTACTGGGAATTCTTCTGTCTAGCCTTACAGGAAAAAAACCCGTTTCCAACGTAGGCCTCTAAGTGGTCAAAATATCCACGTGCAGACTTTACAAACAGAGTGTTTCCAAACTGCTAAATGAAAAGAAAAGTTAAACTCTGAGAGTTGAACGCACACATCGCAGAGCAGTTTCTGAGAATGATTCTGTCTAGTTTCTATAAGAAGATATTTCCTATTCTACCATTGACCTCAAAGCGGCTGAAATCTCCACTTGCAAATTCCACAAAAAGAATGTTTCAAGTCTGCTCTGTGTAAACGATCGTTCAACTCTGTGAGTTGAATACACACAACACAAGGAAGTTACTGAGAATTCTTCTGTCTAGCATAATATGAAGAAATCCCGTTTCCAACGAAGGCCTCAAAGAGGTCTGATTATCCACTTGCAGACTTTAAAAACAGAGTGTTTCCTAACTGCTCTATGAAAAGAAAAGTTAAACTTTGTGACTTGAACGCACACATCACAAAGGAGTTTATGAGAATCATTCTGTCTAGTTTTTATAGGAAGATATTTCCTTTTCTACCTTTGACTTCAAAGCGGCTGAAATCTCCACTTGCAAATTCCACAAAAAGAGTGTTTCAAATCTGCTCTGTGTAAATGAAAGTTCAACTCTGTGAGTCGAACACACACAACACAAGGAAGTTACTGGGAATTCTTCTGTCTAGCCTTATATGAAAAAAACCCGTTTCCAACGAAGGCCTCAAAGAGGTCTGAATATCCACTTGCAGACTTTACAAACAGATTGTTTCCTAACTGCTCTATGAAAAGAAAGGTTAAACTCTGTGAGTTGAACACACACATCACAAAGGAGTTTCTGAGAATCATTCTGTCTAGTTTTGAAACGAAGATATTTCCTTTTCTGCCATTGACCTTAAAGCGCTTGAAATCTCCACTTGCCAAGTGCACAAAAAGAGTGTTTCAAATCTGCTCTGTCTAAGGGAACGTTCAACTCTGTGAGTTGAATGTACACAACACAAGGAAGTTACTGGGAATTCTTCTGTCTAGCCTTACAGGAAAAAAACCCGTTTCCAACGAAGGCCTCTAAGTGGTCAAAATATCCACGTGCAGACTTTACAAACAGAGTGTTTCCAAACTGCTGAATGAAAAGAAAAGTTAAACTCTGAGAGTTGAACGCACACATCGCAGAGCAGTTTCTTAGAATGATTCTGTCTAGTTTTTATACGAAGATATTTCGTTTTCTGCCTTTGGCCCCAAAGCGCTTGAAATCTCCACTTGCAAATTCCACAAAAACAGTGTTTCAAATCTGCTCTCTCTAAATGAAAGTTCAACTATGTCAGTTGAATACACACAACACAAGGAAGTTACTGAGAATTCTTCTCTCTAGCCTTATATGAAAAAAACCCGTTTCCAACGAAGGCCTCAAAGAGGTCTGAATATCCACTTGCAGACTTTACAAACAGAGTGATTCCTAATTGCTCTATGAAAAGAAAGGTTAAACTCTGTGAGTTGAACACACACATCTCAAAGGAGTTTCTGAGAATCATTCTGTCTAGTTTCTATAGGAAGATATTTCCTATTCTACCATTGACCTCAAAGCGGCTGAAATCTCCACTTGCAAATTCCAGAAAAAGAGTGTTTCAAGTCTGCTCTGTGTAAAGGATCGTTCAACTCTGTGAGTTGAATACACACAACACAAGGAAGTTACTGAGAATTCTTCAGTCTAGCAGAATATGAAGAAATCCCGTTTCCAACGAAGGCCTCAAAGAGGTCTGAATATCCACTTGCAGACTTAACAAACAGAGTGTTTCCTAACTGCTCTATGAAAAGAAAGGTTAAACTCTGTGAGTTGAACGCACACATCACAAAGGAGTTTCTCAGAATCATTCTGTCTAGTTTTTATACGAAGATATTTCCTATTCTACCATTGACCTCAAAGCGGCTGAAATCTCCAATTGCAAATTCCACAAAAAGAGTGTTTCAAGTCTGCTCTGTGTAAAGGATCGTTCAACTCTGTGAGTTGAATACACACAACACAAGGAAGCTACTGAGAATTCTTCTGTCTAGCATAATATGAAGAAAACCCGTTTCCAACGAAGGCCTCAAAGAGGTCTGAATATCCACTTGCAGACTTTACAAACAGAGTGTTTCCTAACTGCTCTATGAAAAGAAAGGTTGAACTCTGTGAGTTGAACGCACACATCACAAAGGAGTTTCTGAGAATCATTCTGTCTAGTTTTTATACGAAGATATTCCCTTTTCTACTATTGACCGCAAAGCGGCTGAAATCTCTACCTGCAAATTCGAGAAAAAGAGTGTTTCTAATCTGCTCTGTGTAAAGGATCGTTCAACTCTGTGAGTTGAATACACACAACACAAGGAAGTTACTGAGAATTCTTCTGTCTAGCATAATTTGAATAAATCCCGTTTCCAACGAGGGCCTCAAGGAGGTCTGAATATCCACTTGCAGACTTTACAAACAGAGTGTTTCCTAACTGCTCTATGAAAAGAAAGGTTAATCCCTGTGAGTTTAACGCACACATCACAAAGAACTTACTGAGAATCATTCTGTCTAGTTTTTATACGAAGATATTTCCTTTTCTACCTTTGACTTCAAAGCGGCTGAAATCTCCACTTGCAAATTCCACAAAAAGAGTGTTTCAAGTCTGCTCTGTGTAAAGGATCGTTCAACTCTGTGAGTTGAATACACACAACACAAGGAAGTTACTGAGAATTCTTCTGTCTAGCAGAATATGAAGAAATCCCGTTTCCAACGAAGGCCACAAGATGTCAGAATATCCACTTACAGAATTTACAAACAGACTGTTTCCTAACTGCTCAATGAAAAGAAAGGTTAAACTCTGTGAGTTGAACGAACACATCACAACGCAGTTTGTGGGAATGATTCTGTCTAGTTTTGAAACCAAGATATTTCCTTTTCTGCCGTTGACCTTAAAGAGCTTGAAAACTACACTTGCAAATTGCACAAATAGAGTGTTTCAAATCTGCTCTGTCTAAGGGAACGTTCAACTCTGTGAGTTGAATGCACACAACACAAGGTAGTTACTGGGAATTCTTCTGTCTAGCCTTACATGATAAAAACCCGTTTCCAACGAAGACCTCTAAGTGGTCAAATTATCCACGTGCAGACTTTACAAACAGAGTGTTTCCAAACTGCTGAATGAAAAGATAAGTTAAACTCTGAGAGTTGAATGCACACATCGCAGAGCAGTTTCTGAGAATGATTCTGTCTAGTTTTTATACGAAGATATTTCCTTTTCTGCCTTTGGCTTCAAAGCGCTTGAAATCTCCACTTGCAAATTCCACAAAAAGAGTGTTTCAAATCTGCTCTGTGTAAATGAGAGTTCAACTCTGTGAGTTGAACACACACAACACAAGGAAGTTACTGGGAATTCTTCTGTCTAGCAGAATATGAAGAAATCCCGTTTCCAACGAAGGCCTCAAAGAGGTCTGAATATCCACTTGCAGACTTTACAAACAGAGTGTTTCCTAACTGCTCTATGAAAAGAATGGTTAAACTCTGTGAGTTGAACGCACACATCACAAAGGAGTTTCTGTGAATCATTCTGTCTAGTTTTTATACGAAGATATTTCCTTTTATACCATTGACCTCAAAGCGGCTGAAATCTCCACTTGCAAATTCCACAAAAAGAGTGTTTCAAGTCTGCTCTGCGTAAAGGATCGTTCAACTCTGTGAGTTGAAAACACACAACACAAGGAAGTTTCTGAGAATTCTTCTGTCTAGCAGAATATGCAGAAATCCCGTTTCCAACGAAGGCCACAAGATGTCAGAATATCCACTTACAGACTTTACAAACAGAGTGTTTCCTAACTGCTCTATGAACAGAAAGGTTAAACTCTGTGAGTTGAACGAACACTTCACAACGCAGTTTGTGGGAATGATTCTGTCTAGTTTTGAAACGAAGATATTTCCTTTTCTGCCATTGACCTTAAAGCGCTTGAAATCTACACTTGCAAATTGCACAAATAGAGTGTTTCAAATCTGCTCTGTCTAAGGGAACGTTCAACTCTGTGAGTTGAATGCACACAACACAAGGAAGTTTCTGGGAATTCTTCTGTCTAGCCTTACAGGAAAAAAACCCGTTTCCAACGAAGGCCTCTAAGTGGTCAAAATATCCACGTGCAGACTATACAAACAGAGTGTTTCCAAACTGCTGAATGAAAAGAAAAGTTAAACTCTGAGAGTTGAACGCACACATCGCAGAGCAGTTTCTGAGAATGATTCTGTCTAGTTTTTATACGAAGATATTTCCTTTTCTGCCTTTGGCCTCAAAGCGCTTGAAATCTCCACTTGCAAATTCCACAAAAAGAGTGTTTCAAATCTGCTCTGTGTACATCAAAGTTCAACTCTGTGAGTTGAACACACACAACACAAGGAAGTTACTGGGAATTCTTCTGTCTAGCAGAATATGAAGAAATCCCGTTTCCAACGAAGGCCTCAAAGAGGTCTGAATATCCACTTGCAGACTTTACAAACAGAGTGTTTCCTAACTGCTCTATGAAAAGAAATGTTAAATTCTGTGAGTTGAACGCACACATCACAAAGGAGTTTCTGAGAATCATTCTGTCTAGTTTCTATAGGAAGATATTTCCTATTCTACCATTGACCTCAAATCGGCTGAAATCTCCACTTGCAAATTGCACAAAAAGAGTGTTTCAAGTCTGCTCTGTGTAAAGGATCGTTCAACTCTGTGAGTTGAATACACACAACACAAGGAAGTTACTGAGAATTATTCTGTCTAGCATAATATGAAGAAATCCCGTTTCCAAAGAAGGCCTCAAAGAGGTCTGAATATCCACTTGCAGACTTTACAAACAGAGTGTTTCCTAACTGCTCTATGAAAAGAAAAGTTAAACTCTGTGATTTGAACGCACACATCACAAAGGAGTTTATGAGAATCATTCTGTCTAGTTTTGAAACGAAGATATTTCCTTTTCTGCCATTGACTTTAAAGCGCTTGAAATCTACACTTGCAAATTGCACAAATAGAGTGTTTCAAATCTGCTCTGTCTAAGGGAACGTTCAACTCTGTGAGTTGAATGCACACAACACAAGGAAGTTACTGGGAATTCTTCTGTCTAGCCTTACATGAAAAAAACCCGTTTCCAACGAAGGCCTCTAAGTGGTCAAATTATCCACGTGCAGACTTTACAAACAGAGTGTTTCCAAACTGCTGAATGAACAGAAAAGTTAAGCTCTGAGAGTTGAACGCACACATCACAGAGCAGTTTCTGAGAATGATTCTGTCTAGTTTTGAAACGAAGATATTTCCTTTTCTGCCTTTGGCCTCAAAGCCCTTGAAATCTCCATTTGCAAATTCCACAAAAAGAGTGTTTCAAATCTGCTCTGTGTAAATGAAAGTTCAACTCTGTGAGTTGAATACACACAACACAAGGAAGTTACTGAGAATTCTTCTTTCTAGCAGAATATGAAGAAAACCCGTTCCCAACGAAAGCCTCAAGGATGTCTGAATATCCACTTGCAGACTTTACAAACAGAGTGTTTCCTAACTGCTCTATGAAAAGAAAGGTTAAACTCTGTGAGTTGAACGCACACATCACAAAGGAGTTTCTGAGAATCATTCTGTCTAGTTTTTATACGAAGATATTTCCTTTTCTACCATGGACCTCAAAGCGGCTGAAATCTCCACTTGCAAATTCCACAAAAAGACTGTATCAAGTCTGCTCTGTGTAAAGGATCGTTCAACTCTGTGAGTTGAATACACACAACACAAGGAAGATTCTGAGAATTCTTCTGTCTAGCAGAATATGAAGAAATCCCGTTCCCAACGAAGGCCACAAGATGTCAGAATATCCACTTACAGACTTTACAAACAGAGTGTTTCCTAACTGCTCTATGAACAGAAAGGTTAAACTCTGTGAGTTGAACGAACACATCACAACGCAGTTTGTGGGAATGATTCTGTCTAGTTTTGAAACCAAGATATTTCCTTTTCTGCCGTTGACCTAAAAGAGCTTGAAAACTACACTTGCAAATTGCACAAATAGAGTGTTTCAAATCTGCTCTGTCTAAGGGTACGTTCAACTCTGTGAGTTGAATGCACACAACACAAGGAAGTTACTGGGAATTCTTCTGTCTAGCCTTACATGAAAAAAACCCGTTTCCAACGAAGGCCTCTAAGTGGTCAAATTATCCACGTGCAGACTTTACAAACAGAGTGTTTCCAAACTGCTAAATGAAAAGAAAAGTTAAACTCTGAGAGTTGAACGCACACATCGCAGAGCAGTTTCTGAGAATGATTCTGTCTAGTTTTGAAACGAAGATATTTCCTTTTCTGCCTTTGGCCTCAAAGCGCTTGAAATCTCCACTTGCAAATTCCACAAAAGAGTGTTGCAAATCTGCTCTGTGTAAATGAAAGTTCAACTCTGTGAGTTGAACACACACAACACAAGGAAGTTACCGGGAATTCTTCTGTCTAGCAGAATATGAAGAAATCCCGTTTCCAACGAAGGCCTCAAGGAGGTCTGAATATCCACTTGCAGACTTTACAAACACAGTGTTTCCTAACTGCTCTATGAACAGAAAGGTTAAACTCTGTGAGTTGAACGCACACATCACAAAGGAGTTTCTGAGAATCATTCTGTCTAGTTTCTATAGGAAGATATTTCCTATTCTACCATTGACCTCAAAGCGGCTGAAATCTCCACTTGCAAATTCCACAAGAAGAGTGTTTCAAGTATGCTCTGTGTAAAGGATCGTTCAACCCTGTGAGTTGAATACACACAACACAAGGAAGTTACTGAGAGTTCTTCTGTCTAGCAGAATATGAAGAAATCCCGTTTCCAACGAAGGCCTCAAAGAGGTCTGAATATCCACTTGCAGACTTTACAAACAGAGTGTTTCCTAACTACTCTATGAAAAGAACGGTTAAACTCTGTGAGTTGAACGCACACATCACAAAGGAGTTTCTGAGAATCATTTTCTGTCTAGTTTTGAAACGAAGATATTTCCTTTTCGGCCATTGACCTCAACGCGCTTGAAATCCCCACTTGCCAATTGCACAAAAAGAGTGTTTCAAATCTGCTCTGTCTAAGGGAACGTTCAACTCTGTGAGTTGAATGTACACAACACAAGGAAGTTACTGGGAATTCTTCTGTCTAGCCTTACAGGAAAAAAACCCGTTTCCAAAGAAGGCCTCTAAGTGGTCAAAATATCCACGTGCAGACTTTACAAACAGAGTGTTTCCAAACTGCTGAATGAAAAGAAAAGTTAAACTCTGAGAGTTGAACGCACACATTGCAAAGCAGTTTCTGAGAATGATTCTGTCTAGTTTTTATACGAAGATATTTCCTTTTCTAACTTTGGCCTCAAAGCGCTTGAAATCTCCACTTGCAAATTCCACAAAAAGAGTGTTTCAAATCTGCTCTGTGTAAATGAAAGTTCAACTCTGTGAGTTGAACACACACAACACAAGGAAGTTACTGGGAATTCTTCTCTCTAGCAGAATATGAAGAAATCCCGTTTCCAACGAAGGCCTCAAAGAGGTCTGAATATCCACTTGCAGACTTTACAAACAGAGTGTTTCCTAACTGCTCTATGAAAAGAAAGGTTAAACTCTGTGAGTTGAACGCACACATCACAAAAGAGTTTCTGAGAATCATTCTGTCTAGTTTTTCCACGAAGATATTTCCTTTTCTACTACTGACCTCAAAGCGGCTGAAATCTCCACTTGCAAATTCTACAAATAGAGTGTTTCAAGTCTGCTCTGTGTAAAGGATCGTTCAACTCTGTGAGTTGAATACACACAACACAAGAAAGTTACTGAGAATTCTTCTGTCTAGCAGAATATGAAGAAATCCCGTTTCCAACGAAGGCCACAAGATGTCAGAATATCCACTTACAGAATTGACAAACAGACTGTTTCCTAACTGCTCTATGAAAAGAAAGGTTAAACTCTGTGAGTTGAACGCACACATCACAAAGAAGTGTCTGAGAATCATTCTGTCTAGTTTTGAAACCAAGATATTTCCTTTTCTGCCGTTGACCTTAAAGAGCTTGAAAACTACACTTGCAAATTGCACAAATAGAGTGTTTCAAATCTGCTCTGTCTAAGGGAACGTTCAACTCTGTGAGTTGAATGCACACAACACAAGGAAGTTACTGGGAATTCTTCTGTCTAGCCTTACAGGAAAAAAACCCGTTTCCAACGAAGTCCTCTAAGTGGTCAAGTTATCCACGTGCAGACTTTACAACCAGAGTGTTTCCAAACTGCTGAATGAAAAGAAAAGTTAAACTCTGAGAGTTGAACGCACACATCGCAGAGCAGTTTCTGAGAATGATTCTGTCTAGTTTTGAAACGAAGATATTTCCTTTTCTGCCTTTGGCCTCAAAGCGCTTGAAATCTTCATTTGCAAATTCCACAAAAAGAGTGTTTCAAATCTGCTCTGTGTAAATGAAAGTTCAACTCTGTGAGTTGAACACACACAACACAAGGAAGTTACTGGGAATTCCTCTGTGTAGCATAATATGAAGAAGTCCCGTTTCCAACGAAGGCCTCAAGGAGGTCTGAATATCCACTTGCAGACTTTACAAACAGAGTGTTTCCTAACTGCTCTATGAAAAGAAAGGTTAAACTCTGTGAGTTGAATGCACACATCACTAAAGGAGTTTCTGAGAATCATTCTGTCTACTTTCTATAGGAAGATATTTCCTATTCTACCATTGACCTCAAAGCGGCTAAAATCTCCACTTGCAAATTCCACAAAAGGAGTGTTTCAAGTCTGCTCTGTGTAAAGGATCGTTCAACTCTGTGAGTTGAAAACACACAACACAAGGAAGTTTCTGAGAATTCTTCTGTCTGGCAGAATATGTAGAAATCCCGTTTACAACGAAGGCCACAAGATGTCAGAATATCCACTTACAGAATTTACCAACAGAGTGTTTCCTAACTGCTCTATGAAAAGAAAGGTTAAACTCTGTGAGTTGAACGAACACATCACAACGCAGTTTGTGGGAATGATTCTGTCTAGTTTTGAAAGTAAGATATTTCCTTTTCTGCCATTGACCTTAAAGCGCTTGAAATCTCCACTTGCTAATTGCACAAAAAGAGTGTTTCAAATCTGCTCTGTCTAAGGGAACGTTCAACTCTGTGAGTTGAATGTACACAACACAAGGAAGTTACTGGGAATTCTTCTGTCTAGCCTTACAGGAAAGAAACCCGTTTCCAACGAAGGCCTCTAAGCGGTCAAAATATCCACGTGCAGACTTTACAAACAGAGTGTTTCCAAACTGCTGAATGAAAAGCAAAGTTAAACTCTGAGAGTTGAACGCACACATCGCAGAGCAGTTTCTGAGAATGATTCTGTCTAGTTTTTATACGAAGATATTTCCTTTTCTGCCTTTGGCCTCAAAGCGCTTGAAATCTCCATTTGCAAATTCCACAAAAAGAGTGTTTCAAATCTGCTCTGACTAAATGAAAGTTCAACTCTGTGAGTTGAACACACACAACACAAGGGAAGTTACTGGGAATTCTTCTTTCTAGCAGAATATGAAGAAATCCCGTTTCCAACGAAAGCCTCAAGGAGGTCTGAATATCCACTTGCAGACTTTACAAACAGAGTGTTTCCCAACTGCTCTATGAAAAGAAAGGTTAAACTCTGTGAGTTGAACGCACACATCACAAAGGAGTTTCTGAGAATCATTCTGTCTAGTTTCTATAGGAAGATATTTCCTATTCTACCATTGACCTCAAAGCGGCTGAAATCTCCACTTGCAAATTCCACAAAAAGAGTGTTTCAAGTCTGCTCTGTGTAAAGGATCGTTCAACTCTGTGAGTTGAATACACACAACACAAGGAAGTTACTGGGAATTCTTCTGTGTAGCAGAATATGAAGAAATCCCGTTTCCAACGAAGGCCACAAGATGTCAGAATATCCACTTACAGACTTCACAAACAGAGTGTTTCCTAACTGCTCTATGAAGAGAAAGGTTAAACTCTGTGAGTTGAACGAACACATCACAACGCAGTTTGTGGTAATGATTCTGTCTAGTTTTTATACGAAGATATTTCCTTTTCTACCATTGACCCCAAAGCGGCTGAAATAACCACTTGCCAATTGCACAAAAAGAGTGTTTCAAATCTGTTCTGTCTAAGGGAACGTTCAACTCTGTGAGTTGAATGTCCACAACACAAGGAAGTTACTGGGAATTCTTCTGTCTAGCCTTACATGAAAAAAACCCGTTTCCAACGAAGGCCTCTAAGTGGTCAAGTTATCCACGTGCAGACTTTACAAAGAGAGAGTTTCCAAACTGCTGAATGAAAAGAAAAGTTAAACTCTGAGAGTTAAACGCACACATCGCACAGCAGTTTCTGAGAATGATTCTGTCTAGTTTTTATACGAAGATATTTCCTTTTCTGCCTTTGGCCTCAAAGCGCTTGAAATCTCCACTTGCAAATTCCACAAAAAGAGTGTTTCCAATCTGCTCTGTGTAAATGAAAGTTCAACTCTGTGAGTTGAACACACACAACACAAGGAAGTTACTGGGAATTCTTCTGTCTAGCAGAATATGAAGAAATCCCGTTTCCAACGAAGGCCTCAAAGAGGTCTGAATATCCACTTGCTGACTTTACAAACAGAGTGTTTCCTAACTGCTCTATGAAAAGAAAGGTTAAACTCTGTGAGTTGAACGCACACATCACAAAGGAGTTTCTGAGAATCATTCTGTCTAGTTTCTATAGGAAGATATTTCCTATTCTACCATTGAACCCAATGCGGCTGAAATCTCCACTTGCAAATTCCACAAAAAGAGTGTTTCAAGTCTGCTCTGTGTAAAGGATCGTTCAACTCTGTGAGTTGAATACACACAACACAAGGAAATTACTGAGAATTCTTCTGTCTAGCATAATATGAAGAAATCCCGTTTCCAATGAAGGCCTCAAAGGGGTCTGAATATCCAGTTGCAGACTTTATAAACAGAGTGTTTACTAACTGCTCTATGAAAAGAAAGGTTAAACTCTGTGAGGTGAACACACACATCACAAAGGAGTTTCTGAGAATCATTCTGTCTAGTTTTTCTACGAAGATATTTCCTTTTCTACTATTGACCTCAAAGCGGCTGAAATCTCCAATTGCAAATTCCACAAAAAGAGTGTTTCAAGTCTGCTCTGTGTAAAGGATCGTTCAACTCTGTGAGTTGAATACACACAACACAAGGAAGTTACTGAGAATTCTTCTGTCTTGCAGAATATGAAGAAATCCCGTTTCCAACGAAGGCCACAAGATGTCAGAATATCCACTTACAGACTTTACAAACAGAGTGTTTCCTAACTGCTCTATGAACTGAAAGGTTAAACTCTGTGAGTTGAACGAACACATCACAACGCAGTTTGTGGGAATGATTCTGTATAGTTTTGAAACGAAGATATTTCCTTTTCTGCCGTTGACCTTAAAGCGCTTGAAATCTACACTTGCAAATTGCACAAATAGAGTGTTTCAAATCTGCTCTGTCTAAGGGAACGTTCAACTCTGTGAGTTGAATGCACACAACACAAGGAAGTTACTGGGAATTCTTCTGTCTAGCCTTACATGAAAAAATCCCGTTTCCAACGAAGGCCTCTAAGTGGTCAAAATATCCACGTGCAGACTTTACAAACAGAGTGTTTCCAAACCGCTGAATGAAAAGAAAAGTTAAACTCTGAGAGTTGAACGCACACATCACGCAGCAGTTTCTGAGAATGATTCTGTCTAGTTTCTATAGGAAGATATTTCCTATTCTACCATTGACCTCAAAGCGGCTGAAATCTCCACTTGCAAATTCCACAAAAAGAGTGTTTCAAGTCTGCTCTGTGTAAAGGATCGTTCAACTCTGTGAGTTGAATACACACAACACAAGGAAGTTATTGAGAATTCTTCTGTCTACAATAATATGAAGAAATCCCGTTTCCAACGAAGGCATCAAGGAGGTCTGAATATCCACTTGCAGACTTTACAAACAGAGTGTTTCCTAACTGCTCTATGAAAAGAAAGGGTAAACTCTGTGAGTTGAACGCACACATCACAAAGGAGTTTCTGAGAATCATTCTGTCTAGTTTTTATACGAAGATATTTCCTTTTCTACAATTGACCTCAAAGCGGCTGAAATCTCCACTTGCAAATTCCACAAAAAGAGTGTTTCAAGTCTGCTCTGTGTAAAGGATCGTTGAACTCTCTGAGTTGAATACACACAACACAAGGAAGTTCCTGAGAATTCTTCTTTCTAGCAGAATATGAAGAAATCCCGTTTCCAACGAAAGCCTCAAGGATGTCTGAATATCCACTTGCAGACATTACAAACAGAGTGTTTCCTAACAGCTCTATGAAAAGAAAGGTTAAACTCTGTGAGTTGAACGCACACATCACAAAGGAGTTTCTGAGAATCATTCTGTCTAGTTTCTATAGGAAGATATTTCCTATTCTACCATTGACCTCAAAGCGGCTGAAATCTCCACTTGCAAATTCCACAAAAAGAGTGTTTCAAGTCTGCTCTGTGTAAAGCGTCATTGAACTCTGTGAGTTGAATACACACAACACAAGGAGGTTTCTGAGAATTCTTCTGTCTAGCATAGTATGAAGAAATCCCGTTTCCAACAAAGGCCTCAAAGAGGTCTGAATATCCACTTGCAGAGTTTATAAACAGAGTGTTTCCTAACTGCTCTATGAAAAGAAAGGTTAAACTCTGTGAGTTGAACGAACACATCACAACGCAGTTTGTGGGAATGATTCTGTCTAGTTTTGAAACGAAGATATTTCCTTTTCTGCCATTGACCTTAAAGCGCTTGAAATCTACACTTGCAAATTGCGCAAATAGAGTGTTTCAAATCTGCTCTGTCTAAGGGAACGTTCAACTCTGTGAGTTGAATGCACACAACACAAGGAAGTTACTGGGAATTCTTCTGTCTAGCCTTATATGAAAAAAACCCGTTTCCAAAGAAGGCCACAAAGAGGTCTGAATATCCACTTGCAGACCTTACAAACAGAGTGTTTCCAAACTGCTGAATGAAAAGAAAAGTTAAACTCTGAGAGTTGAACGCACACATCGCAGAGCAGTTTCTGAGAATGATTCTGTCTAGTTTTTATACGAAGATATTTCCTTTTCTGCCTTTGGCCCCAAAGCGCTTGAAATCTCCAGTTGCAAATTCCACAAAAACAGTGTTTCAAATCTGCTCTCTCTAAAAGAAAGTTCAACTCTGTCAGTTGAATACACACAACACAAGGAAGTTACTGAGAATTCCTCTCTCTAGCAGAATATGAAGAAATCCCGTTTCCAACGATGGCCTCAAAGAGGTCTGAATATCCACTTGCAGACTTTACAAACAGAGTGTTTCCTAACTGCTCGATGAAAAGAAAGGTTAAACTCTGTGAGTTGAACGCACACATCACAAAGGAGTTTCTGAGAATCATTCTGTCTAGTCTTTATACGAAGATATTTACTTTTATACCATTGACCTCAAATCGGCTGAAATCTCCACTTGCAAATTCCACAAAAAGAGTGTTTCAAGTCTGCTCTGTGTAAAGGATCATTCAACTCTGTGAGTTGAATAAACACAACACAAGGAAGTTACTGAGAATTCTTCTGTCTAGCAGAATATGAAGAAATCCCGTTTCCAACGAAGACCTCAAGGAGGTCTGAATATCCACTTGCAGACTTTAGAGAGTGTTTCCTAACTGCTCTATGAAAAGAAAGGTTAAACTCTGTGAGTTGAACGCACACATCACAAACGAGTTTCTGAGAATCATTCTGTCTAGTTTTGAAACGAAGGTATTTCCTTTTCTGCCATTGACCTTAAAGCGCTTGAAATCTCCACTTGCCAATTTCACAAAAAGAGTGTTTCAAATCTGCTCTGTCTAAGGGAACGTTCAACTCTGTGAGTTGAATGTACACAACACAAGGAAGTTACTGGGAATTCTTCTGTCTAGCCTTACATGAAAAAAACCCGTTTCCAACGAAGGCCTCTAAGTGGTCAAAATATCCACGTGCAGACTTTACAAACAGAGTGTTTCCAAACTGCTGAATGAAAAGAAAAGTTAAACTCTGAGAGTTGAACGCATACATCGCACAGCAGTTTCTGAGAATGATTCTGTCTAGTTTTTATACGAAGATATTTCCTTTTCTGCGTTTGGCCCCAAAGCGCTTGAAATCTCCAATTGCAAATTACACAAAAACAGTGTTTCAAATCTGCTCTCTCTAAATGAAAGTTCAACTCTGTCAGCTGAATACACACAACACAAGGAAGTTACTGAGAATTCTTCTGTCTACGCATAATATGAAGAAATCCCGTTTCCAACGAAGGCCTCAAAGAGGTCTGAATATCCACTTGCAGACTTTACAAACAGAGTGTTTCCTAACGGCTCTATGAAAAGAAAAGTTAAACTCTGTGAGTTGAACGCACACATCACAAAGGAGTTTCTGAGAATCATTCTGTCTAGTTTCTATAGGAAGATATTTCCTATTCTACCATTGACCTCAAAGCGGCTGAAATCTCCACTTGCAAATTCCACAAAAAGAGTGTTTCAAGTCTACTCTGTGTAAAGGATCGTTCAACTCTGTGAGTTGAATACACACAACACAAGGAAGTTACTGAGAATTCTTCTGTCTAGCACAATATGAAGAAATCCCGTTTCCAACGAAGGCCACAAGATGTCAGAATATCCACTTACAGACTTTACAAACAGAGTGTTTCCTAACTGCTCTATGAACAGAAAGGTTAAACTCTGTGAGTTGAACGAACACATCACAACGCAGTTTGTGGGAATGATTCTGTCTAGTTTTGAAACGAAGATATTTCCTTTTCTGCCATTGACCTTAAAGCGCTTGAAATCTACACTTGCAAATGGCACAAATAGAGTGTTTCAAATCTGCTCTGTCTAAGGGATCTTTCATCTCTGTGAGTTGAATGCACACAACACAAGGAAGTTACTGGGAATTCTTCTGTCTAGCCTTACATGAAAAAAACCCGTTTCCAACGAAGGCCTCTAAGGGGTCAAAATATCCACGGGCAGACTTCACAAACAGAGTGTTTCCAAACCGCTGAATGAAAAGAAAAGTTAAACTCTGAGAGTTGAACGCACACATCACGCAGCAGTTTCTGAGAATGATTCTGTCTAGTTTTGAAACGAAGATATTTCCTTTTCTGCCTTTGGCCTCAAAGCGCTTGAAATCTCCATTTGCAAATTCCACAAAAAGAGTGTTTCAAATCTGCTCTGTGTAAATGAAAGTTCAATTCTGTGAGTTGAACACACACAACACAAGGAAGTTACTGGGAATTCTTCTGTCTAGCAGAATATGAAGAAATCCCGTTTCCAACGAAGGCCTCAAGGAGGTCTGAATATCCACTTGCAGACTTTACAAACAGAGTGTTTCCTAACTGCTCTATGAACAGAAAGGTTAGACTCTGTGAGTTGAACGCACACATCACAAAGGAGTTTATGGGAATCATTCTGTCTAGTCTTTATACGAAGACATTTCCTTTTCTACCATTGACCTCAAAGCGGCTGAAATCTCCACTTGCGAATTCCACAAAAAGAGTGTTTCAAGTCTGCTCTCTGTAAAGGATCGTTCAACTCTGTGAGTTGAATACACACAACACAAGGAAAGTTACTGAGAATTATTCTGTCTAGCATAATATGAAGAAATCCCGTTTCCAACGAAGGCCTCAAAGAGGTCTCAATATCCACTTGCAGACTTTACAAACAGAGTGTTTCCTAACTGCTCTATGAAAAGAAAAGTTAAACTCTGTGAGTTGAACGCACACATCACAAAGGAGTTTCTGAGAATCATTCTGTCTAGTTTTGAAAGGAAGATATTTCCTTTTCTGCCGTTGACCTTAAAGCGCTTGAAATCTACACTTGCAAATTGCACAAATAGGCTGTTTCAAATCTGCTCTGTCTAAGGGAACGTTCAACTCTGTGAGTTGAATGCACACAACACAAGGAAGTTACTGGGAATTCTTCTGTCTAGCCTTACATGAAAAAAACCCGTTTCCAACGAAGGCCTCTAAGCGGTCAAATTATGCACGTGCAGACTTGACAAACAGAGTGTTTCCAAACTGCTGAATGAAAAGAAAAGTTAAACTCTGAGAGTTGAACGCACACATCGCAGAGCAGTTTCTGAGCATGATTCTGTCTAGTTTTTATACGAAGATATTTCCTTTTCTGCCTTTGGCCTCAAAGCGCATGAAATCTACCTTTGCAAATTCCACAAAAAGAGTGTTTCAAATCTGCTCTGTCTAAATGAAAGTTCAACTCTGTCAGTTGAATACACACAACACAAGGAAGTTACTGAGAATTCTTCTGTCTAGCAGAATATGAAGAAATCCCGTTTCCAACGAAGGCCTCAAAGGGGTCTGAATATCCACTTGCAGACTTTACAAACAGAGTGTTTCCTAACTGCTCCATGAGAAGAAAAGTTAAACTCTGTGAGTTGAACGCACACATCACAAAAGATTTTCTGTGAATCATTCTGTCTAGTTTTTATACGAAGAGATTTCCTTTTCTACCATTGACCTCAACGCGGCTGAAATCTCCAATTGCAAATTCCACAAAAAGAGTGTTTCAAGTCCGCTCTGTGTAAATGAAAGTTCAACTCTGTCAGTTGAATACACACAACACAAGGAAGTTACTGAGAATTCTTCTGTCTAGCAGAATATGAAGAAATCCCGTTTCCAACGAAGGCCACAAGGATGTCAGAATATCCACTTTCATACTTTACAAACAGAGTGTTTCCTAACTGCTCTATGAACAGAAAGGTTAAACTCTGTGGGTTGAACGAACACATCACAACGCAGTTTGTGGGAATGATTCTGTCTAGTTTTGAAACGAAGATATTTCCTTTTCTGCCATTGACCTTAAAGCGCTTGAAATCTACACTTCCAAATTGCACAAATAGAGTGTTTCAAATCTGCTCTGTCTAAGGGAACGTTCAACTCTGTGAGTTGAATGCACACAACACAAGGAAATTACTGGGAATTCTTCTGTCTAGCCTTACATGCAAAAAACCCGTTTCCAACGAAGGCCTCTAAGTGGTCAATATATCCACGTGCAGACTTTACAAACAGAGTGTTTCCAAACCGCTGAATGAAAAGAAAAGTTAAACTCTGAGAGTTGAACGCACACATCACGCAGCAGTTTCTGAGAATGATTCTGTCTAGTTTTTATACGAAGATATTTCCTTTTCTGCCTTTGGCCCCAAAGCGCTTGAAATCTCCACTTACAAATTCCACAAAAACAGTGTTTCAAATCTGCACTCTCTAAATGATAGTTCAACTCTGTCAGTTGAATACACACAACACAAGGAAGTTACTGAGAATTATTCTGTCTAGCATAATATGAAGAAATCCCCTTTCCAACGAAGGCCTCAAGGAGGTCTGAATATCCACTTGCAGACTTTACAAACAGAGTGTTTCCTAACTGCTCTATGAAAAGAAAGGTTTAACTCTGTGAGTTGAACGCACACATCACAAAGGAGTTTGTGAGAATCATTCTGTCTAGTTTCTATAGGAAGATATTTCCTATTCTACCATTGACCTCAAAGCGGCTGAAATCTCCACTTGCAAATTCCACAAAAAGAGTGTTTCAAGTCTGCTCTGTGTAAAGGATCGTTCAACTCTGTGAGTTGAATACACACAACATAAGGAAGTTACTGAGAATTATTCTGTCTAGCAGAATATGAAGAAATCCCGTTTCCAACGAAGGCCACAAGATGTCAGAATATCCACTTACAGAATTTACAAACAGACTGTTTCCTAACAGCTCTATGAAAAGAAAAGTTAAACTCTGTGATTTGAACGAACACATCACAACGCAGTTTGTGGGAATGATTCTGTCTAGTTTTGAAACCAAGATATTTCCTTTTCTGCCGTTGACCTTAAAGAGCTTGAAAACTACACTTGCAAATTGCACAAATAGAGTGTTTCAAATCTGCTCTGTGTAAAGTATCGTTCAACTCTGTGAGTTGAATACACACAACACAAGGAAGTTACTGAGAATTCTTCTGTCTAACCTTTCATGCAAAAAACCCGTTTCCAACGAAGGCCTCTAAGTGGTCAAAATATCCACGTGCAGACTTTACAAACAGACTGTTTCCAAACCGCTGAATGAAAAGAAAAGTTAAACTCTGAGAGTTGAACGCACACATCACGCAGCAGTTTCTGAAAATGATTCTGTCTAGTTTTTATACGAAGATATTTCCTTTTCTGCCCTTGGCCCCAAAGCGCGTGAAATGTCCTCTTGCAAATTCCACAAAAACAGTGTTTCAAATCTGCTCTCTCTAAATGAAAGTTCAACTCTGTGAGTTGAATACACACAACACAAGGAAGTTACTGAGAATTCTTCTGTCTAGCAGAATATGAAGAAATCCCATTTCCAACGAAGGCCTCAAGGAGGTCTGAATATCCACTTGCAGACTTTAACAACACAGTGTTTCCTAACTGCTCTATGAAAAGAAAGGTTAAACTCTGTGAGTTGAACGCACACATCACAAAGGAGTTTCTGACAATCATTCTGTCTAGTCTTTATACGAAGATATTTCCTTTTCTACCATTGACCTCAAAGCGGCTGAAATCTCCACTTGCAAATTCCACAAAAAGAGTGTTTAAAGTCTGCTCTGTGTAAAGGATCATTCAACTCTGTGAGTTGAATAAACACAACACAAGGAAGTTACTGAGAATTCTTCTGTCTAGCAGAATATGATGAAATCCCATTTCCAACGAAGGCCACAAGATGTCAGAATATCCACTTACAGACTTTACAAACAGAGTGTTTCCTAACTGCTCTATGAACAGAAAGGTTAAACTCTGTGAGTTGAACGAACACATCACAACGCAGTTTGTGGGAATGATTCTGTCTAGTTTTGAAACGAAGATATTTCCTTTTCTGCCATTGACCTTAAAGCGCTTGAAATCTACACTTGCAAATTGCACAAATAGAGTGTTTCAAATCTGCTCTGTCTAAGGGAACGTTCAACTCTTTGAGTTGAATGCACACAACACAAGGAAGTTACTGGGAATTCTTCTGTCTAGCCTTACATGAAAAAATCCCGTTTCCAACGAAGGCCTCTAAGTGGTCAAATTATCCACGTGCAGACTTTACAAACAGAGTGTTTCCAAACCGCTGAATGAAAAGAAAAGTTAAACTCTGAGTGTTGAACGCACACATCACGCAGCAGTTTCTGAGAATGATTTCTGTGTAGTTTTCAAACGAAGATATTTCCTTTTCTGCCTTTGGCCTCAAAGCGCTTGAAATCTCCACTTGCAAATTCCACAAAAAGAGTGTTTCAAATCTGCTCTGTGTAAATGAAAGTTCAACTCCGTGAGTTGAACACACACAACACAAGGAAGTTACTGGGAATTCTTCTGTCTAGCATAATATGAAGAAATCCCGTTTCCAACGAAGGCCTCAAGGAGGTCTGAATATCCACTTGCAGATTTTACAAACAGAGTGTTTCCTAACTGCTCTGTGAAAAGAAAGGTTAAACTCTGTGAGTTGAATTCACACATCACAAAGGAGTTTCTGAGAATCATTCTGTCTAGTCTTTATACGAAGATATTTCCTTTTCTACCATTGACCTCAAAGCGGCTGAAATCTCCACTTGCAAATTCCACAAAAAGAGTGTTTCAAGTCTGCTCTGTGTAAACGATCGTTCAACTCTGTGAGTTGAATACACACAACACAAGGAAGTTACTGAGAATTCTTCTGTCTAGCAGAATATGAAGAAATCCCGTTTCCAACGAAGGCCACAAGATGTCAGAATATCCACTTACAGAATTTACAAACAGACTGTTTCCTAACTGCTCTATGAAAAGAAAGGTTAAACATCTGTGAGTTGAACGAACACATCACAACGCAGTTTGTGGGAATGATTCTGTCTAGTTTTGAAACGAAGATATTTCCTTTACTGCCATTGACCTTAAAGCGCTTGAAATCTCCACTTCCCAATTGCACAAAAAGAGTGTTTCAAATCTGCTCTGTCTAAGGGAACGTTCAACTCTGTGAGTTGAATGTACACAACACAAGGAAGTTACTGGGAATTCTTCTGTCTAGCCTTACATGAAAAAAACCCGTTTCCAACGAAGGCCTCTAAGTGGTCAAGTTATCCACGTGCAGACTTTACAAACAGAGTGTTTCCAAACTGCTGAATGAAAAGAAAAGTTAAACTCTGAGAGTTGAACGCACACATCGCAGAGCAGTTTCTGAGAATGATTCTGTCTAGTTTTTATACGAAGATATTTCCTTTTCTGCCTTTGGCCTCAAAGCGCTTGAAATCTCCATTTGCAAATCCCACAAAAAGAGTGTTTCAAATCTGCTCTGTGTAAATGAAAGTTCAAATCTGTGAGTCGAACACACACAACACAAGGAAGTTACTGGGAATTCTTCTGTCTAGCAGAATATGAAGAAATCCCGTTTCCAACAAAAGCCTCAAAGATGTCTGAATATCCACTTGCAGACTTTACAAACAGAGTGTTTCCTAACTGCTCTATGAAAAGAAAGGTTAAACTCTGTGAGCTGAACGCACACAGCAAAAAGGAGTTTCTGAGAATCATTCTGTCTTGTCTTTATATGAAGATAGTTTCCTTTTCTACCATTGACCTCAAAGCGGCTGAAATCTCCACTTGCAAATTCCACAAAAAGAGTGTTTCAAGTCTGCTCTGTGTAAAGGATCGTTCAACTCTGTGAGTTGAATACACACAACACAAGGAAGTTACTGAGAATTCTTCTGTCTAGCAGAATATGAAGAAATCCCGTTTCCAAAGAAGGCCACAAGATGTCAGAATATCCACTTACAGAATTTACAAACAGAGTGTTTCCTAACTGCTCTATGAAAAGAAAGGTTAAACTCTGTGATTTGAACGAACACATCACAACGCAGTTTGTGGGAATGATTCTGTCTAGTTTTGAAACGAAGATATTTCCTTTTCGGCCATTGACCTTAAAACTCTTGAAATCTCCACTTGCCAATTGCACAAAAAGAGTGTTTCAAATCTGCTCTGTCTAAGGGAACGTTCAAATCTGTGAGTTGAATGTACACAACACAAGGAAGTTACTGGGAATTCTTCTGTCTAGCCTTACAGGAAAAAAACCCGTTTCCAACGAAGGCCTCTAAGTGGTCAAAATATCTACGTGCAGACTTTACAAACAGAGTGTTTCCAAACTGCTGAATGAAAAGAAAAGTTAAACTCTGAGAGTTGAACGCACACATCGCAGAGCAGTTTCTGAGAATGATTCTGTCTAGTTTTTATACGAAGATATTTCCTTTTCTACCATTGACCTCAAAGCGGCTGAAATCTCCACTTGCCAATTCCACAAAAAGAGTGTTTCAAGTCTTCTCTGTGTAATGGATCGTTGAACTCTGTGAGTTGAAAACACACAACACAAGGAAGTTTCTGAGAATTCTTCTGTCTAGCAGAATATGAAGAAATCCCGTTTCCAACGAAAGCCTCAAAGATGTCTGAATATCCACTTGCAGACTTTACAAACAGAGTGTTTCCTAACTGCTCTATGAAAAGAAAGGTTAAACTCTGTGAGCTGAACGCACACAGCACAAAGGAGTTTCTGAGAATCATTCTGTCTAGTTTCCATAGGAAGATATTTCCTATTCTACCATTGACCTCAAAGCGGCTGAAATCTCCACTTGCAAATTCCACAAATGGAGTGTTTCAAGTCTGCTCTGAGTAAAGGATCGTTCGACTCTGTGAGTTAAATAAACAGAACACAAGGAAGTTTCTGAGAATTCTTCTGTCTAGCAGAATATGAAGAAATCCCGTTTCCAACGGAGGCCACAAGATGTCAGAATATCCACTTACAGAATTTACCAACAGAGTGTTTCCTAACTGCTCTATGAAAAGAAAGGTTAAACTCTGTGAGTTGAACGAACACATCACAACGCAGTTTGTGGGAATGATTCTGTCTAGTTTTGAAACGAAGATATTTCCTTTTCTGCCGTTGACCTTAAAGAGCTTGAAAACTACACTTGCAAATTGCACAAATAGAGTGTTTCAAATCTGCTCTGTCTAAGGGAACGGTTCAACTCTGTGAGTTGAATGCACACAACACAAGGAAGTTACTGGGAATTCTTCTGTCTAGCCTTACATGAAAAAAACCCGTTTCTAACGAAGGCCTCTAAGTGGTCAAAATATCCACGTGCAGACTTTACAAACAGAGTGTTTCCAAACTGCTGAATGAAAAGAAAAGTTAAACTCTGAGAGTTGAACGCACACATCACAGAGCAGTTTCTGAGAATGATTCTGTCTAGTTTTTATACGAAGATATTTCCTTTTCTGCCTTTGGCCCCAAAGCGCTTGAAATCTCCACTTGCAAATTCCACAAAAACAGTGTTTCAAATCTGCTCTCTCTAAATGAAAGTTCACCTCTGTCACTTGAATACACACAACACAAGGAAGTTACTGAGAATTCTTCTGTCTAGCCTTATATGAAAAAAACCCGTTTCCAACGAAGGCCTCAAAGAGGTCTGAATATCCACTTGCAGACTTTACAAACAGAGTGATTCCTAACTGCTCTATGAAAAGAAAGGTTAAACTCTGTGAGTAGAACACACACATCTCAAAGGAGTTTCTGAGAATCATTCTGTCTAGTTTTTCTACGAAGATATTTCCTTTTCTATTATTGACCTCAAAGCGGCTGAAATCTCCACTTGCAAGTCCCACAAAAAGAGTGTTTCAAGTCTGCTCTGTATAAAGGATCGTTCAACCCTGTGAGCTGAATACACACAACACAAGGAAGTTACTGAGAATTCTTCTGTCTAGCATAGTATGAAGAAATCCCGTTTCCAACGAAGGCCTCAAACAGGTCTGAATATCCACTTGCAGACTTTACAAACAAAGTGTTTCCTAACTGCTCTATGAAAAGAAAGGTTAAACTCTGTGAGGTGAACGCACACATCACAAAGAAGTTTCTGAGAATCATTCTCTCTAGTTTTGAAACGAAGATATTTCCTTTTCTGCCATTGACCATAAAGCGCTTGAAATCTCCACTTGCCAATTGCACAAAAAGAGTGTTTCAAATCTGCTCTGTCTAAGGGAACGTTCAACTCTGTGAGTTGAATGTACACAACACAAGGAAGTTACTGGGAATTCTTCTGTCTAGCCTTACAGGAAAAAAACCCGTTTCCAACAAAGGCCTCTAAGTGGTCAAATTATCCACGTGCAGACTTTACAAACAGAGTGTTTCCAAACTGCTGAATGAAAAGAAAAGTTAAACTCTGAGAGTTGAACGCACGCATCGCAGAGCAGTTTCTGAGAATGATTCTGTCTAGTTTTTTTACGAAGATATTTCCTTTTCTGCCTTTGGCCTCAAAGCGCTTGAAATCTCCATTTGCAAATTCCACAAAAAGAGTGTTTCAAATCTGCTCTGTGTAAATGAAAGTTCAACTCTGTGAGTTGAACACACACAACACAAGGATGTTACTGGGAATTCTTCTGTCTAGCATAATATGAAGAAATCCCGTTTCCAACGAAGGCCTCAAAGAGGTCTGAATATCCACTTGCAGACTTTACAAACAGAGTGTTTCCTAACTGCTCTATGAAAAGAAAAGTTAAACTATGTGAGTTGAACGCACACATCACAAAGGAGTTTCTGAGAATCATTCTGTCTAGTTTCTATAGGAAGATATTTCCTATTCTACCATTGACCTCAAAGCGGCTGATATCTCCACTTGCAAATTCCACAAAAAGAGTGTTTCAAGTCTGCTCTGTGTAAAGGATCGTTCAACTCTGTGAGTTGAATACACACAACACAAGGAAGTTACTGAGAATTCTTCTGTCTAGCAGAATATGAAGAAATCCCGTTTCCAACGAAGGCCACAAGATGTCAGAATATCCACTTACAGACTTTACAAACAGAGTGTTTCCTAACTGCTCTATGAACAGAAAGGTTAAACTCTGTGAGTTGAGCGAACACATCACAACGCAGTTTGTGGGAATGATTCTGTCTAGTTTTGAAACGAAGATATTTCCTTTTCTGCCGTTGACCTTAAAGCGCTTGAAATCTACACTTGGAAATTGCACAGAGTGTTTCAAATCTGCTCTGTGTAAGGGAACGTTCAACTCTGTGAGTTGAATGCACACAACACAAGGAAGTTACTGGGAATTCTTCTGTCTAGCCTTACAGGAAAAAAACCCGTTTCCAACGAAGGCCTCCAAGCGGTCAAATTATCCACGTGCAGACTTTACAAACAGAGTGTTTCCAAACTGCTGAATGAAAAGAAAAGTTAAAGTCTGAGAGTTGAACGCACACATCGCAGAGCAGTTTCTGAGAATGATTCTGTCTAGTTTTTATACGAAGATATTTCCTTTTCTGCCTTTGGCCTCAAAGCGCTTGAAATCTCCAATTGCAAATTCCACTAAAAGAGTGTTTCAAATCTGCTCTTTGTAAATGAAAGTTCAACTCTGTGAGTTGAACACACACAACACAAGGAAGTTACTGGGAATCCTTCTGTCTAGCCTTATATGAAAGAAACCCGTTTCCAACGAAGGCCTCAAAGAGGTCTGAATATACACTTGCAGACTTTACAAACAGAGTGTTTCCTAACTGCTCTATGAAAAGAAAGGTTAAACTCTGTGAGTTGAACGCACACATCACAAAGGAGTTTCTGAGAATCTATCTGTCTAGTCTTTATACGAAGATATTTCCTTTTCTACCATGGACCTCAAAGCGGCTGAAATCTCCACTTGCAAATTCCACAAAAAGAGTGTTTCAAGTCTGCTCTGTGTAAAGGATCGTTCAACTCTGTGAGTTGAATACACACAACACAAGGAAGTTACTGAGAATTCTTCTGTCTAGCAGAATATGAAGAAATCCCGTTTCCAACGAAGGCCACAAGATGTCAGAATATCCCCTTACAGAATTTTCAAACAGACTGTTTCCTAACTGCTCTATGAAAAGAAAGGTTAAACTCTGTGAGTTGAACGAACACATCACAACGCAGTTTGTGGGAATGATTCTGTCTAGTTTTGAAACAAAGATATTTCCTTTTCTGCCATTGACTTTAAAGCGCTTGAAATCTACACTTGCAAATTGCACAAATAGAGTGTTTCAAATCTGCTCTGTCTAAGGGAACGTTCAACTCTGTGAGTTGAATGCACACAACACAAGGAAGTTACTGGGAATTCTTCTGTCTAGCCTTACAGGAAAAAAACCCGTTTCCAACGAAGGCCACTAAGTGGTCAAAATATCCACGTGCAGACTTTACAAACAGAGTGTTTCCAAACTGCTGAATGAAAAGAAAAGTTAAACTCTGAGAGTTGAACGCACACATCGCAGAGCAGTTTCTGAGAATGATTCTGTCTAGTTTCTATAGGAAGATATTTCCTATTCTACCATTGACTTCAAAGCGGCTGAAATATCCACTTGCAAATTCCACAAAAAGAGTGTTTCAAGTCTGCTCTGTGTAAAGGATCGTTCAACTCTGTGAGTTGAATACACACAACACAAGGAAGTTACTGAGAATTCTTCTGTCTAGCATAATATGAAGAAATCCCGTTTCCAAAGAAGGCCTCAAGGAGGTCTGAATATCCACTTGCAGACTTTACAAACAGAGTGTTTCCCAACTGCTCTATGAAAAGAAAGGTTAAACTGTGTGAGTTGAACGCACACATCACAAAGGAGTTTCTGAGAATCATTCTGTCTAGTTTTTATACGAAGATATTTCCTTTTCTACCATGGACCTCAAAGCGGCTGAAATCTCCACTTGCAAATTCCACAAAAAGAGTGTTACAAGTCTGCTCTGTGTAAAGGATCGTTCAACTCTGTGAGTTGAATACACACAACACAAGGAAGTTACTGAGAATTCTTCTGTCTAGCAGAATATGAAGAAATCCCGTTGCCAACGAAGGCCACAAGATGTCAGAATATCCACTTACAGACTTTACAAACAGAGTGTTTCCTAACTGCTCTATGAACAGAAAGGTTAAACTCTGTGAGTTGAACGAACACATCACAACGCAGTTTGTGGGAATGATTCTGTCTAGTTTTTATAGGAAGATATTTCCTTTTCTACCTTTCACTTCAAAGCGGCTGAAATCTCCACTTGCAAATTCCACAAAAAGAGTGTTACAAGTCTGCTCTGTCTAAGGGAACGTTCAACTCTGTGAGTTGAATGTACACAACACAAGGAAGTTACTGGGAATTCTTCTGTCTAGCCTTACAAAAAAAATTCCGTTTCCAACGAAGGCCTCTAAGTGGTCAAAATATCCACGTGCAGACTTTACAAACACAGTGTTTCCAAACCGCTCAATGAAAAGAAAAGTTAAACTCTGAGAGTTGAACGCATACATCACGCAGCAGTTTCTGAGAATGATTCTGTCTAGTTTTTATACGAAGATATTCCCTTTTCTGCCTTTGGCCCCAAAGCGCTTGAAATCTCCACTTGCAAATTCCACAAAAACAGTGTTTCAAATCTGCTCTCTCTAAATGAAAGTTCAACTCTGTCAGTTGAATACACACAACACAAGGAAGTTACTGAGAATTCTTCTGTCTAGCAGAATATGAAGAAATCCCGTTTCCAACGAAGGCCTCAAGGAGGTGTGAATATCCACTTGCAGACTTTACAAACAGAGTGTTTCCTAACTGCTCTATGAAAAGAAAGGTTAAACTCTGTGAGTTGAACGCACACATCACAAAGGAGTTTCTGAGAATCATTCTGTCTAGTCTTTATACGAAGATATTTACTTTTCTACCATTGACCTCAAAGCGGCTGAAATCTCCACTTGCAAATTCCACAAAAAGAGTGTTTCAAGTCTGCTCTGTGTAAAGGATCCTTCAACTCTGTGAGTTGAATAAACACAACACAAGGAAGTTACTGAGAATTCTTCTGTCTAGCAGAATATGAAGAAATCCCGTTTCCAACGAAGGCCTCAAGGAGGTCTGAATATCCACTTGCAGACTTTACAAACAGAGTGTTTCCTAACTGCTCTATGAATAGAAAGGTAAAACTCTGTGAGTTGAACGCACACATCACAAAGGAGTTTCTGAGAATCATTCTGTCTAGTTTTGAAACGAAGATATTTCCTTTTCTGCCGTTGACCTTAAAGAGCTTGAAAACTACACTTGCAAATTGCACAAATAGAGTGTTTCAAATCTGCTCTGTCTAAGGGAACGTTCAACTCTGTGAGTTGAACGCACACAACACAAGGAAGTTACTGGGAATTCTTCTGTCTAGCCTTACATGAAAAAAACCCGTTTCCAACGAAGGCCTCTAAGTGGTCAAGTTATCCACGTGCAGACTTTACAAACAGAGTGTTTCCAAACTGCTGAATGAAAAGAAAAGTTAAACTCTGAGAGTTGAACGCACACATCGCAGAGCAGTTTCTGAGAATGATTCTGTCTAGTTTTGAAACGAAGATATTTCCTTTTCTACCATTGACCTCAACGCGGCTGAAATCTCCATTTGCAAATTCCACAAAAAGAGTGTTTCAAATCTGCTCTGTGTAAATGAAAGTTCAACTCTATGAGTTGAACACACACAACACAAGGAAGTTACTGGGAATTCTTCTGTCTAGCATAATATGAAGAAATCCCGTTTCCAACGAAGGCCTCAAAGATGTCTGAATATCCACTTGCAGACTTTACAAACAGAGTGTTTCCTAACTGCTCTATGAAAAGAAAGGTTAAACTCTGTGAGTTGAACGCACACATCACAAAGGAGTTTCTGAGAATCATTCTGTCTTGTTTCTATACGAAGATATTTCCTTTTCTACCATTGACCTCAAAGCGGCTGAAATCTCCACTTGCAAATTCCACAAAAAGAGTGTTTCAAGTCTGCTCTGTGTAAAGGATCGTTCAACTCTGTGAGTTGAATACACACAACACAAGGACGTTTCTGAGAATTCTTCTATCTAGCAGAATATGAAGAAATCCCGTTTCCAACGAAGGCCACAAGATGTCAGAATATCCACTTACAGAATTTACCAACAGAGTGTTTCCTAACTGCTCTATGAAAAGAAAGGTTAAACTCTGTGAGTTAAACGAACACATCACAACGCAGTTTGTGGGAATGATTCTGTCTAGTTTTGAAACGAAGATATTTCCTTTTCTGCCATTGACCTTAAAGCGCTTGAAATCTCCATTTGCCAATTGCACAAAAAGAGTGTTTCAAATCTGCTCTGTCTAAGGGAACGTTCAACTCTGTGAGTTGAATGTACAGAACACAAGGAAGTTACTGGGAATTCTTCTGTCTAGCCTTACATGAAAAAAACCCGTTTCCAACGAAGGCCTCTAAATGGTCAAATTATCCACGAGCAGACTTTACAAACAGAGTGTTTCCAAACTGCTGAATGAAAAGCAAAGTTAAACTCTGAGAGTTGAACGCACACATCGCAGAGCAGTTTCTGAGAATGATTCTGTCTAGTTTTTATACGAAGATATTTCCTTTTCTGCCTTTGGCCTCAAAGCGCTTGAAATCTCCACTTGCAAATTCCACAAAAAGAGTGTTTCAAATCTGCTCTGTGTAAATCAAAGTTCAACTCTGGGGGTAGAACACACACAACACAAGGAAGTTACTGGGAATTCTTCTGTCTAGCAGAATATGAAGAAATCCCGTTTCCAACGAAGGCCTCAAAGAGGTCTGAATATCCACTTGCAGACTTTACAAACAGAGTGTTTCCTAACTGCTCTATGAAAAGAAAGGTTAAACTCTGTGAGTTGAACGCACACATTACAAAGGAGATTCTGAGAATCATTCTGTCTAGTCTTTATACGAAGATATTTCCTTTTCTACCATTGACCTCAAAGCGGCTGAAATCTCCACTTGCAAATTCCACAAAAAGAGTGTTTCAAGTCTGCTCTCTGTAAAGGATCGTTCAACTCTGTGAGTTGAATACACAGAACACAAGGAAGTTACTGAGAATTATTCTGTGTAGCATAATATGAAGAAATCCCGTTTCCAACGAAGGCCACAAGATGTCAGAATATCCACTTACAGACTTTACAAACAGAGTGTTTCCTAACTGCTCTATGAACAGAAAGGTTAAACTCTGTGAGTTGAACGAACACATCACAACGCAGTTTGTGGGAATGATTCTGTCTAGTTTTGAAACGAAGATATTTCCTTTTCTGCCATTGACCTTAAAGCGCTTGAAATCTACACTTGCAAATTGCACAAATAGAGTGTTTCAAATCTGCTCTGTCTAAGGGAACGTTCAACTCTGTGAGTTGAATGCACACAACACAATGAAGTTACTGGGAATTCTTCTGTCTAGCCTTACATGCAAAAAACACGTTTCCAACGAAGGCCTCTAAGTGGTCAAAATATCCACGTGCAGACTTTACAGACAGAGTGTTTCCAAACCGCTGAATGAAAAGAAAAGTTAAACTCTGAGAGTTGAACGCACACATCACGCAGCAGTTTCTGAGAATGATTCTGTCTAGTTTTTATACGAAGATATTTCGTTTTCTGCCTTTGGACACAAAGCGCTTGAAATCTCCACTTGCAAATTCCACAAAAACAGTGTTTCAAATCTGCTCTCTCTAAATGAAAGTTCAACTCTGTCAGTTGAATACACACAACACAAGGAAGTTACTGAGAATTCTTCTCTCTAGCAGAATATGAAGAAATCCCGTTTCCAACGAAGGCCTCAAAGAGGTCTGAATATCCACTTGCAGACTTTACAAACAGAGTGTTTCCTAACCGCTCTATGAAAAGAAAGGTTAAACTCTGTGAGTTGAACGCACACATCACAAAGGAGTTTCTGAGAATCATTCTGTCTAGTTTCTATAGGAAGATATTTCCTATTCTACCATTGACCTCAAAGCGGCTGAAATCTCCACTTGCAAATTGCACAAAAAGTGTGTTTCAAGTCTGCTCTCAGTAAAGGATCGTTCAACTCTGAGAGTTGAATACACACAACACAAGGAAGTTACTGAGAATTCTTCTGTCTAGCAGAATATGAAGAAATCCCGTTTCCAACGAAGGCCACAAGATGTCAGAATCTCCACTTACAGACTTTACAAACAGAGTGTTTCCTAACTGCTCTATGAACAGAAAGGTTAAACTCTGTGAGTTGAACGAACACATCACAACGCAGTTTGTGGGAATGATTCTGTCTAGTTTTGAAACGAAGATATTTCCTTTTCTGCCATTGACCTCAAAGCGCTTGAAATGTCCACTTGCCAATTGCACAAAAAGAGTGTTTCAAATCTGCTCTGTCTAAGGGAACGTTCAACTCTGTGAGTTGAATGTACACAACACAAGGAAGTTACTGGGAATTCTTCTGTCTAGCCTTACATGAAAAAAACCCGTTTCCAACGAAGGCCTCTAAGTGGTCAAATTATCCACGTGCAGACTTTACAAACAGAGTGTTTCCAAACTGCTGAATGAAAAGAAAAGTTAAACTCTGAGAGTTGAACGCACACATCGCAGAGTAGTTTCTGAGAATGATTCTGTCTAGTTTTTATACGAAGATATTTCCTTTTCTGCCTTTGGCCCCAAAGCTCTTGAAATCTCCACTTGCAAATTCCACAAAAACAGTGTTTCAAATCTGCTCTCTCTAAATGAAAGTTCAACTCTGTCAGTTGAATACACACAACACAAGGAAGTTACTGAGAATTCTTCTGTCTAGCAGAATATGAAGAAATCCCGTTTCTAACGAAAGCCTCAAAGATGTCTGAATATCCACTTGCAGACTTTACAAACAGAGCGTTTCCTAACTGCTCTATGAAAAGAAAGGTTAAACTCTGTGAGTTGAACGCACACATCACAAAGGAGTTTCTGAGAATCATTCTGTCTAGTTTTTATAGGAAGATATTTCCTTTTCTACCTTTGACTTCAAAGCGGCTGAAATCTCCACTTGCAAATTCCACAAAAAGAGTGTTACAAGTCTGCTCTGTGTAAAGGATCGTTCAACTCTGTGAGTTGAATACACACAACCCAAGGAAGTTACTGAGAATTCTTCTGTCTAGCAGAATATGAAGAAATCCCGTTTCCAACGAAGGCCTCAAGGAGGTCTGAATATCCACTTGCAGACTTTAGAAACAGAGTGTTTCCTAACTGCTCTATGAAAAGAAAGGTTAAACTCTGTGAGTTGAACGCACACATCACAAAGGAGTTTATGAGAATCATTCTGTCTATTTTCTATAAGAAGATATTTCCTATTCTACCATTGACCTCAAAGCGGCTGAAATCTCCACTTGCAAATTCGACAAAAAGAGTGTTTCAAGCCTGCTCTCTGTAAAGGATCCTTCAACTCTGTGAGTTGAATACACACAACACAAGGAAGTTACTGAGAATTCTTCTGTCTAGCAGAATATGAAGAAATCCCGTTTCCAAGGAAGGCCACAAGATGTCAGAATATCCACTTACAGAATTGACAAACAGACTGTTTCCTAACTGCTCTATGAAAAGAAAGGTTAAACTCTGTGAGTTGAACGAACACATCACAACGCAGTTTCTGGGAATGATTCTGTCTAGTTTTGAAACGAAGATATTTCCTTTTCTGCCATTGACCTTAAAGCGCTTGAAATCTCCATTTGCCAATTGCACAAAAAGAGTGTTTCCAATCTGCTCTGTCTAAGGGAACGTTCAACTCTGTGAGTTGAATGTACACAACACAAGGAAGTTAGTGGGAATTCTTCTGTCTAGCCTTACAGGAAAAAAACCCGTTTCCAACGAAGGCCTCTAAGTGGTCAAAATATCCACGTGCAGACTTTACAAACAGAGTGTTTCCAAACTGCTGAATGAAAAGAAAAGTTAAACTCTGAGAGTTGAACGTACACATCGCAGAGCAGTTTCTGAGAATGATTCTGTCTAGTGTTTATACGAAGATATTTCCTTTTCTGCATTTGGCCCCAAAGCTCTTGAAATCTCCAATTGCAAATTCCACAAAAACAGTGTTTCAAATCTGCTCTCTCTAAATGAAAGTTCAACTCTGTCAGTTGAATACACACAACACAAGGAAGTTACTGAGAATTCTTCTGTCTAGCAGAATATGAAGAAATCCCGTTTCCAAAGAAAGCCTCAAAGAGGTCTGAATATCCTCTTGCAGACTTTACAAACAGAGTGTTTCCTAACTGCTCTATGAAAAGAAAGGTTAAACTCTGTGAGTTGACCGCACACATCACAAAGGAGTTTATGAGAATCATCCTGTCTAGTTTTTATACGAAGATATTTCCTTTTCTGCCATTGACCTTAAAGCGCTTGAAATCTACACTTGCAAATTGCACAAATAGAGTGTTTCAAATCTGCTCTGTCTAAGGGAACGTTCAACTCTGTGAGTTGAATGCACACAACACAAGGAAGTTACTGGGAATTCTTCTGTCTAGCCTTACAGGAAAGAAACCCGTTTCCAACGAAGGCCTCTAAGTGGTCAAAATATCCACGTGCAGACATTACAAACAGAGTGTTTCCAAACTGCTGAATGAAAAGAAAAGTTAAACTCTGAGAGTTGAACGCACACATCGCAGAGCAGTTTCTGAGAATGATTCTGTCTAGTTTTGAAACGAAGATATTTCCTTTTCTGCCATTGACCTTAAAGCGCTTGAAATCTCCAGTTGCCAATTGCACAAAAAGAGTGTTTCAAATCTGCTCTGTCTAAGGGAACGTTCAACTCTGTGAGTTGAATGTACACAACACAAGGAAGTTACTGGGAATTCTTCTGTCTATCCTTACATGAAAAAAACCCGTTTCCAACGAAGGCCTCTAAGTGGTCAAAATATCCACGTGCAGACTTTACAAACAGAGTGTTTCCAAACTGCTGAATGAAAAGAAAAGTTAAACTCTGAGAGTTGAACGCACACATCACAGAGCAGTTTCTGAGAATGATTCTGTCTAGTTTTTCTACGAAGATATTTCCTTTTCTGCCTTTGGCCCCAAAGCGCTTGAAATCTCCACTTGCAAATTCCACAAAAACAGTGTTTCAAATCTGCTCTCCCTAAATGAAAGTTCAACTCTGTCAGTTGAATACACACAACACAAGGAAGTTACTGAGAATTCTTCTGTCTAGCATAATATGAAGAAATCCCGTTTCCAACGAAGGCCTCAAAGGGGTCTGAATATCCACTTGCAGACTTTATAAACAGAGTGTTTACTAACTGCTCTATGAAAAGAAAGGTTAAACTCTGTGAGTTGAAAACACACATCACAAAGGACTTTCTGAGAATCATTCTGTCTAGTTTTTATACGAAGATATTTCCTTTTCTACCATGGACCTCAAAGCGGCTGAAATCTCCACTTGCAAATTCCACAAAAAGAGTGTTTCAAGTCTGCTGTGTGTAAAGGATCGTTCAACTCTGTGAGTTGAATACACACAACACAAGGAAGATTCTGAGAATTCTTCTGTCTAGCAGAATATGAAGAAATCCCGTTTCCAACGAAGGCCAAAAGATGACAGAATATCCACTTACAGACTTTACAAACAGAGTGTTTCCTAACTGCTCTATGAAGAAAAAGGTTAAACTCTGTGAGTTGAGCGAACACATCACAACGCAGTTTGTGGGAATGATTCTGTCTAGTTTTGAAACGAAGATATTTCCTTTTCTGCCATTGACCTTAAAGCGCTTGAAATCTGCACTTGCCAATTGCACAAATAGAGTGTTTCAAATCTGCTCTGTCTAAGGGAACGTTCAAATCTGTGAGTTGAATGCACACAACACAAGGAAGTTACTGGGAATTCTTCTGTCTAGCCTTACATGAAAAAATCCCGTTTCCAACGAAGGCCTCTAAGTGGTCAAATTATCCACGTGCAGACTTTACAAACAGAGTGTTTCCAAACCGCTGAATGAAAAGAAAAGTTAAACTCTGAGAGTTGAACGCACTCATCACGCAGCAGTTTCTGAGAATGATTCTGTCTAGTTTTTATACGAAGATATTTCCTTTTCAGCCTTTGGCCTCAAAGCGCTTGAAATCTCCATTAGCAAATTCCACAAAAAGAGTGTCTCAAATCTGCTCTGTGTAAATGAAAGTTCAACTCTGTGAGTTGAACACACACAACACAAGGAAGTTACTGGGAATTCTTCTGTCTAGCCTTATATGAAAAAAAACCGTTTCCAACGAAGGCCTCAAGGAGGTCTGAATATCCACTTGCAGACTTTACAAACAGAGTGTTTCCTAACTGCTCTATGAAAAGAAAGGTTAAACTCTGTGAGTTGAACGCACACATCACAAAGGAGTTTCTGAGAATCATTCTGTCTAGTTCTTATACGAAGATATTTCCTTTTCTACCATTGACCTCAACGCGGCTGAAATCTCCACTTGCAAATTCCACAAAAAGTGTGTTTCAAGTCCGCTCTGTGTAAAGGATCGTTCAACTCTGTGAGTTGAATACACACAACACAAGGAAGTTACTGAGAATTCTTCTTTCTAGCAGAATATGAAGAAATCCCTTTTCCAAAGAAAGCCTCAAGGATGTCTGAATATCCACTTGCAGACTTTACAAACAGAGTGTTTCCCAACTGCTCTATGAAAAGAAAGGTTAAACTCTGTGAGTTGAACGCACACATCACAAAGGAGTTTCTGAGAATCATTCTGTCTAGTTTTGAAACGAAGATATTTCCTTTTCTGCCATTGACCTTAAAGCGCTTGAAATCTACACTTGCAAATTGCGCAAATAGAGCGTTTCAAATCTGCTCTGTCTAAGGGAACGTTCATCTCTGTGAGTTGAATGCACACAACACAAGGAAGTTACTGGGAATGCTTCTGTCTAGCCTTACAGGAAAAAAACCCGTTTCCAACGAAGGCCTCTAAGTGGTCAAAATATCCACGTGCAGACTTTACAAACAGAGTGTTTCCAAACTGCTGAATGAAAAGAAATGTTAAACTCTGAGAGTTGAACGCACACATCGCAGAGCAGTTTCTGAGAATGATTCTGTCTAGTTTCTATAGGAAGATATTTCCTATTCTACCATTGACCTCAAAGCGGCTGAAATCTCCACTTGCAAATTCCACAAAAAGAATGTTTCAAGTCCGCTCTGTGTAAAGGATCGTTCAACTCTGTGAGTTGAATACACACAACACAAGGAAGTTACTGAGAATTATTCTGTCTAGCAGAATATGAAGAAATCCCGTTTCCAACGAAGGCCCCAAAGAGGTCTGAATATCCACTTGCAGACTTTACAAACAGAGTGTTTCCTAACTGCTCTGTGAAAAGAAAAGTTAAACTCTGTGAGTTGAACGCACACATCACAAAGGAGTTTATGAGAATCATTCTGTCTAGTTTCTATAAGAAGATATTTCCTATTCTACCATTGACCACAAAGCGGCTGAAATCTCCACTTGCAAATTCGACAAAAAGAGTGTTTCAAGCCTGCTCTCTGTAAAGGATCCTTCAACTCTGTGAGTTGAATACACACAACACAAGGAAGTTACTGAGAATTATTCTGTCTAGCAGAATATAAAGAAATCCCGTTTCCAACGAAGGCCACAAGCTGTCAGAATATCTACTTACAGAATTTTCAAACAGACTGTTTCCTAACTACTCTATGAAAAGAAAGGTTAAACTCTGTGAGTTGAACGAACACATCACAACGCAGTTTGTGGGAATGATTCTGTCTAGTTTTTATACGAAGATATTTCCTTTTCTACCATTGACCTCAAAGCGGCTGAAATCACCACTTGCCAATTGCTCAAAAAGAGTGTTTCAAATCTGTTCTGTCTAAGGGAACGTTCAACTCTGTGAGTTGAATGTCCACAACACAAGGAAGTTACTGGGAATTCTTCTGTCTAGCCTTATATGAAAAAAACCCTTTTCCAAAGAAGGCCTCTAAGTGGTCAAATTATCCACGTGCAGACTTTACAAACAGAGTGTTTCCAAACTGCTGAATGAAAAGAAAAGTTAAACTCTGAGAGTTGAACGCACACATCGCAGAGCAGTTTCTGAGAATGATTCTGTCTAGTTTTTAGACGAAGATATTTCCTTTTCTGCCTTTGGCCTCAAAGCGCTTGAAATCTCCACTTGCAAATTCCACAAAAAGAGTGTTTCAAATCTGCTCTGTGTAAATCAAAGTTCAACTCTGTGAGTTGAACACACACAACACAAGGAAGATACTGAGAATTCTTGTGTCTAGCAGAACATGAAGAAATCCCGTTTCCAACGAAGGCCTCAAAGATGTCTGAATATCCACTTGCAGACTTTACAAACAGAGTGTTTCCTAACTGCTCTATGAAAAGAAAGGTTAAACTCTGTGAGTTGAACGCACACATCACAAAGGAGTTTCTGAGAATCATTCTGTCTAGTTTTTATACGAAGATATTTCCTTTTCTACCATGGACCTCAAAGCGGCTGAAATCTCCACTTGCAAATTCCACAAAAAGAGTGTTTCAAGTCTGCTCTGTGTAAAGGGATCGTTCAACTCTGTGAGTTGAATACACACAACACAAGGAAGATTCTGAGAATTCTTCTGTCTAGCAGAATATGAAGACATCTCGTTTCCAACGAAGGCCACAAGATGTCAGCATATCCACTTACAGACTTTACAAACAGAGTGTTTCCTAACTGCTGTATGAAAAGAAAGGTTAAACTCCGTGAGTTGATCGAACACATCACAACGCAGTTTGAGGGAATGATTCTGTCTAGTTTTTATACGAAGATATTTCCTTTTCTGCCTTTGGCCTCAACGCGCTTGAAATCTCCACTTGAAAATTCCACATAAAGAGTTTTTCTAATCTGCTCTGTCTAAATGTAAGTTCAACTCTGTCAGTTGAATACACACAACACAAGGAAGTTACTGCGAATTCTTCTGTCTAGCACAGTATGAAGAAATCCCGTTTCCAACGAAGGCCTCAAAGGAGGTCTGAATATCCACTTGCAGAGTTTACAAACAGAGTGTTTCCTAACTGCTCTATGAAAAGAAAGGTTAAACTCTGTGAGTTGAACGCACACATCACAATGAAGTTTCTGAGAATCATTCTGTCTAGTTTTTATACGAAGATATTTCCTTTTCTGCCTTTGGCCTCAAAGCGCTTGAAATCTCCACTTGCAAATTCCACAAAGAGTGTTTCAAATCTGCTCTGTGTAAATGAAAGTTCAACTCTGTGAGTTGAACACACACAACACAAGGAAGTTACTGGGAATTCTTCTTTCTAGCATAATATGAAGAAATCCCGTTTCCAACGAAGGCCTCAAAGGGGTCTGAATATCCATTTGCAGACTTTATAAACTGAGTGTTTACTAACTGCTCTATGAAAAGAATGGTTAAACTCTGTGAGTTGAACACACACATCACAAAGGAGTTTCTGAGAATCATTCTGTCTAGTTTTTATAGGAAGATATTTCCTTTTCTACCTTTGACTTCAAAGCGGCTGAAATCTCCACTTGCAAATTCCACAAAAAGAGTGTTACAAGTCTGCTCTGTGTAAAGGATCGTTCAACTCTCTGAGTTGAATACACACAACACAAGGAAGTTACTGAGAATTCTTCTGTCTAGCAGAATGTGAAGATATCCCGTTTCCAACGAAGGCCACAAGATGTCAGAATATCCACTTACAGAATTTACAAACAGACTGTTTCCTAACTGCTCTATGAAAAGAAATGTTAAACTCTGTGAGTTGAACGAACACATCACAACGCAGTTTGTGGGAATGATTCTGTCTAGTTTTGAAACGAAGATATTTCCTTTTCTGCCATTGACCTTAAAGCGCTTGAAATCTCCACTTGCCAATTGCACAAAAAGAGTGTTTCAAATCTGCTCTGTTTAAGGGAACGTTCAACTCTGTGAGTTGAATGCACACAACACAAGGAAGTTACTGGGAATTCTTCTGTATAGCCTTACAGGAAAGAAAACCGTTTCCAACGAAGGCCTCTAAGTGGTCAAAATATCCACGTGCAGACTTTACAAACAGACTGTTTCCAAACTGCTGAATGAAAAGAAAAGTTAAACTCTGAGAGTTGAACGCACACATCGCAGAGCAGTTTCTGAGAATGATTCTGTCTACTTTTTATACGAAGATATTTCCTTTTCTGCCTTTGGCCTCAAAGCGCTTGAAATCTCCACTTGCAAATTCCACAAAAAGAGTGTTTCAAATCTGCTCTGTGTAAATGAAAGTTCAACTCTGTGAGTTGAACACACACAACACAAGGAAGTTACTGGGAATTCTTCTGTCTAGCATAATATAAAGAAATCCCGTTTCCAACGAAGGCCTCAAAGAGGTCTGAATATCCACTTGTAGACTTTACAAACAGAGTGTTTCCTAACTGCTCTATGAAAAGAAAGTTGAAACTCTGTGAGTTGAACGCACACATCACAAAGCAGTTTCTGAAAATCATTCTGTCTTGTCTTTATACGAAGATATTTACTTTTCTACCATTGACTTCAAAGCGGCTGAAATCTCCACTTGCAAATTCCACAAAAAGAGTGTTTCAAGTCTGCTCTGTGTAAAGGATCATTCAACTCTGTGAGTTGAATAAACACAACACAAGGTAAGTTACTGAGAATTCTTCTGTCTAGCAGAATATGAAGAAATCCCGTTTCCAACGAAGGCCACAAGATGTCAGAATATCCACTTACAGACTTTACAAACAGAGTGTTTCCTAACTGCTCTATGAACAGAAAGGTTAAACTCTGTGAGTTGAACGAACACATCACAACGCAGTTTGTGGGAATCATTCTGTCTAGTTTTGAAACGAAGATATTTCCTTTTCTGCCATTGACCTGAAAGCGCTTCAAATCTACACTTGCAAATTGCACAAATAGAGTGTTTCAAATCTGCTCTGTCTAAGGGAACGTTCAACTCTGTGAGTTGAATGCACACAACACAAGGAAGTTACTGGGAATTCTTCTGTCTAGCCTGACAGGAAAAAAACCCGTTTCCAACGAAGGCCTCTAAGTGGTCAAAATATCCACGTGCAGACTTTACAAACAGAGTGTTTCCACACTGCTGAATGAAAAGAAAAGTTAAACTCTGAGAGTTGAACGCACACATCGCAGAGCAGTTTCTGAGAATGATTGTGTCTAGTTTTCATACGAAGATATTTCCTTTTCTGCCTTTGGCCCCAAAGCGCTTGAAATCTCCACTTGCAAATTCCACAAAAACAGTGTTTCAAATCTGCTCTCTCTAAATGAAAGTTCAACTCTGTCAGTTGAATACACATAACACAAGGAAGTTACTGAGAATTCTTCTGTCTAGCCTTATATGAAAAAAACCCGTTTCCAACGAAGGCCTCAAAGAGGTCTGAATATCCACTTGCAGACTTTACAAACAGAGTGTTTCCTAACTGCTCTAAGAAAAGAAAGGTTAAACTCTGTGAGTTGAACGCACACATCACAAAGGAGTTTCTGAGAATCATTCTGTCTAGTTTTTATACGAAGATATTTCCTTTTCTACCATTGACTTCAAAGCGGCTGAAATCTCCACTTGCAAATTCCACAAAAAGAGTGTTTCAAGTCTACTCTGTGTAAAGGATCATTCAACTCTGTGAGTTGAAAACACACAACACAAGGAAGTTTCTGAGAATTCTTCTGTCTAGCAGAATATGAAGAAATCCCGTTTCCAACGAAGGCCACAAGATGTCAGAGTATCCACTTAGAGACTTTACAAACAGAGTGTTTCCTAACTGCTCTATGAACAGAAAGGTTAAACTGTGTGAGTTGAACGAACACATCACAACGCAGTTTGTGGGAATGATTCTGTCTAGTTTTGAAACGAAGATATTTCCTTTTCTGCCGTTGACCTTAAAGCGCTTGAAATCTACACTTGCAAATTGCACAAATAGAGTGTTTCCAATCTGCTCTGTCTAAGGGAACGTTCAACTCTGTGAGTTGAATGCACACAACACAAAGAAGTTACTGGGAATTCTTCTGTCTAGCATAATATGAAGAAATCCCGTTTCCAACGAAGGCCTCAAGGAGGTCTGAATATCCACTTGCAGACTTTACAAACAGAGTGTTTCCTAACTGCTCTGTGAAAAGAAAGGTTAAACTCTGTGAGTTGAACGCACACATCACAAAGGAGTTTCTCAGAATCATTCTGTCTAGTTTCTATAGGAAGATATTTCCTTTTCTACCATTGACCTCAAAGCGGCTGAAATCTCCACATGCAAATTCCACAAAAAGAGTGTTTCAAGTCTGCTCTGTGTAAAGGATCGTTCAATTCTGTGAGTTGAATACACACAACACAAGGAAGTTACTGAGAATTCTTCTGTCTAGCCTTATATGAAAAAAACCCGTTTCCAACGAAGGCCTCAAAGAGGTCTGAATATCCACTTGCAGACTTTACAAACAGAGTGTTTCCTAACTGCTCTATGAAAAGAAAGGTTAAAATCTGTGAGTTGAACACACACATCACAAAGGAGTTTCTGAGAATCATTCTGTCTAGTTTTGAAACGAAGATATTTCCTTTTCTACCATTGGCCTCAACGCGGCTGAAATCTCCATTTGCAAATTCCACAAAAAGAGTGTTTCAAATCTGCTCTGTGTAAATGAAAGTTCAACTCTGTGAGTTGAACACACACAACACAAGGGAAGTTACTGGGAATTCTTCTGTCTAGCAGAATATGAAGAAATCCCGTTTCCAACGAAGGCCACAAGATGTCAGAATATCCACTTACAGACTTTACAAACAGAGTGTTTCCTAACTGCTCTATGAACAGAAAGGTTAAACTCTGTGAGTTGAACGAACACATCACAACGCAGTTTGTGGGAATGATTTTCTGTCTAGTTTTGAAACGAAGATATTTCCTTTTCTGCCATTGACCTTAAAGCGCTGGAAATCTCCATTTGCCAATTGCACAAAAAGAGTGTTTCAAATCTGCTCTGTCTAAGGGAACGTTCAACTCTGTGAGTTGAATGTACACAACACAAGGAAGTTACTGGGAATTCTTCTGTCTAGCCTTACAAGAAAAAAACCCGTTTCCAACGAAGGTCTCTAAATGGTCAAAATATCCACGTGCAGACTTTACAAACAGAGTGTTTCCAAACTGCTGAATGAAAAGAAAAGTTAAACTCTGAGAGTTGAACGCACACATCGCAGAGCAGTTTCTGAGAATGATTCTGTCTAGTTTTGAAACGAAGATATTTCCTTTTCTGCCTTTGGCCTCAAAGCGCTTGAAATCTCCACTTGCAAATTCCACAGAAAGAGTGTTTCAAATCTGCTCTGTGTAAATGAAAGTTCAACTCTGTGAGTTGAACACACACAACACAAGGAAGTTACTGGGAATTCTTCTGTCTAGCAGAATATGAAGAAATCCCGTTTCCAACGAAGGCCTCAAGGAGGTCTGAATATCCACTTGCAGACTTTACAAACAGAGTGTTTCCTAACTGCTCTATGAACAGAAAGGTTAAACTCTGTGAGTTGAACGCACACATCACAAAGGACTTTCTGAGAATCATTCTGTCTAGTTTCTATAGGAAGATATTTCCTATTCTACTATTGACCACAAAGCGGCTGAAATCTCCACTTGCAAATTCCACAAAAAGAGTGTTTCAAGTCTGCTCTGTGTAAACGATCGTTCAACTCTGTGAGGTGAATTCACACAACACAAGGAAGTTACTGAGAATTCTTCTGTCTAGCATAATATGATGAAATCCCGTTTCCAACGAAGGCCTCAAGGAGGTCTGAATATCCACTTGCAGACTTTACAAACAGATTGTTTCCTAACTGCTCTATGAACAGAAAGGTTAAACTCTGTGAGTTGAACGAACACATCACAACGCAGTTTGTGGGAATGATTCTGTCTAGTTTTGAAACCAAGATATTTCCTTTTCTGCCGTTGACCTTAAAGAGCTTGAAAACTACACTTGCAAATTGCACAAATAGAGTGTTTCAAATCTGCTCTGTCTAAGGGAACGTTCAACTCTGTGAGTTGAATGCACACAACACAAGGAAGTTACTGGGAATTCTTCTGTCTACCCTTACAGGAAAGAAACCCGTTTCCAACGAAGGCCTCTAAGTGGTCAAAATATCCACGTGCAGACTTTACAAACAGATTGTTTCCAAACTGCTGAATGAAAAGAAAAGTTAAACTCTGAGAGTTGAACGCACACATCACAGAGCAGTTTCTGAGAATGATTCTGTCTAGTTTTTATACGAAGATATTTCCTTTTCTGCCTTTGGCCCCAAAGCGCTTGAAATCTCCACTTGCAAATTCCACAAAAAGAGTGTTTCAAATCTGCTCTCTCTAAATGAAAGTTCAACTCTGTCAGTTGAATACACACAACACAAGGAAAGTTACTGAGAATTCTTCTGTCTAGCATAATATGAAGAAATCCCATTTCCAACGAAGGCCTCAAAGGGGTCTGAATATCCACTTGCAGACTTTATAAACAGAGTGTTTACTAACTGCTCTATGAAAAGAAAGGTTAAACTCTGTGAGTTGAACACACACATCACAAAGGAGTTTCTGAGAATCATTCTGTCTAGTTTCTATAAGAAGATATTCCCTATTCTACCATTGACCTCAAAGCGGCTGAAATCTCCACTTGCAAATTCGACAAAAAGAGTGTTTCAAGCCTGCTCTCTGTAAAGGATCCTTCAACTCTGTGAGTTGAATACACACAACACAAGGAAGTTACTGAGAATTCTTCTGTCTAGCAGAATATGAAGAAATCCCGTTTCCAACGAAGGCCTCAAAGAGGTCTGAATATCCACTTGCAGACTTTACAAACAGAGTGTTTCCTAACTGCTCTATGAACAGAAAGGTTAAACTCTGTGAGTTGAACGAACACATCACAATGCAGTTTGTGGGAATGATTCTGTCTAGTTTTAAAACGAAGATATTTCCTTTTCTGCCATTGACGTTAAAGCGCTTGAAATCTACACTTGCAAATTGCACAAATAGAGTGTTTCAAATCTGCTCTGTCTAAGGGAACGTTCAACTCTGTGAGTTGAATGCACACAACACAAGGATGTCACTGGGAATTCTTCTGTCTAGCCTTACATGAAAAAAACCCGTTTCCAACGAAGGCCTCTAAGTGGTCAAGTTATCCACGTGCAGACTTTACAAACAGAGTGTTTCCAAACTGCTGAATGAAAAGAAAAGTTAAACTCTGAGAGTTGAACGCACACATCGCAGAGCAGTTTCTGAGAATGATTCTGTCTAGTTTTCAAACGAAGATATTTCCTTTTCTGCTTTGGCCTCAAAGCGCTTGAAATCTCCACTTGCAAATTCCACAAAAAGAGTGTTTCAAATCTGCTCTGTGTAAATGAAAGTTCAACTCTGTGAGTTGAACACACACAACACAAGGAAGTTACTGGGAATTCTTCTTTCTGGCAGAATATGAAGAAATCCCGTTTCCAACGAAAGCCTCAAGGATGTCTGAATATCCACTTGCAGACTTTACAAACAGAGTGTTTCCTAACTGCTCTATGAAAAGAAAGGTTAAACTCTGTGAGTTAAACGCACACATCACAAAGGAGTTTCTGAGAATCATTCTGTCTAGTCTTTATACGAAGATATTTCCTTTTCTACCATTGACCTCAAAGCGGCTGAAATCTCCACTTGCAAATTCCACAAAAAGAGTGTTTCAAGTCTGCTCTGCGTAAAGGATCGTTCAACTCTGTGAGTTGAATACACACAAAACAAGGAAGGTACTGAGAATTCTTCTGTCTAGCAGAATATGAAGAAATCCCGTTTCCAACGAAGGCCACAAGATGTCAGAATATCCACTTACAGACTTTACAAACAGAGTGTTTCCAAACCGCTGAATGAAAAGAAAAGTTAAACTCTGAGAGTTGAACGCACACATCACGCAGCAGTTTCTGAGAATGATTCTGTCTAGTTTTGAAACGAAGATATTTCCTTTTCTGCCATTGACCTTAAAGCGCTTGAAATCTCCACTTGCCAATTGCACAAAAAGAGTGTTTCAAATCTGCTCTGTCTAAGGGAACGTTCAACTCTGTGAGTTGAATGTACACAACGCAAGGAAGTTCCTGGGAATTCTTCTGTCTAGCCTTACAGGAAAAAAACCCGTTTCCAACAAAGGCCTCTAAGTGGTCAAAATATCCACGTGCAGACTTTACAAACAGAGTGTTTACAAACTGCTGAATGAAAAGAAAAGTTAAACTCTGAGAGTTGAACGCACACATCGCAGAGCAGTTTCTGAGAATGATTCTGTCTAGTTTTTATACGAAGATATTTCCTTTTCTGCCTTTGGCCTCAAAGCGCTTGAAATCTCCACTTGCAAATTCCACAAAAAGAGTATTTCAAATCTGCTCTGTGTAAATGAAAGTTCAACTCTGTGAGTTGAACACACACAACACAAGGAAGTTACTGGGAATTCTTCTGTCTAGCAGAATATGAAGAAATCCCGTTTCCAACGAAGGCCTCAAAGAGGTCTGAATATCCACTTGCAGACTTTACAAACAGAGTGTTTCCTAACTGCTCTATGAAAAGAAAGGTTAAACTCTGTGAGTTGAACACACACATCACAAAGGAGTTTCTGAGAATCATTCTGTCTAGTTTCTATAGGAAGATATTTCCTATTCTACCATTGAACTCACAGCGGCTGAAATCTCCACTTGCAAATTCCACAAAAAGAGTGTTTCAAGTCTGCTCTGTGTAAAGGATCGTTCAACTCTGTGAGTTGAATACACACAACACAAGGAAGTTACTGAGAATTCTTCTGTCTAGCAGAATATGAAGAAATCCCGTTTCCAACGAAGGCCACAAGATGTCAGAATATCCACTTATAGACTTTACAAACAGAGTGTTTCCTAACTGCTCTATGAACGGAAAGGTTAAACACTGTGAGTTGAACGAACACATCACAACGCAGTTTGTGGGAATGATTCTGTCTAGTTTTGAAACGAAGATATTTCCTTTTCTGCCATTGACCTTAAAGCGCTTGAAATCTACACTTGCAAATTGCACAAATAGAGTGTTTCAAATCTGCTCTGTCTAAGGAACGTTCAACTCTGTGAGTTGAATGCACACAACACAAGGAAGTTACTGGGAATTCTTCTGCCTAGCCTTACATGAAAAAAACCCGTTTCCAACGAAGGCCTCTAAGTGGTCAAAATATCCACGTGCAGACTTTACAAACAGAGTGTTTCAGAACCGCTGAATGAAAAGAAAAGTTAAACTCTGAGAGTTGAACGCACACATCACGCAGCAGTTTCTGAGAATGATTCTGTCTAGTTTTTATACGAAGATATTTCGTTTTCTGCCTTTGGCCAAAAAGCGCTTGAAATCTCCACTTGCAAATTCCACAAAAACAGTGTTTCAAATCTGCTCTCTGTAAATGAAAGTTCAACTCTGTCAGTTGAATACAAACAACACAAGGAAGTTACTGAGAATTCTTCTGTATAGCAGAATATGAAGAAATCCCGTTTCCAACGAAGGCCTCAAGGAGGTCTGACTATCCACTTGCAGACTTTACAAACAGAGTGTTTCCTAACTGCTCTATGAAAAGAAAGGTTAAACTCTGTGAGTTGAACGCAGACATCACAAAGAAGTTTCTGAGAATCACTCTGTCTAGTTTCTATAGGAAGATATTTCCTATTCTACCATTGAACTCAAAGCGGCTGAAATCTCCCCTTGCAAATTCCACAAAAAGAGTGTTTCAAGTCTGCTCTGTGTAAAGGATCGTTCAACTACTGTGAGTTGAATACACACAACACAAGGAAGTTACTGAGAATTCTTCTGTCTAGCAGAATATGAAGAAATCCCGTTTCCAACGAAGGCCACAAGATGTCAGAATATCCACTTACAGAATTTACAAACAGACTGTTTCCTAACTGCTCTATGAAAAGAAAGGTTAAACTCTGTGAGTTGAACGAACACATCACAACGCAGTTTGTGGGAGTGATTCTGTCTAGTTTTGAAACGAAGATATTTCCTTTTCTGCCATTGACCTTAAAGCGCTTGAAATCTCCACTTGCCAATTGCACAAAAAGAGTGTTTCAAATCTGCTCTGTCTAAGGGAACGTTCAACTCTGTGAGTTGAATGTACACAACGCAAGGAAGTTACTGGGAATTCTTCCGTCTAGCCTTACATGAAAAAAACCCGTTTCCAACGAAGGCCTCTAAGAAGTCCAAATATCCACGTGCAGAATTTACAAACAGAGTGTTTCCTAACGGCTCTATGAAAAGAAAGGTTAAACTCTGTGAGTTGAACGCCCACATCACAAAGGAGTTTCTGAGAATCATTCTGTCTAGTTTTTATACGAAGATATTTCCTTTTCTGCCTTTGGCCCCAAAGCGCTTGAAATCTCCACTTGCAAATTCCACAAAAACAGTGTTTCAAATCTGCTCTCTCTAAATGAAAGTTCAACTGTGTCAGTTGAATACACACAACACAAGGAAGTTACTGAGAATTCTTCTGTCTAGCAGAATATGAAGAAATCCCGTTTCCAACGAAAGCCTCAATGATGTCTGAATATCCACCTGCAGACTTTACAAACAGAGTGTTTCCTAACTGCTCTATGAAAAGAAAGTTTAAACTCTGTGAGTTGAACGCACACAGCACAAAGGAGTTTCTGACAATCATTCTGTCTAGTTTTTATACGAAGATATTTCCTTTTCTACAATTGACCTCAAAGCGGCTGAAATCTCCACTTGCAAATTCCACAAAAGGGTGTTTCTAGTCTGCTCTGTGTAAAGGATCGTTGAACTCTGTGAGTTGAATACACACAACACAAGGAAGTTACTCAGAATTCTTCTGTCTAGCAGAATATGAAGAAATCCCGTTTCCAACGAAGGCCACAAGATGTCAGAATACCCACTTACAGACTTTACAAACAGAGTGTTTCCTCACTGCTCTATGAACAGAAAGGTTAAACTCTGTGAGTTGAACGAACACATCACAACGCAGTTTGTGGGAATGATTCTGTCTAGTTTTGAAACGAAGATATTCCCTTTTCTGCCATTGACCTTAAAGCGCTTGAAATCTACACTTGCAAATTGCACAAATAGAGTGTTTCAAATCTGCTCCGTCTAGGGAACGTTCAAATCTGTGAGTTGAATGCACACAACACAAGGAAGTTACTGGGAATTCTTCTGTCTAGCCTTACTTGAAAAAAACCCGTTTCCAAAGAAGGCCTCTAAGTGGTCAAAATATCCACGTGCAGACTTTACAAACAGAGTGTTTCCAAACCGCTGAATGAAAAGAAAAGTTAAACTCTGAGAGTTGAACGCACACATCACGCAGCAGTTTCTGAGAATGATTCTGTCTAGTTTTTATACGAAGATATTTCCTTTTCTGCCTTTGGCCCCAAAGCGCTTGAAATCTCCACTTGCAAATTCCACAAAAACAGTGTTTCAAATCTGCTCTCTCTAAATGAAAGTTCAACTCTGTCAGTTGAATACACACAACACAAAGAAGTTACTGAGAATTCTTCTGTCTAGCACAGTATGAAGAAATCCCGTTTCCAACGAAGGCCTCAAAGAGGTCTGAATATCCACTTGCAGAGTTTACAAACGGTGTTTCCTAACTGCTCTATGAAAAGAAAGGTTAAACTCTGTGAGTTGAACGCACACATCACAATGAAGTTTCTGAGAATCATTCTGTCTAGTTTTTATAGGAAGATATTTCCTTTTCTACCTTTGACTTCAAAGCGGCTGAAATCTCCACTTGCAAATTCCACAAAAAGAGTGTTACAAGTCTGCTCTGTGTAAAGGATCGTTCAACTCTGTGAGTTGAATACACACAACACAAGGAAGTTACTGAGAATTCTTCTGTCTAGCATAGTATGAAGAAATCCCGTTACCAACGAAGGCCTCAAAGAGGTCTGAATATCCACTTGCAGAGTTTACAAACAGAGTGTTTCCTAACTGCTCTGTGAAAAGAAAGGTTAAACTCTGTGAGTTGAACGCACACATCACAAAGAAGTTTCTGAGAATCATTCTGTCTAGTTTTTATACGAAGATATTTCCTTTTCTACCATTGACCTCAAAGCGGCTGAAATCACCACTTGCCAATTGCACAAAAAGAGTGTTTCAAATCTGCTCTGTCTAAGGGAACGTTCAACTCTGTGAGTTGAATGTACACAACACAAGGAAGTTACTGGGAATTCTTCTGTCTAGCCTTACATGAAAAAAACCCGTTTCCAAAGAAGGCCTCTAAGTTGTCAAATTATCCACGTGCAGACTTTACAAACAGAGTGTTTCCAAACTGCTGAATGAAAAGAAAAGTTAAACTCTGAGAGTTGAACGCACACATCGCAGAGCAGTTTCTGAGAATGATTCTGTCTAGTTTTTATACGAAGATATTTCCTTTTCTGCCTTTGGCCTCAAAGCGCTTGAAATCTCCACTTGCAAATTCCACAAAAAGAGTGTTTCAAATCTGCTCTGTGTAAATGAAAGTTCAACTCTGTGAGTTGAACACACACAACCCAAGGAAGTTACTGGGAATTGTTCTGTCTAGCATAATATGAAGAAATCCCGTTTCCAACGAAGGCCTCAAAGGGGTCTGAATATCCACTTGCAGACTTTATAAACAGAGTGTTTACTAACTGCTCTATGAAAAGAAAGGTTAAACTCTGTGAGTTGAACACACACATCACAAAGAAGTTTCTGAGAATCATTCTGTCTAGTTTTTCTACGAAGATATTTCCTTTTCTACTATTGACCTCAAAGCGGCTGAAATCTCCACTTGCAAATTCCACAAAAAGAGTGTTTCAAGTCTGCTCTGTGTAAAGGATCGTCCAACTCTGTGAGTTGAATACACACAACACAAGGAAGTTACTGAGAATTCTTCTGTCTAGCAGAATATGAAGAAATCCCGTTTCCAACGAACGCCACAAGATGTCAGAATATCCACTTACAGAATTTACAAACAGACTGTTTCCTAACTGCTCTATGAAAAGAAAGGTTAAACTCTGTGAGTTGAACGAACACATCACAACGCAGTTTGTGGGAATGATTCTGTCTAGTTTTTATACGAAGATATTTCCTTTTCTACCATTGACCTCAAAGCGGCTGAAATCACCACTTGCAAATTGCACAAAAAGAGTGTTTCAAATCTGCTCTGTCTAAGGGAACGTTCAACTCTGTGAGTTGAATGTACACAACACAAGGAAGTTACTGGGAATTCTTCTGTCTAGCCTTACATGAAAAAAACCCGTTTCCAACGAAGGCCTCTAAGTGGTCAAAATATCCACGTGCAGACTTTACAAACAGAGTGTTTCCAAACCGCTGAATGAAAAGAAAAGTTAAACTCTGAGAGTTGAACGCACACATCACGCCGCAGTTTCTGAGAATGATTCTGTCTAGTTTTTATACGAAGATATTTCCTTTTCTGCCTTTGGCCTCAAAGTGCATGAATTCTCCATTTGCAAATTCCACAAAAAGAGTGTTTCAAATCTGCTCTGTCTAAATGAAAGTTCAACTCTGTGAGTTCTACACACACAACACAAGGAAGTTACTGGGAATTCTTCTGTCTAGCATAATATGAAGAAATCCCGTTTCCAAAGAAGGCCTCAAGGAGATCTGAATATCCACTTGCAGACTTTACAAACAGAGTGTTTCCTAACTGCTCTATGAAAAGAAAGGTTAAACTCTGTGAGTTGAACGCACACATCACAAAGGAGTTTCTCAGAATCATTCTGTCTAGTTTTTATACGAAGATATTTCCTTTTCTACCATTGACCTCAACGCGGCTGAAATCTCCACTTGCAAATTCCACAAAAGAAGTGTTTCTAATCTGCTCTGTGTAAAGGATCGTTCAACTCTGTGAGTTGAATACACACAACACAAGGAAGTTACTGAGAATTCTTCTGTCTAGGAGAATATGAAGAAACCCCGTTTCCAACGAAGGCCACAAGATGTCAGAATATCCACTTACAGAATTGACAAACAGACTGTTTCCTAACTGCTCTATGAAAAGAAAGGTTAAACTCTGTGAGTTGAACGAACACATCACAACGCAGTTTGTGGGAATGATTCTGTCTAGTTTTGAAACGAAGATATTTCCTTTTCTGCCATTGACCTTAAAGCGCTTGAAATCTACACTTGCAAATTGCACAAATAGAGTGTTTCAATTCTGCTCTGTCTAAGGAAACGTTCAACTCTGTGAGTTGAATGCACACAACACAAGGAAGTTACTGGGAATTCTTCTGTCTAGCCTTACATGAAAAAAACCCGTTTCCAACGAAGGCCTCTAAGTGGTCAAATTATCCACGTGCAGACTTTACAAACAGAGTGTTTCCAAACTGCTGAATGAAAAGAAAAGTTAAAGTCTGAGAGTTGTACGCACACATCGCAGAGCAGTTTCTGAGAATGATTCTGTCTAGTTTCTATAGGAAGATATTTCCTATTCTACCATTGACCTCAAAGCGGCTGAAATCTCCACTTGCAAATTCCACAAAAAGAGTGTTTCAAGTCTGCTCTGTGTAAAGGATTGTTCAACTCTGTGAGTTGAATACACACAACACAAGGAAGTTACTGAGAATTCTTCTGTCTAGCATAATATGAAGAAATCCTGTTTCCAACGAAGGCCTCAAGGAGGTCTGAATATCCACTTGCAGTCTTTACAAACAGAGTGTTTCCTAACTGCTCTATGAAAAGAAAGGTTAAACTCTGTGAGTTGAACGCACACATCACAAAGGAGTTTCTGAGAATCATTCTGTCTAGTTTCTATAGGAAAATATTTCCTATTCTACCATTGACCTCAAAGCGGCTGAAATCTCCACTTGCAAATTCCACAAAAAGAGTGTTTCAAGTCTGCTCTGTGTAAAGGATCGTTCAACTCTGTGAGTTGAAAACACACAACACAAGGAAGTTTCTGAGAATTCTTGTGTCTAGCAGAATATGAAGAAATCCCGTTTCCAACGAAGGCCTCAAAGAGGTCTGAATATCCACTTGCAGACTTTACAAACAGAGTGTTTCCTAACTGCTCTATGAAAAGAAAGGTTAAACTCTGTGAGTTGAACGCACACATCACAAAGGAGTTTCTGAGAATCATTCTGTCTAGTTTCTATAGGAAGATATTTCCTATTCTACCATTGAACTCAAAGCGGCTGAAATCTCCACTTGCAAATTCCACAAAAAGAGTGTTTCAAATCTGCTCTCTCTAAAGCAAGGTTCAACTCTGTGAGTTGAATACACACAACACAAAAAAGTTACTGAGAACTCTTCTGTCTAGCAGAATATGAAGAAATCCCGTTTCCAACGAAGGCCTCAAGGAGGTCCGAATATCCACTGGCAGACTTTACAAACAGAGTGTTACCTAACTGCTCTATGAACAGAAAGGTTAAACTCTGTGAGTTGAACGAACACATCACAACGCAGTTTGTGGGAATGATACTGTCTAGTTTTGAAACGAAGATATTTCCTTTTCTGCCATTGACCTTAAAGCGCTTGAAATCTCCACTTGCCAATTGCACAAAAAGAGTGTTTCAAATCTGCTCTGTCTAAGGGAACGTTCAACTCTGTGAGTTGAATGTACACAACACAAGGAAGTTACTGGGAATTCTTCTGTCTAGCCTTACAGGAAAAAAACCCGTTTCCAACGAAGGCCTCTAAGTGGTCAAAATATCCACGTGCAGACTTTACAAACAGAGTGTTTCCAAACTGCTGAATGAAAAGAAAAGTTAAACTCCTGAGAGTTGAACGCACACATCGCAGAGCAGTTTCTGAGAATGATTTCTGCCTAGTTTTTCTACGAAGATATTTCCTTTTCTGCCTTTGGCCTCAAAGCGCTTGAAATCTCCACTTGCAAATTCCACAAAAAGAGTGTTTCAAATCTGCTCTGTGTAAATGAAAGTTCAACTCTGTGAGTTGAACACACACAACACAAGGAAGTTACTGGGAATTCTTCTCTCTAGCCTTATATGAAAAAAACCCGTTTCCAACGAAGGCCTCAAAGAGGGCTGAATATCCACTTGCAGACTTTAGAAACAGAGTGTTTCCTAACTGCTCTATGAAAAGAAAGGTTAAACTCTGTGAGTTGAACGCACACATCACAAAGGAGTTTCTGAGAATCATTCTGTCTAGTTTCTATAGGAAGATATTTCCTATTCTACCATTGACCTCAAAGCGGCTGAAATCTCCACTTGCAAATTCCACAAAAAGAGTGTTTCAAGTCTGCTCTGTGTAAAGGATCGTTCAACTCTGTGAGTTGAATACACACAACACAAAGATGTTACTGAGAATTCTTCTGTCTAGCAGAATATGAAGAAATCCCGTTTCCAACGAAGGCCACAAGATGTCAGAATATCCACATACAGACTTTACAAACAGAGTGTTTCCTAACTGCTCTATGAACAGAAATGTTAAACTCTGTGAGTTGAACGAACACATCACAACGCAGTTTGTGGGAATGATTCTGTCTAGTTTTGAAACGAACAATTTCCTTTTCTGCCATTGACCTTAAAGCGCTTGAAATCTCCATTTGCCAATTGCACAAAAAGAGTGTTTCAAATCTGCTCTGTCTAAGGGAACGTTCAACTCTGTGAGTTGAATGTACACAACACAAGGCAAGTTACTGGGAATTCTTCTGTCTAGCAGAATATGAAGAAATCCCGTTTCCAACGAAGGCCTCAAAGAGGTCTGAATATCCACTTGCAGACTTTACAAACAGAGTGTTTCCTAACTGCTCTATGAAAAGAAAGGTTAAACTCTGTGAGTTGTACGCACACATCACAAAGGAGTTTCGGAGAATCATTCTGTCTAGTTTTTATACGAAGATATTTCCTTTTCAACCATTGACCACAAAGCGGCTGAAATCTCCACTTGCAAATTCCACAAAAAGAGTGTTTCAAGTCTACTCTGTGTAAAGCATCGTTCAACTCTGTGAGTTGAAATCACACAACACAAGGAAGTTTCTGAGAATTCTTCTGTGTAGCAGAATATGAAGAAAACCCGTTTGCAACGAAAGCCTCAAAGATGTCTGAATATCCACTTGCAGACCTTACAAACAGAGTGTTTCCTAACTGCTCTATGAAAAGAAAGGTTAAACTCTGTGAGTTGAACGCACACATCACAAAGGAGTTTCTGAGAATCATTCTGTGTAGTTTTTCTACGAAGATATTTCCTTTTCTACTATTGACCTCAAAGCGGCTGAAATCTCCACTTGCAAATTCCACAAAAAGAGTGTTTCAAGACTGCTCTGTGTACAGGATCCTTCAACTCTGTGAGTTGAATACACACAACACAAGGAAGTTACTGAGAATTCTTCTGTCTAGCAGAATATGAAGAAATCCCGTTTCCAACGAAGGCCACAAGATGTCAGAATATCCACTTACAAAATTTACAAACAGACTGTTTCCTAACTGCTCTATGAAAAGAAAGGTTAAACTCTGTGAGTTGAACGAACACATCACAACGCAGTTTGTGGGAATGATTCTGTCTTGTTTTGAAACGAAGATATTTCCTTTTCTGCCATTGACCTTAAAGCGCTTGAAATCTCCACTTGCCAATTGCACAAAAAGAGTGTTTCAAATCTGCTCTGTCTAAGGGAACGTTCAACTCTGTGAGTTGAATGTACACAACACAAGGAAGTTACTGGGAATTCTTCTGTCTAGCCTTACAGGAAAAAAACCCGTTTCCAACGAAGGCCTCAAAGAGGTCTGAATATCCACTTGCAGTCTTTACAAACAGAGTGTTTCCTAACTGCTCTATGAAAAGAAAGGTTAAATTCTGTGAGTTGAACGCACACATCACAAAGGAGTTTCTGAGAATAATTCCGTTTAGTTTTTATACGAAGATATTTCCTTTTCTGCCTTTGGCCCCAAAGCGCTTGAAATCTCCACTTGCAAATTCCACAAAAACAGGTTTTCAAATCTGCTCTCTCTAAATGAAAGTTAAACTCTGTCAGTTGAATACACACAACACAAGGAAGTTACTGAGAATTCTTCTGTCTAGCCTTATATGAAAAAAACCCTTTTCCAACGAAGGCCTCAAAGAGGTCTGAATATCCACTTGCAGACTTTACAAACAGAGTGTTTCCTAACTGCTCTATGAAAAGAAAGGTTAAACTCTGTGAGTTGAACGCACACATCACAAAGGAGTTTCTGAGAATCATTCTGTCTAGTTTCTATAGGAAGATATTTCCTATTCTACCATTGACCTCAAAGCGGCTGAAATCTCCACTTGCAAATTCCACAAAAAGAGTGTTTCAAGTCTGCTCTCTGTAAAGGATCGTTCAACTCTGTCAGCTGAATAAACACAACACAAAGAAGTTACTGAGAATTATTCTGTCTAGCAGAATATGAAGAAATCCCGTTTCCAACGAAGGCCACAAGATGTCAGAATATCCACTTTCAGACTTTACAAACAGAGTGTTTCCTAACTGCTCTATGAACGGAAAGGTTAAACTCTGTGAGTTGAACGAACACATCACAACGCAGTTTGTGGGAATGATTCTGTCTAGTTTTGAAACGAAGATATTTCCTTTTCTGCCATTGACCTTAAAGCGCTTGAAATCTACACTTGCCAATTGCACAAATAGAGTGTTTCAAATCTGCTCTGTCTAAGGGAACGTTCAACTCTGTGAGTTGAATGCACACAACACGAGGAAGTTACTGGGAATTCTTTTGTCTAGCCTTACAGGAAAAAAACCCGTTTCCAACGAAGGCCTCTAAGTGGTCAAAATATCCACGTGCAGACTTTACAACCAGAGTGTTTCCAAACTGCTGAATGAAAAGAAAAGTTAAACTCTGAGAGTTGAACGCACACATCGCAGAGCAGTTTCTGAGAATGATTCTGTCTAGTTTTGAAACGAAGACATTTCCTTTTCTGCCTTTGGCCTCAAAGCCCTTGAAATCTCCACTTGCAAATTCCACAAAAAGAGTGTTTCAAATCTGCTCTGTGTAAATGAAAGTTCAACTCTGTGAGTTGAACACACACAACACAAGGGAAGTTACTGGGAATTCTTCTGTATAGCAGAATATGAAGAAATCCCGTTTACAACGAAAGCCTCAAAGATGTCTGAATATCCACTTGCAGACATTACAAACAGAGTGTTTCCTAACTGCTCTATGAAAACAAAGGTTAAACTCTGTGAGTTGAACGCACACATCACAAAGGAGTTTCTGAGAATCATTCTGTCTAGTTTCTATAGGAAGATATTTCCTATTCTACCATTGACCTCAAAGCGGCTGAAATCTCCACTTGCAAATTCCACAAAAAGAGTGTTTCAAGTCTGTTCTGTGTAAAGGATCATTCAACTCTGTGAGTTGAATACACACAACACAAGGGAAGTTACTGAGAATTCTTCTGTCTAGCAGAATATGAAGAAATCCCGTTTCCAACGAAGGCCTCAAAGAGGTCTGAATATCCACTTGCAGACTTTACAAACAGAGTGTTTCCCAACTGCTCTATGAACAGAAAGGTTAAACTCTGTGAGTTGAACGCACACATCACAAAGGAGTTTCTGAGAATCATTCTGTCTAGTTTTGAAACGAAGATATTTCCTTTTCTGCCATTGACCTTAAAGCGCTTGAAATCTCCACTTGCCAATTTCACAAAAAGAGTGTTTCAAATCTGCTCTGTCTAAGGGAACGTTCAACTCTGTGAGTTGAATGTACACAACACAAGGAAGTTACTGGGAATTATTCTGTCTAGCCTTACAGGAAAAAAACCCGTTTCCAACGAAGGCCTCTAAGTGGTCAAAATATCCACGTGCAGACTTTACAAACAGAGTGTTTCCAAACTGCTGAATGAAAAGAAAAGTTAAACTCCTGAGAGTTGAACGCACACATCGCAGAGCAGTTTCTGAGAATGATTTCTGTCTAGTTTTTATACGAAGATATTTCCTTTTCTGCCTTTGGCCTCAAAGCGCTTGAAATCTCCATTTGCAAATTCCACAAAAAGAGTGTTTCAAATCTGCTCTGTGTAAATGAAAGTTCAACTTTGTGAGTTGAACACACACAACACAAGGATGTTACTGGGAATTCTTCTTTCTAGCAGAATATGAAGAAATCCCGTTTCCAACGAAAGCCTCAAGGATGTCTGAATATCCACTTGCAGACGTTACAAACAGAGTGTTTCCCAACTGCTCTATGAAAAGAAAGGTTAAACTCTGTGAGTTGAACGCACACATCACAAAGGAGTTTCTGAGAATCATTCTGTCTAGTTTTTATACGAAGATATTTCCTTTTCTACCATTGACCTCAAAGCGGCTGAAATCTCCACTTGCAAATTCCACAAAAAGAGTGTTTCAAGTCTGCTCTGTGTAAAGGATCGTTGAACTCTGTGAGTTGAACACACACAACACAAGTAAGTTACTGAGAATTCTTCTGTCTAGCAGAATATGAAGAAATCCCGTTTCCAACAAAGGCCACAAGATGTCAGAATATCCACTTACAGACTTTACAAACAGAGTGTTTCCTAACTGCTCTATGAACAGAAAGGTTAAACTCTGTGAGTTGAACGAACACATCACAACGCAGTTTGTGGGAATGATTTCTGTCTAGTTTTGAAATGAAGGTATATCGTTTTCTGCCATTGACCTTAAATCGCTTGAAATCTCCACTTGCCAATTGCACAAAAAGAGTGTTTCAAATCTGCTCTGTCTAAGGGAACGTTCAACTCTGTGAGTTGAATGCACGCAACACAAGGAACTTACAGGAAATTCTTCTGTCTAGCCTTACATGAAAAAAACCCGTTTCCAACGAAGGCCTCTAAGTGGTCAAAATATCCACGTGCAGACTTTACAAACAGAGTGTTTCGAAACTGCTGAATGAAAAGAAAAGTTAAACTCTCAGAGTTGAATGCACACATCGCCGAGCAGTTTCTGAGAATGATTCTGTCTAGTTTTGAAACGAAGATATTTCCTTTTCTGCCTTTGGCCTCAAAGCGCTTGAAATCTCCACTTGCAAATTCCACAAAAAGAGTGTTTCAAATCTGCTCTGGGTAAATGAAAGTTCAACTCTGTGAGTTGAACACACACAACACAAGGAAGTTACTGAGAATTCTTCTGTCTAGCATAATATGAAGAAATCCCGTTTCCAACGAAGGCCTCAAAGGGGTCTGAATATCCACTTGCAGACTTTATAAACAGAGTGTTTACTAACTGCTCTATGAAAAGAAAGGTTAAACTCTGTGAGTTGGACACACACATCACAAAGGAGTTTCTGAGAATCATTCTGTCTAGTTTCTATAGGAAGATATTTCCTATTCTACCATTGACCTCAAAGCGGCTGAAATCTCCACTTGCAAATTCCACAAAAAGAGTGTTTCAAGGCTGCTCTGTGTAAAGGATCGTTCAACTCTGTGAGTTGAATACACACAACACAAGGAAGTTACTGAGAATTCTTCCGTCTAGCAGAATATGAAGAAATCCCGTTTCCAACGAAGGCCACAAGATGTCAGAATATCCACTTACAGAATTTACAAACAGACTGTTTCCTAACTGCTCTATGAAAAGAAAGGTTAAACTCTGTGAGATGAACGAACACATCACAACGCAGTTTGTGGGAATGATTCTGTCTAGTTTTGAAACGAAGATATTTCCTTTTCTCCCATTGACCTTAAAGCGCTTGAAATCTCCACTTGCCAATTGCACAAAAAGAGTGTTTCAAATATGCTCTGTCTAAGGGAACGTTCAACTCTGTGAGTTGAATGTACACAACACAAGGAAGTTACTGGGAATTCTTCTGTCTAGCCTTACATGAAAAAAACCCGTTTCCAACGAAGGCCTCTAAATGGTCAAAATTTCCACATGCAGACTTTACAAACAGAGTGTTTCCAAACCGCTGAATGAAAAGAAAAGTTAAACTCTGAGAGTTGAACGCACACATCACGCAGCAGTTTCTGAGAATGACTCTGTCTAGTTTTTATACGAAGATATTTCCTTTTCTGCCTTTGGCCTCAAAGGGCTTGAAATCTCCACCTGCAAATTCCACAAAAAGAGTGTTTCAAATCTGCTCTGTGTAAATGAAAGTTCAACTCTGTGAGTTGAACACACACAACACAAGGAAGTTACTGGGAATTCTTCTGTCTAGCATAATATGAAGAAATCCCGTTTCCAACGAAGGCCTCAAGGAGGTCTCAATATCCACTTGCAGACTTTACAAACAGAGTGTTTCCTAACTGCTCTATGAAAAGAAAGGTTAAACTCTGTGAGTTGAACGCACACATCACAAAGGAGTTTCTGAGAATCATTCTGTCTAGTTTTTATACGAAGATATTTCCTTTTCTACCATTGACCACAAAGCGGCTGAAATCTCCACTTGCAAATTCCACAAAAAGAGTGTTTCAAGTCTGCTCTGTGTAAAGGATCGTTCAACTCTGTGAGTTGAATACACACAACACAAGGAAGTTACTGAGAATTCTTCTGTCTAGCAGAATATGAAGAAATCCCGTTTCCAACGAAGGCCACAAGATGTCAGAATATCCACTTACAGACTTTACAAACAGAGTGTTTCCTAACTGCACTATGAACAGAAAGGTTAAACTCTGTGAGTTGAACGAACACATCACAACGCAGTTTGTGGGAATGATTCTGTCTAGTTTTGAAACGAAGATATTATCTTTTCTGCCGTTGACCTTAAAGCGCTTGAAATCTACACTTGGAGATTGCACAAATAGAGTGTTTCAAATCTGCTCTGTCTAAGGGAACGTTCAACTCTGTGACTTGAATGCACACAACACAAGGAAGTTACTGGGAATTCTTCTGTCTAGCCTTACAGGAAAAAAACCCGTTTCCAACGAAGGCCTCTGAGTGGTCAAAATATCCACCTGCAGACTTTACAAACAGAGTGTTTCCAAACTGCTGAATGAAAAGAAAAGTTAAACTCTGAGAGTTGAACGCACACATCGCAGAGCAGTTTCTGAGAATGATTATCTGTCTAGTTTTGAAACGAAGATATTTCCTTTTCTGCCTTTGGCCTCAAAGCGCTTGAAATCTCCACTTGCAAATTCCACAAAAAGAGTGTTTCAAATCTGCTCTGTGTAAATGGAAGTTCAACTCTGTGAGTTTAACACACACAACACAAGGAAGTTACTGGGAATTCTTCTGTCTAGCCTTATATGAAAAAAACCCGTTTCCAACGAAGGCCTCAAAGAGGTCTGAATATCCACTTGCAGACTTTACAAACAGAGTGTTTCCTAACTGCTCTATGAAAAGAAAGGTTAAACTCTGTGAGTTGAACACACACATCACAAAGGAGTTTCCTGAGAATCATTCTGTCTAGTTTTTATACGAAGATATTTCCTTTTCTACCATTGACCTCAAAGCGGCTGAAATCTCCACTTGCAAATTCCACAAAAAGAGTGTTTCAAATCTGCTCTGTGTAAACCATCGTTCAACTCTGTGAGTTGAATACACACCACACAAGGAAGATTCTGAGAATTCTTCTGTCTAGCATCATATGAAGAAATCCCGTTTCCAACGAAGGCCACAAAGAGGTCTGAATATCCACTTGCAGACTTTACAAACAGAGTGTTTCCTAACTGCTCTATGAAAAGAAAGGTTAAACTCTGTGAGTTGAACGCACACATCACAAATGAGTTTCTGAGAATCATTCTGTCTAGTTTCTATAGGAAGATATTTCCTATTCTACAATTGACCTCAAAGCGGCAGAAATCTCCACTTGCAAATTCCACAAAAAGAGTGTTTCAAGTCTGCTCTGTGTAAAGGATCGTTCCACTCTGTGAGTTGAATACACACAACACAAGGAAGTTACTGAGAATTCTTCTGTCTAGCCTTACAAGAATAAAACCCGTTTCCAACGAAGGCCTCTAAGTGGTCAAAATATCCACGTGCAGACTTCACAAAGAGAATGTTTCCAAACTGCTGAATGAAAAGAAAAATTAAACTCTGAGAGTTGAATGCACACATCGCAGAGCAGTTTCTGAGAATGATTCTGTCTAGTTTTTATACGAAGATATTTCCTTTTCTGCCTTTGGCCTCAAAGCGCTTGAAATCTCCATTTGCAAATTCCACAAAAAGAGTGTTTCAAATCTGCTCTGTGTAAATGAAAGTTCAACTCTGTGAGTTGAATACAAACAACACAAGGAAGTTACTGAGAATTCTTCTGTCTAGCCTTATATGAAAAAAACCCGTTTCCAACGAAGGCCTCAAAGAGGTCTGAATATCCACTTGCAGACTTTACAAACAGAGTGTTTCCTAACTGCTCTATGAAAAGAAAGGTTAAACTCTGTGAGTTGAACGTACACATCACAAAGGAGTTTTTGAGAATCATTCTGTCTAGTTTCTATAGGAAGATATTTCCTATTCTACCATTGAACTCAAAGCGGCTGAAATCTCCACTTGCAAATTCCACAAAAAGAGTTTTTCAAGTCTGCTCTGTGTAAAGGATCGTTCAACTCTGTGAGTTGAATACACACAACACAAGGAAGTTACTGAGAATTCTTCTGTCTAGCAGAATATGAAGAAATCCCGTTTCCAACTAAGGCCACAAGATGTCAGAATATCCACTTACAGAATTGACAAACAGACTGTTTCCTAACTGCTCTATGAAAAGAAAGGTTAAACTCTGTGAGTTGAACGAACACATCACAACGCAGTTTATGGGGATGATTCTGTCTAGTTTTTATACGAAGATATTTCCTTTTCTACCATTGACCTCAAAGCGGCTGAAATCACCACTTGCCAATTGCACAAAAAGAGTGTTTCAAATCTGCTCTGTCTAAGGGAACGTTCAACTCTTGTGAGTTGAATGTACACAACACAAGGAAGTTACTGAGAATTCTTCTGTCTAGCCTTATATGAAAAAAACCCGTTTCCAACGAAGGCCTCAAAGAGGTCTGAATATCCACTTGCAGACTTTACAAACAGAGTGTTTCCTAACTACTCTATGAAAAGAAAGGTTAAACTCTGTGAGTTGAAGGCACACATCACAAAGGAGTTTCTGAGAATCATTCTGTCTAGTTTTTATACGAAGATATTTCCTTTTCTGCCTTTGGCCCCAAAGCGCTTGAAATCTCCACTTGCAAATTCCACAAAAACAGTGTTTCAAATCTGCTCTCTCTAAATGAAAGTTCAACTCTGTCAGTTGAATACACACAACACAAGGAAGTTACTGAGAATTATTCTGTCTAGCAGAATATGAAGAAATCCCGTTTCCAAAGAAGGCCTCAAGGAGGTCTGAATATCCACTTGCAGACATTACAAACAGAGTGTTTCTTAACTGCTCTATGAAAAGAAAAGTTAAACTCTGTGAGTTGAACGCACACATCACAAAGGAGTTTCTGAGAATCATTCTGTCTAGTTTTTATAGAGAAGATATTTCCTTTTCTACCTTTGACTTCAAAGCGGCTGAAATCTCCACTTGCAAATTCCACAAAAAGAGTGTTACAAGTCTGCTCTGTGTAAAGGATCGTTCAACTCTGTGAGTTGAATACACACAACACAAGGAAGTTACTGAGAATTCTTCTGTCTAGCAGAATATGAAGAAATCCCGTTTCCAACGAAGGCCACAAGATGACAGAATATCCACTTACAGAATTGACAAACAGACTGTTTCCTAACTGCTCTATGAAAAGAAAGGTTAAAGTCTGTGAGTTGAACGAACACATCACAACGCAGTTTGTGGGAATGATTCTGTCTAGTTTTGAAACGAAGATATTTCCTTTTTCTGCCGTTGACCTTAAAGCGCTTGAAATCTACACTTGCAAATTGCACAAATAGAGTGTTTCAAATCTGCTCTGTCTAAGGGAACGTTCAACTCTGTGAGTTGAATGCACACAACACAAGGAAGTTACTGGGAATTCTTCTGTCTAGCCTTATATGAAAAAAACCCGTTTCCAACGAAGGCTTCTAAGTGGTCAAAATATCCAAGTGCAGACTTTACAAACAGAGTGTTTCCAAACCGCTGAATGAAAAGAAAAGTTAAACTCTGAGAGTTGAACGCACACATCATGCAGCAGTTTCTGAGAATGATTCTGTCTAGTTTTTATACGAAGATATTTAGTTTTCTGCCTTTGGCCCCAAAGTGCTTGAAATCTCCACTTGCAAATTCCACAAAAACAGTGTTTCAAATCTGCTCTCTCTAAATGAAAGTTTAACTCTGTCAGTTGAATACACACAACACAAGGAAGTTACTGAGAATTCTTCTGTCTAGCAGAATATGAAGAAATCCCGCTTCCAACGAAGGCCTCAAAGAAGTCTGAATATCCACTTGCAGACTTTACAAACAGAGTGTTTTCCAACTACTCTATGAAAAGAAAGGTTGAACTCTGTGAGTTGAACGCACACATCACAAAGGAGTTTCTGAGAATCATTCTGTCTAGTTTTTATAGGAAGATATTACCTTTTCTACCATTGACTTAAAAGCGGCTGAAAACTCCACTTGCAAATTCCACAAAAAGAGTGTTACAAGTCTGCTCTGTCTAAGGGAACGTTCAACTCTGTGAGTTGAATGTACACAACACAAGGAAGTTACTGGGAATTCTTCTGTCTAGCAGAATATGAAGAAATCCCGTTTCCAACGAAGAGCCACAAGATGTCAGAATATCCACTTACAGAATTGACAAACAGACTGTTTCCTAACTGCTCTATGAAAAGAAAGGTTAAACTCTGTGAGTTGAACGAACACATCACAACGCAGTTTGTGGGAATGATTCTGTCTAGTTTTGAAACGAAGATATTTCCTTTTCTGCCATTGACCTTAAAGCGCTTGAAATCTACACTTGCAAATGGCACAAATAGAGTGTTTCAAATCTGCTCTGTCGAAGGGAACTTTCATCTCTGTGAGTTGAATGCACACAACACAAGGAAGTTACTGGGAATTCTTCTGTCTAGCCTTACATGAAAAAAACCCGTTTCCAACGAAGGCCTCTAAGTGGTCAAAATTTCCACGTGCAGACTTTACAAACAGAGTGTTTCCAAACCGCTGAATGAAAAGAAAAGTTAAACTCTGTGAGTTGAACGCACACATCACGCAGCAGTTTCTGAGAATGATTCTGTCTAGTTTTTATACGAAGATATTTCCTTTTCTGCCTTTGGCCCCAAAGCGCTTGAAATCTCCACTTGCAAATTCCACAAAAAAAAGTGTTTCAAAACTACTCTCTCTAAATGAAAGTTCAACTCTGTCAGTTGAATACACACAACACAAGGAAGTTACTGAGAATTCTTCTGTCTAGCAGAATATGAAGAAATCCCGTTTCCAACGAAGGCCTCAAGGAGGTCTGAATATCCACTTGCAGACGTTACAAACAGAGTGTTTCCTAACTGCTCTATGAAAAGAAAAGTTAAACTCTGTGAGTTGAACGCACACATCACAAAGGATTTTCTGAGAATCATTCTGTCTAGTTTTTCTACGAAGATATTTCCTTTCTACTATTGACCTCAAAGCGGCTGAAATCTCCACTTGCAAATTCCACAAAAAGAGTGCTTCAAGTCTGCTCTGTGTAAAGGATCGTTCAACTCTGTGAGTTGAATACACACAACACAAGGAAGTTACTGAGAATTCTTCTGTCTAGCAGAATATGAAGAAATCCCGTTTCCAACGAAGGCCTCAAGGAGGTCTGAATATCCACTTGCAGACTTTACAAACAGAGTGTTTCCTAACTGCTCTATGAACAGAAAGGTTAAACTTTGTGAGTTGAACGCACACATCACTAAGGAGTTTCTGAGAATCATTCTGTCTAGTTTTGAAACGAAGATATTTCCTTTTCTGCCATTGACCTTAAAGCGCTTGAAATCTCCATTTGCCAATTGCACAAAAAGAGTGTTTCAAATCTGCTCTGTCTAAGGGAACGTTCAACTCTGTGAGTTGAATGTACACAACACAAGGAAATTACTGGGAATTCTTCTGTCTAGCCTGACAGGAAAAAAACCCTTTTCCAACGAAGGCCTCTAAGTGGTCCAATTATCCACGTGCAGAGTTTACAAACAGAGTGTTTCAAACTGCTGAATGAAAAGAAAAGTTAAACTCTGAGAGTTGAACGCACACATCACAGAGCAGTTTCTGAGAATGATTCTGTCTAGTTTTTATACGAAGATATTTCCTTTTCTGCCTTTGGCCCCAAAGCGCTTGAAATCTCCATTGGAAATTCGACAAAAACAGTGTTTCAAATCTGCTCTCTCTAAATGAAAGTTCAACTCTGTCAGTTGAATACACACAACACAAGGAAGTTACTGAGAATTCTTCTGTCTAGCCTTATATGAAAAAAACCCGTTTCCAACGAAGGCCTCAAAGAGGGCTGAATATCCACTTGCAGACTTTACAAGCAGAGTGTTTCCTAACTGCTCTATGAAAAGAAAGGTTAAACTCTGTGAGTTGAACGGCACACATCACAAAGGAGTTTCTGAGAATCATTCTGTCTAGTTTTTATAGGAAGATATTTTTTTTCTACCTTTGACTTCAAAGCGGCTGAAATCTCCACTTGCAAATTCCACAAAAAGAGTGTTACAAGTCTGCTCTGTGTAAAGGATCGTTCAACTCTGTGAGTTGAATACACACAACACAAGGAAGTTACTGAGAATTCTTCTGTCTAGCAGAATATGAAGAAATCCCGTTTCCAACGAAGGCCACAAGATGTCAGAATATCCACTTACAGACTTTACAAACAGAGTGTTTCCTAACTGCTCTATGAACAGAAAGGTTAAACTCTGTGAGTTGAACGTACACATCACAACGCAGTTTGTGGGAATGATTCTGTCTAGTTTTTATAGGAAGATATTTCCTTTTCTACATTTGACTTCAAAGCGGCTGAAATCTCCACTTGCCAATTGCACAAAAAGAGTGTTTCAAATCTGCTCTGTCTAAGGGAACGTTCAACTCTGTGAGTTGAATGTACACAACACAAGGAAGTTACTGGGAATTCTTCTGTCTAGCCTTACATGAAAAAATCCCGTTTCCAACGAAGGCCTCTAAGTGGTCAAAATATCCACGTGCAGACTTTACAAACAGAGTGTTTCCAAACCGCTGAATGAAAAGAAAAGTTAAACTCTGAGAGTTGAACGCACACATCACACAGCAGTTTCTGAGAATGATTCTGTCTAGTTTTTATACGAAGATATTTCCTTTTCTGCCTTTGGCCTCAAAGCGCTTGAAATCTCCATTTGCAAATTCCACAAAAAGAGTGTTTCAAATCTGCTCTGTGTAAATGAAAGTTCAAATCTGTGAGTTGAACACACACAACACAAGGAAGGTACTGGGAATTCTTCTCTCTAGCCTTATATGAAAAAAACCCTTTTCCAACGAAGGCCTCAAAGAGGTCTGAATATCCACTTGCAGACTTTAAAAACAGAGTGATTCCTAACTGCTCTATGAAAAGAAAGGTTAAACTCTGTGAGTTGAACACACACATCTCAAAGGAGTTTCTGAGAATCATTCTGTCTAGTTTTTCTACGAAGATATTTCCTTTTCTACTATTGACCTCAAAGCGGCTGAAATCTCCACTTGCAAATTCCACACAAAGAGTGTTTCAAGTCTGCTCTGTGTAAAGGATCGTTCAACTCTGTGAGTTGAATACACACAACACAAGGAAGTTACTGAGAATTCTTCTGTCTAGCAGAATATGAAGAAATCCCGTTTCCAACGAAGGCCACAAGATGTCGGAATATCCACTTACAGAATTTACAAACAGACTGTTTCCTAACTGCTCTATGAAAAGAAAGGTTAAACTCTGTGAGATGAACGAACACATCACAACGCAGTTTGTGGGAATGATTCTGTCTAGTTTTGAAACGAAGATATTTCCTTTTCTGCCATTGACCTTAAAGCGCTTGAAATCTCCACTTGCCAATTGAACAAAAAGAGTGTTTCAAATCTGCTCTGTCTAAGGGAACGTTCAACTCTGTGAGTTGAATGTACACAACGCAAGGAAGTTACTGGGAATTCTTCTGTCTAGCCTTACATGAAAAAAACCCGTTTCCAACGAAGGCCTCTAAGTGGTCAAAATTTCCACGTGCAGACTTTACAAACAGAGTGTTTCCAAACCGCTGAATGAAAAGAAAAGTTAAACTCTGAGAGTTGAACGCACACATCACGCAGCAGTTTCTGATAATGATTCTGTCTAGTTTTTGTACGAAGATATTTCCTTTTCTGCCTTTGGCCCCAAAGCGCTTGAAATCTCCACTTGCAAATTCCACAAAAACAGAGTTTCAAATCTGCTCTCTCTAAATGAAAGTTCAACTCTGTCAGTTGAATACACACAACACAAGGAAGTTACTGAGAATTCTTCTGTCTAGCAGAACATGAAGAAATCCCGTTTCCAACGAAGGCCTCAAAGATGTCTGAATATCCACTTGCAGACTTTACAAACAGAGTGTTTCCTAACTGCTCTATGAGAAGAAAGGTTAAACTCTGTGAGTTGAACGCACACATCACAAAGGAGTTTCTGAGAATCATTCTGTCTAGTTTTTCTACGAAGATATTTCCTTTTCTACTATTGACCTGAAAGCGGCTGAAATCTCCACTTGCAAATTCCACAAAAAGAGTGTTTCAAGTCTGCTCTGTGTAAAGGATCGTTCAACTCTGTGAGTTGAATACACAAAACACAAGGGAAGTTACTGAGAATTCTTCTGTCTAACAGAATATGAAGAAATCCCGTTTCCAACGAAGGCCTCAAAGAGGTCTGAATATCCACTTGCAGACTTTACAAACAGAGTGTTTCCTAACTGCTATATTAAAAGAAAAGTTAAACTCTGTGAGTTGAACGCACACATCACAAAGGAGTTTCTGAGAATCGTTCTGTCTAGTTTTTCTACGAAGATATTTCCTTTTCTACCATTGACCTCAAAGCGGCTGAAATCTCCACTTGCAAATTCCACAAAAAGAGTGTTTCAAGTCTGCTCTGTGTAAAGGATCGTTCAACTCTGTGAGTTGAATACACACAACACAAGGAAGTTACTGAGAATTCTTCTGTCTAGCAGTATATGAAGAAGTCCGGTTTCCAAACAAGGCCACAAGATGTCAGAATATCCACTTACGGACTTTACAAACAGAGTGTTTCCTAACTGCTCTATGAACAGAAAGGTTAAACTCTGTAAGTTGAACGAACACATCACTACGCAGTTTGTGGGAATGATTCTGTCTAGTTTTGAAACGAAGATATTTCCTTTTCTGCCATTGACCTTAAAGCGCTTGAAATCTACACTTGCAAATTGCACAAATAGAGTGTCTCAAATCTGCTCTGTCTAAGGGAACGTTCATCTCTGTGAGTTGAATGCACACAACACAAGGAAGTTACTGGGAATGCTTCTGTCTAGCCTTACAGGAAAAAAACCCGTTTCCAACGAAGGCCTCTAAGTGGTCAAAATATCCACGTGCAGACTTTACAAACAGAGTGTTTCCAAATTGCTGAATGAAAAGAAAAGTTAAAGTCTGAGAGTTGAACGCACACATCGCAGAGCAGTTTCTGAGAATGATTCTGTCTAGTTTTGAAACGAAGATATTTCCTTTTCTGCCTTTGGCCTCAAAGCGCTTGAAATCTCCACTTGCAAATTCCACAGAAAGAGTGTTTCAAATCTGCTCTGTGTAAATGAAAGTTCAACTCTGTGAGTCGAACACCCACAACACAAGGAAGTTACTGGGAATTCTTCTGTCTAGCATAATATGAAGAAATCCCGTTTCCAACGAAGACCTCAAAGAGGTCTGAATATCCACTATCCACTTGCAGACTTTACAAACAGAGTGTTTCCTAACTGCTCTATGAGAAGAAAAGTTAAACTCTGTGAGTTGAACGCACACATCACAAAAGATTTTCTGAGAATCATTCTGTCTAGTTTTTCTACGAAGATATTTCCTTTTCTACTATTGACCTCAAAGTGGCTGAAATCTCCACTTGCAAATTCCACAAAAAGAGTGTTTCAAGTCTGCTCTGTGTAAAGGATCGTTCAACTCTGCGAGTTCAATACACACAACACAAGGAAGTTACTGAGAATTCTTCTGTCTAGCAGAATATGAAGAAATCCCGTTTCCAACGAAGGCCACAAGATGTCAGAATATCCACTTACAGACTTTACAAACAGAGTGTTTCCTAACTGCTCTATGAACAGAAAGGTTAAACTCTGTGAGTTGAACTGAACACATCACAACGCAGTTTGTGGGAATGATTCTGTCTAGTTTTTATACGAAGATATTTCCTTTTCTACCATTGACCTCAAAGCGGCTGAAATCACCACTTGCCAATTGCACAAAAAGAGTGTTTCAAATCTGCTCTGTCTAAGGGAACGTTCAACTCTGTGAGTTGAATGTACACAACACAAGGAAGTTCCTGGGAATTCTTCTGTCTAGCCTTACAAGAAAAAAACCCGTTTCCAACGAAGGCCTCTAAGTGGTCAAGTTATCCACGTGCAGACTTTACAAACAGAGTGTTTCCAAACTGCTGAATGAAAAGAAAAGTTAAACTCTGAGAGTTGAACGCACACATCGCAGAGCAGTTTCTGAGAATGATTCTGTCTAGTTTTTATACGAAGATATTTCCTTTTCTGCCTTTGGCCCAAAAGCGCTTGAAATCTCCACTTGCAAATTCCACAAAAACAGTGTTTCAAATCTGCTCTCTCTAAATGAAAGTTCAACTCTGTCAGTTGAATACACACAACACAAGGAAGTTACTGAGAATTCTTCTGTCTAGCCTTATATGAAAAAAACCCGTTTCCAACGAAGGCCTCAAAGAGGTCTGAATATCCACTTGCAGACTTTACAAACAGAGTGTTTCCTAACTGCTCTATGAAAAGAAAGGTTAAACTCTGTGAGTTGAACGCACACATCACAAAGGAGTTTCTGAGAATCATTTCTGTCTAGTTTTTATAGGAAGATATTTCCTTTTCTACCTTTGACTTCAAAGCGGCTGAAAATTCCAATTGCAAATTCCACAAAAAGAGTGTTACAAGTCTGCTCTGTGTAAAGGTTCGTTCAACTCTGTGAGTTGAATACACACAACACAAGGAAGTTACTGAGAATTCTTCTGTCTAGCAGAATATGAAGAAATCCCGTTTCCAACGAAGGCCACAAGATGTCAGAATATCCACTTACAGAATTTACAAACAGACTGTTTCCTAACTGCTCTACGAAAAGAAAGGTTAAACTCTGTGAGATGAACGCACACATCACAAAGGAGTTTCTGAGAATCATTCTGTCTAGTTTTGAAACGAAGATATTTCCTTTTCTGCCATTGAACTTAAAGCGCTTGAAATCTCCATTTGCCAATTGCACAAAAAGAGTGTTTCAAATCTGCTCTGTCTAAGGGAACGTTCAACTCTGTGAGTTGAATGTACACAACACAAGGAAGTTACTGGGAATTCTTCTGTCTAGCCTTACATGAAAAAAACCCGTTTCCAACGAAGGCCTCTAAGTGGTCAAATTATCCACGTGCAGACTTTACAAACAGAGTGTTTCCAAACTGCTGAATGAAAAGAAAAGTTAAACTCTGAGAGTTGAACGCACACATCACAGAGCAGTCTCTGAGAATGATTCTGTCTAGTTTTTATACGAAGATATTTCCTTTTCTGCCTTTGGCCTCAAAGCGCTTGAAATCTCCACTTGCATATTCCACAAAAAGAGTGTTTCAAATCTGCTCTGTGTAAATGAAAGTTCAACTCTGTGAGTTGAACACACACAACACAAGGAAGTTACTGGGAATTCTTCTGTCTAGCAGAATATGAAGAAATCCCGTTTCCAACGAAGGCCTCAAAGAGGTCTGAATATCCACTTGCAGACTTTACAAACAGAGTGTTTCCTAACCGCTCTATGAAAAGAAAAGTTAAACTCTGTGTGTTGAACGCACACATCACAAAGGAGTTTCTGAGAATCATTCTGTCTAGTTTTTATAGGAAGATATTCCCTTTTCTACCTTTGACTTCAAAGCGGCTGAAATCTCCACTTGCAAATTCCACAAAAAGAGTGTTACAAGTCTGCTCTGTGTAAAGGATCGGTGAACTCTGTGAGTTGAATACACACAACACAAGGAAGTTACTGAGAATTCTTCTGTCTAGCAGAATATGAAGAAATCCCGTTTCCAACGAAGGCCACAAGATGTCAGAATAACCACTTACAGAATTTACAAACAGACTGTTTCCTAACTGCTCTAAGAAAAGAAAGGGTAAACTCTGTGAGTTGAACGAACACATCACAACGCAGTTTGTGGGAATGATTCTGTCTAGTTTTGAAACGAAGATATTTCCTTTTCTGCCATTGACCTTAAAGCGCTTGAAATCTACACTTGCAAATTGCACAAATAGAGTGTTTCAAATCTGCTCTGTCTAAGGAACGTTCAACTCTGTGAGTTGAATGCACACAACACAAGGAAGTTACTGGGAATTCTTCTGTCTAGCCTTACAGGAAAAAAACCCGTTTCCAACGAAGGCCTCTAAGTGGTCAAAATATCCACGTGCAGAGTTTACAAACAGAGTGTTTCCACACTGCTGAATGAAAAGAAAAGTTAAACTCTGAGAGTTGAACGCACACATCGCAGAGCAGTTTCTGAGAATGATTCTGTCTAGTTTTTATACGAAGATATTTCCTTTTCTGTCTTTGGCCTCAAAGCGCTTGAAATCTCCATTTGCAAATTCCACAAAAAGAGTGTTTCAAATCTGCTCTGTGTAAATGAAAGTTCAACTCTGTGAGTTGAACACACACAACACAAGGAAGTTACTGGGAATTCTTCTGTCTAGCATAGTATGAAGAAATCCCGTTTCCAACGAAGGCCTCAAAGAGGTCTGAATATCCACTTGCAGAGTTTACAAACAGAGTGTTTCCTAACTGCTCTATGAAAAGAAAGGTTAAACTCCGTGAGTTGAACGCACACATCACAAAGAAGTTTCTGAGAATCATTCTGTCTAGTTTCTATAGGAAGATATTTCCTATTCTACCATTGACCTCAAAGCGGCTGAAATCTCCACTTTCAAATTCCACAAAAAGAGTGTTTCAAGTCTGCTCTGTGTAAAGGATCGTTCAACTCTGTGAGTTGAATACACACAACACAAGGAAGTTACTGAGAATTCTTCTGTCAAGCAGAATATGAAGAAAACCCGCTTCCAACGAAGGCCTCAAAGAAGTCTGAATATCCACTTGCAGACTTTACAAACAGAGTGTTTCCCAACTGCTCTATGAAAAGAAAGGTTGAACTCTGTGAGTTGAACGCACACATCACAAAGGAGTTTCTGAGAATCATTCTGTCTAGTTTCTATAGGAAGATATTTCCTATTCTACCATTGACCTCAAAGCGGCTGAAATCTCCACTTGCAAATACCAGAAAAAGAGTGTTTCAAGTCTGCTCTGTGTAAAGGATCGTTGAAATCTGTGAGTTGAATACACACAACACAATGAAGTTACTGAGAATTCTTCTGTCTAGCCTTACATGAAAAAAAACCCGTTTCCAAGGAAGGCCTCTAAGTGGTCAAAATATCCACGTGCAGACTTTACAAACAGAGTGTTTCCAAACCGCTGAATGAAAAGAAAAGTTAAACTCTGAGAGTTGAACGCACACATCATGCAGCAGTTTCTGAGAATGATTCTGTCTAGTTTTTATACGAAGATATTTCCTTTTCTGCCTTTGGCCCCAAAGCACTTGAAATCTCCACTTGCAAATTCCACAAAAACAGTGTTACAAATCTGCTCTCTCTAAATGAATGTTCAACTCTGTCAGTTGAAAACACACAACACAAGGAAGTTACTGAGAATTCTTCTGTCTAGCATAATATGAAGAAATCCCGTTTCCAACGAAGGTCTCAAAGGGGTCTGAATATCCACTTGCAGACTTTATAAACAGAGTGTTTACTAACTGCTCTATGAAAAGAAAGGTTAAACTTTGTGAGTTGAACACACACATCACAAAGGAGTTTCTGAGAATCATTCTGTCTAGTTTTATACGAAGATATTTCCTTTTCTACCATGGACCTCAAAGCGGCTGAAATCTCAACTTGCAAATTCCACAAAAAGAGTGTTTCAAGTCTGCTCTGTGTAAAGGATCGTTCAACTCTGTGAGTTGAATACACACAACACAAGGAAGATTCTGAGAATTCTTCTGTCTAGCAGAATATGAAGAAATCCCGTTTCCAACGAAGGCCACAAGATGTCAGAATATCCACTTACAGAATTTACCAACAGAGTGTTTCCTAACTGCTCTATGAAAAGAAAGGTTAAACTCTGTGAGTTGAACGAACACATCACAACGCAGTTTGTGGGAATGATTCTGTCTAGTTTTGAAACGAAGATATTTCCTTTTCTGCCATTGACCTTAAAGCGCTTGAAATCTACACTTGCAAATTGCACAAATAGAGTGTTTCAAATCTGCTCTGTCTAAGGGAACGTTCATCTCTGTGAGTTGAATGCACACAACACAAGGAAGTTACTGGGAATTCTTCTGTCTAGCCTTACATGAAAAAAACCCGTTTCCAACGAAGGCCTCTAAGTAGTCAAAATATCCACGTGCAGACTTTACAAACAGAGTGTTTCCAAACTGCTGAATGAAAAGAAAAGTTAAACTCTGAGAGTTGAACGCACACATCACAGAGCAGTTTCAGAGAATGATTCTGTCTAGTTTTTATACGAAGCATATTTCCTTTTCTGCCTTTGGCCCCAAAGCGCTTGAAATCTCCACTTGCAAATTCCACAAAAACAGTGTTTCAAATCTGCTCTCTCTAAATGAAAGTTCAACTCTGTCAGTTGAATACACACAACACAAGGAAGTTACTGAGAATTCTTCTTTCTAGCAGAATATGAAGAAATCCCGTTTCCAACGAAAGCCTCAAGGATGTCTGAATATCCACTTGCAGACTTTACAAACAGAGTGTTTCCTAACTGCTCTATGAAAAGAAAGGTTGAACTCTGTGAGTTGAACGCACACATCACAAAGGAGTTTCTGAGAATCATTCTGTCTAGTCTTTATACGAAGATATTTCCTTTTCTACCATTGACCCCAAAGCGGCTGAAATCTCCACTTGCAAATTCCACAAAAAGAGTGTTTCAAGTCTGCTCTGTGTAAAGGATCGTTCAACTCCGTGAGTTGAATACACACAACACAAGGAAGTTACTGAGAATTCTTCTGTCTAGTATTATAGGAAGAAATCCCGTTTCCAACGAAGTCCACAAAAAGGTCAGAATATCCACTTGCAGACTTGACAAACAGAGCGCTTACAGACGGCTCTATGAAAAGAAAGGTTAAACTCTGTGAGTTTAACGCACACATCACAACGCAGTTTGTGTGAATGATTCTGTCTAGTTTTGAAACGAAGATATTTCCTTTTCTGCCATTGACCCTAAAGCGCTTGAAATCTCCACTTGCAAATTGCACAAAAAGAGTGTTTCAAATCTGCTCTTTCTAAAGGAACGTTCAACTCTGTGAGTTGAATGCACACAACACAAAGAAGTTACTGGGAATTCTTCTGTCGAGCCTTACATGAAAAAAACCCGTTTCCAACGAAGGCCTCTAAGTGGTCAAAATATCCACGTGCAGACTTTACAAACAGAGTGTTTCCAAACCGCTGAATGAAAAGAAAAGTTAAACTCTGAGAGTTGAACGCACACATCACGCAGCAGTTTCTGAGAATGATTTCTGTCTAGTTTTTATACGAAGATATTTCCTTTTCTGCCTCTGGCCTCAAAGCGCTTGAAATCTCCATTTGCAAATTCCACAAAAAGAGTGTTTCAAATCTGCTCTGTGTAAATGAAAGTTCAACTCTGTGAGTTGAACACAAACAACACATGGAAGTTACTGGGAATTCTTCTGTCTAGCATAGTATGAAGAAATCCCAGTTTCCAACGAAGGCCTCAAAGAGGTCTGAATATCCACTTGCAGAGTTTACAAACAGAGTGTTTCCTAACTGCTCTATGAAAAGAAAGGCTAAACTCTGTGAGTTGAACGCACACATCACAAAGAAGTTTCTGAGAATCATTCTGTCTAGTCTTTATACGAAGATATTTCCTTTTCTACCATTGACCTCAAAGCGGCTGAAATCTCCACTTGCAAATTCCACAGAAAGAGTGTTTCAAGTCTGCTCTGTGTAAAGGATCGTTCAACTCTGTGAGTTGAATACACACAACACAAGGAAGTTACTGAGAATTCTTCTGTCTAGCAGAATATGAAGAAATCCCGTTTCCAACGAAGGCCACAAGCATGTCAGAATATCCACTTACAGAATTGACAAACAGACTGTTTCCTAACTGCTCTATGAAAAGAAAGGTTAAACTCTGTGAGTTGAACGAACACATCACAACGCAGTTTGTGGGAATGATTCTGTCTAGTTTTGAAACGAAGATATTTTCTTTTCTGCCGTTGACCTTAAAGCGCTTGAAATCTACACTTGCAAATTGCACAAATAGAGTGTTTCAAATCTGCTCTGTCTAAGGGAACGTTCAACTCTGTGAGTTGAATGCACACAACACAAGGAAGTTACTGGGAATTCTTCTGTCTAGCCTTACATGAAAGAAACCCGTTTCCAACGAAGGCCTCTAAGTGGTCAAAATATCCACGTGCAGACTTTACAAACAGAGTGTTTCCAAACCGCTGAATGAAAAGAAAAGTTAAACTCTGAGAGTTGAACGCACACATCACGCAGCAGTTTCTGAGAATGATTCTGTCTAGTTTTTATACGAAGATATTTCCTTTTCTGCCTTTGGCCCCATAGCGCTTGAAATCTCCACTTGCAAATTCCACAAAAACTGTGTTTCAAATCTGCTCTCTCTAAATGAAAGTTCAACTCTGTCAGTTGAATACACACAACACAAGGAAGTTACTGAGAATTCTTCTGTCTAGCAGAACATGAAGAAATCCCGCTTCCAACGAAGGCCTCAAAGAAGTCTGAATATCCACTTGCAGACTTTACAAACAGAGTGTTTCCCAACTGCTCTGTGAAAAGAAAGGTTGAACTCTGTGAGTTGAACGCACACATCACAAAGGAGTTTCTGAGAATCATTCTGTCTAGTTTTTATACGAAGATATTTCCTTTTCTACCATTGACCTCAAAGCGGCTGAAATCTCCACTTGCAAATTCCACAAAAAGAGTGTTTCAAGTCTGCTCTGTGTAAACGATCGTTCAACTCTGTGAGTTGAATACACACAACACAAGGAAGTTTCTGAGAATTCTTCTGTCTAGCATAATATGAAGAAATCCCGTTTCCAACGAAGGCCCCAAAGGGGTCTGAATACCCACTTACAGACTTTATAAACAGAGTGTTTACTAACTGCTCTATGAAAAGAAAGGTTAAACTCTGTGAGTTGAACACACACATCACAAAGGAGTTCCTGAGAATCATTCTGTCTAGTTTTTATACAAAGATATTTCCTTTTCTACCATGGACCTCAAAGCGGCTGAAATCTCCACTTGCAAATTCCACAAAAAGAGTGTTTCAAGTCTGCTCTGTGTAAAGGATCGTTCAACTCTGTGAGTTGAATACACACAACACAAGGAAGATTCTGAGAATTCTTCTGTCTAGGAGAATATGAAGAAATCCCGTTTCCAACGAAGGCCACAAGATGTCAGAATATCCACTTACAGAATTGACAAACAGACTGTTTCCTAACTGCTCTATGAAAAGAAAGTTTAAACTCTGTGAGTTGAACGAACCATCACAACGCAGTTTGTGGGAATGATTCTGTCTAGTTTTGAAACGAAGATATTTCCTTTTCTGCCATTGACCTTAAAGCCCTTGAAATCTCCATTTGCCAATTGCACAAAAAGAGTGTTTCAAATCTGCTCTGTCTAAGGGAACGTTCAACTCTGTGAGTGGAATGTACACAACACAAGGAAGTTACTGGGAATTCTTCTGTCTAGCCTTACATGAAAAAACCCGTTTCCAACGAAGGCCTCTAAGTGGTCAAAATATCCACGTGCAGACTTTACAAACAGAGTGTTTCCAAACCGCTGAATGAAAAGAAAAGTTAAACTCTGAGAGTTGAACGCACACATCACGCAGCAGTTTCTGAGAATGATTCTGTCTAGTTTTTATACGAAGATATTTCCTTTTCTGCCTTTGGCTCCAAAACGCTTGAAATCTCCACTTGCAAATTCCACAAAAACAGTTTTTCAAATCTGCTCTCTCTAAATGAAAGTTCAACTCTGTCAGTTGAAAACACACAACACAGGGAAGTTACTGAGAATTCTTCTGTCCAGCCTTATATGAAAAAAACCCGTTTCCAACGAAGGCCTCAAAGAGGTCTGAATATCCACTTGCAGACTTTACAAACAGAGTGTTTCCTAACTGCTCTATGAAAAGAAAGGTTAAACTCTGTGAGTTGAACGCACACATCACAAAGGAGTTTCTGAGAATTATTCTGTCTAGTTTCTATAGGAAGATATTTTCTATTCTACCATTGACCTCAAATCGGCTGAAATCTCCACTTGCAAATTCCACAAAAAGAGTGTTTCAAGACTGTTCTGTGTAAAGGATCATTCAAGTCTGTGAGTTGAATACACACAACACAAGGAAGTTACTGAGAATTCTTCTGTCTAGCAGAATATGAAGAAATCCCGTTTCCAACGAAGGCCTCAAGGAGGTCTGAATATCCATTTGCAGACTTTACAAACAGAGTGTTTCCTAACTGCTCTATGAAAAGAATGGTTAAACTCTGTGAGTTGAACGCACACATCACAAAGGAGTTTCTGAGAATCATTCTGTCTAGTTTCTATAGGAAGATATTTCCTATTCTACCATTGACCTCAAAGCGGCTGAAATCTCCACTTGCAAATTCCACAAAAAGAGTGTTTCAAGTCTGCTCTCTGTAAAGGATCGTTGAACTCTGTGAGTTGAATACACACAACACAAGGAAGTTACTGAGAATTATTCTGTCTAGCATAATATGAAGAAATCCCGTTTCCAACGAAGGCCTCAAAGAGGTCTGAATATCCACTTGCACACTTTACAAACAGAGTGTTTCCTAACTGCTCTATGAAAAGAAAAGTTAAACTCTGTGAGTTGAACGCACAAATCACAAAGGAGTTTCTGAGAATCATTCTGTCTAGTTTTGAAACGAAGATATTTCCTTTTCTGCCGTTGACCTTAAAGCGCTTGAAATCTACACTTGCCAATTGCACAAATAGAGTGTTTCAAATCGGCTCTGTCTAAGGGAACGTTCAACTCTGTGAGTTGAATGCACACAACACAAGGAAGTTACTGGGAATTCTTCTGTCTAGCCTTACAGGAAAGAAACCCGTTTCCAACGGAGGCCTCTAAGTGGTCAAAATATCCACGTGCAGACTTTACAAACAGAGTGTTTCCAAACTGCTGAATGAAAAGAAAAGTTAAACTCTGAGAGTTGAACGCACACATCGCAGAGCAGTTTCTGAGAATGATTCTGTCTAATTTTTATACGAAGATATTTCCTTTTCTGCCTTTGTCCTCAAAGCGCTTGAAATCTCCACTTGCAAATTCCACAAAAAGAGTGTTTCCAATCTGCTCTGTGTAAATGAAAGTTCAACTCTGTGAGTTGAACACACACAACACAAGGAAGTTACTGGGAATTCTTCTGTCTAGCCTTATATGAAAAAAACCCGTTTCCAACGAAGGCCTCAAAGAGGTCTGAATATCCACTTGCAGACTTTACAAACAGAGTGTTTCCTAACTGCTCTATGAAAAGAAAGGTTAAACTCTGTGAGTTGAAGGCACACATCACAAAGAAGTTTCTGAGAATCATTCTGTCAATTTTTGTACGAAGATATTTCCTTTTCTAACATGGACCTCAAAGCGGCTGAAATCTCCACTTGCAAATTCCACAAAAAGAGTGTTTCAAGTCTGCTCTGTGTAAAGGATCGTTCAACTCGGTGAGTTGAATACACACAACACAAGGAAGATTCTGAGAATTCTTCTGTCTAGCAGAATATGAAGAAATCCCGTTTCCAACGAAGGCCTCAAGGAGGTCTGAATATCCACTTGCAGACTTTACAAATAGAGTGTTTCCTAACTGCTCTATGAACAGAAAGGTTAAACTCTGTGAGTTGAACGAACACATCACAACGCAGTTTGTGGGAATGATTCTGTCTAGTTTTGAAACCAAGATATTTCCTTTTCTGCCGTTGACCTAAAAGAGCTTGAAAACTACACTTGCAAATTGCACAAATAGAGTGTTTCAAATCTGCTCTGTCTAAGGGAACGTTCAACTCTGTGAGTTGAATGCACACAACACAAGGGAAGTTACTGGGAATTCTTCTGTCTAGCCTTACATGAAAAAAACCCGTTTCCAACGAAGGCCTCTAAGTGGTCAAAATTTCCACGTGCAGACTTTACAAACAGAGTGTTTCCAAACTGCTGAATGAAAAGAAAAGTTAAACTCTGAGAGTTGAACGCACACATCACGCAGCAGTTTCTGAGAATGATTCTGTCTAGTTTTTATACGAAGATATTTCCTTTTCTGCCTTTGGCCCCAAACCGCTTGAAATCTCCACTTGCAAATTCCACAAAAACAGTGTTTCAAATCTGCTCTCTCTAAATGAAAGTTCAACTCTGTCAGTTGAATACACACAACACTAGGAAGTTACTGAGAATTCTTCTGTCTAGCATAATATGAAGAAATCCCGTTTCCAAGGAAGGTCTCAAGGAGGTCTGAATATCCACTTGCAGAGTTTACAAACGGAGTGTTTCCAAACTGCTCTATGAAAAGAAAGGTTAAACTCTGTGAGTTGAACGCACACATCACAAAGGAGTTTCTCAGAATCATTCTGTCTAGTTTCTATAGGAAGATATTTCCTATTCTACCATTGACCTCAAAGAGGCTGAAATCTCCACTTGCAAATTCCACAAAAAGAGTGTTTCAAGTCTGCTCTGTGTAAAGGATCGTTCAACTCTGTGTGTTGAATACACACAACACAAGGAAGTTACTGAGAATTCTTCTGTCTAGCAGAATATAAAGAAATCCCGTTTCCAACGAAGGCCTCAAGGAGGTCTGAATATCCACTTGCAGACTTTACAAACAGAGTGTTTCCTAACTGCTCTATGAACAGAAAGGTTAAACTCTGTGAGTTGAACGCACACATCACAAAGGAGTTTCTGAGAATCATTCTGTCTAGTTTTGAAACGAAGATATTTCCTTTTCTGCCATTGACCTTAAAGCGCTTGAAATCTCCACTTGCCAATTGCACAAAAAGAGTGTTTCAAATCTGCTCTGTCTAAGGGAACGTTCAACTCTGTGAGTTGAATGTACAGAACACAAGGAAGTTACTGGGAATTCTTCTGTCTAGCCTTACATGAAAAAAACCCGTTTCCAACGAAGGCCTCTAAGTGGTCAAATTATCCACGTGCAGACTTTACAAACAGAGTGTTTCCAAACTGCTGAATGAAAAGCAAAGTTAAACTCTGAGAGTTGAACGCACCCATCGCAGAGCAGTTTCTGAGAATGATTCTGTCTAGTTTTTATACGAAGATATTTCCTTTTCTGCCTTCGGCCCCAAAGCGCTTGAAATCTCCAATTGCAAATTCCACAAAAACAGTGTTTCAAATCTGCTCTCTCTAAATGAAAGTTCAACTCTGTCACTTGAATACACACAACACAAGGAAGTTACTGAGAATTCTTCTGTCTAGCCTTATATGAAAAAAACCCGTTTCCAACGAAGGCCTCAAAGAGGGCTGAATATCCACTTGCAGACTTTACAAGCAGAGTGTTTCCTAACTGCTCTATGAAAACAAAGGTTAAACTCTGTGAGTTGAACGCACACATCACAAAGGAGTTTCTGAGAATCATTCTGTCTAGTTTTTATAGGAAGTTATTTCCTTTTCTACCTTTGACTTCAAAATGGCTGAAATCTCCACTTGCAAATTCCACAAAAAGAGTGTTACAAGTCTGTTCTGTGTAAAGGATCGTTCAACTCTGTGAGTTGAATACACACAACACAAGGAAGTTACTGAGAATTCTTCTGTCTAGTTTTGAAACGAAGATATTTCCTTTTCTTCCATTGACCTTAAAGCGCTTGAAATCTCCACTTGCCAATTGCACAAAAAGAGTGTTTCAAATCTGCTCTGTCTAAGGGAACGTTCAACTCTGTGAGTTGAATGCACACAACACAAGGAAGTTACTGGGAATTCTTCTGTCTAGCCTTACATGAAGAAAACCCGTTTCCAACGAAGGCCTCTAAGTGGTCAAAATATCCACGTGCAGACTTTACAAACAGAGTGTTTCCAAACCGCTGAATGAAAAGAAAAGTTAAACTCTGAGAGTTGAACGCACACACCACGCAGCAGTTTCTGAGAATGATTCTGTCTAGTTTTTATACGAAGATATTTCCTTTTCTGCCTTTGGCCCCAAAGCGCTTGAAATCTCCACTTGCAAATTCCGCAAAAACCGTGTTTCAAATCTGCTCTCTCTAAATGAAAGTTCAACTCTGTCAGTTGAATACACACAAAACAAGGAAGTTACTGAGAATTCTTCTGTCTAGCAGAATATGAAGAAATCCCGTTTCCAACGAAAGCCTCAAAGATGTCTGAATATCCACTTGCAGACTTTACAAACAGAGTGTTTCCTAACTGCTCTATGACAAGAAAGGTTAAACTCTGTGAGTTGAACGCACACATCACAAAGGAGTTTCTGAGAATCATTCTGTCTAGTTTTTATAGGAAGATATTTCCTTTTCTACTTTGACTTCAAAGCGGCTGAAATCTCCACTTGCAAATTCCACAAAAAGAGTGTTACAAGTCTGCTCTGTGTAAAGGATCGTTCAACCGTGTGAGTTGAATACACACAACACAAGGAAGTTACTGAGAACTCTTCTGTCTAGCAGAATATGAAGAAATCCCGTTTCCAACGAAGGCCACAAGATGTCAGAATATCCACTTACAGACTTTACAAACAGAGTGTTTCCTAACTGCTCTATGAACAGAAAGGTTAAACTGTGTGAGTTGAACGCACACATCACAAAGGAGTTTCTGAGAATCATTCTGTCTAGTTTTGAAACGAAGATATTTCCTTTTCTGCCATTGACATTAAAGCGCTTGAAATCTCCATTTGCCAATTGCACAAAAAGAGTGTTTCAAATCTGCTCTGTCTAAGGGAACGTTCAACTCTGTGAGTTGAATGTACACAACACAAGGAAGTTACTGGGAAATCTTCTGTCTAGCCTTACATGAAAAAACCCGTTTCCAACGAAGGCCTCTAAGTGGTCAAATTATCCACGTGAAGACTTTACAAACAGAGTGTTTCCAAACTGCTGAATGAAAAGAAAAGTTAAACTCTGAGAGTTGAACGCACACATCGCAGAGCAGTTTCTGAGAATGATTCTGTCTAGTTTTGAAACGAAGTATATTTCCTTTTCTGCCTTTGGCCTCAAAGTGCTTGAAATCTCCACTTGCAAATTCCACAAAAAGAGTGTTTCAAATCTGCTCTGTGTAAATGAAAGTTCAACTCTGTGAGTCGAACACACACAACACAAGGAAGTTACTGGGAATTCTTCTGTCTAGCAGAATATGAAGAAATCCCGTTTCCAACGAAGGCCTCAAAGGGGTCTGAATATCCACTTGCAGACTTTATAAACAGAGTGTTTACTAACTGCTCTATGAAAAGAAAGGTTAAACTCTGTGAGTTGAACGCACACATCACAAAGGAGTTTCTGAGAATCATTCTGTCTCGGCTTTATACGAAGATATTTCCTTTTCTACCATTGACATCAAAGCGGCTGAAATCTCCACTTGCAAATTCCACAAAAAGAGTGTTTCAAGTCTGCTCTGTGTAAAGGATCGTTCAACTCTGTGAGTTGAATACACACAACACAAGGAAGTTACTGAGAATTCCTCTGTCCAGCAGTATATGAAGAAATCCCGTTTCCAACGAAGGCCTCAAAGAGGTCTGAATATCCACTTGCAGACTTTACAAACAGAGTGTTTCCTAACTGCTCTATGAAAAGAAAGGTTAAACTCTGTGAGTTGAACGAACACATCACAACGCAGTTTGTGGGAATGATTCTGTCTAGTTTTGAAACGAAGATATTTCCTTTTCTGCCGTTGACTTTAAGCGCTTGAAATCTACACTTGCAAATTGCACAAATAGAGTGTTTCAAATCTGCTCTGTCTAAGGGAACGTTCAACTCTGTGAGTTGAATGCACACAACACAAGGAAGTTACTGGGAATTCTTCTGTCTAGCCTTACATGAAAAAAAACCGTTTCCAACGAAGGCCTCTAAGTGGTCAAATTATGCACGTGCAGACTTTACAAACAGAGTGTTTCCAAACTGCTGAATGAAAAGAAAAGTTAAACTCTGAGAGTTGAACGCACACATCGCAGAGCAGTTTCTGAGAATGATTCTGTCTAGTTTTTATACGAAGATATTTCCTTTTCTGCCTTTGGCCCCAAAGCGTTTGAAATCTCCACTTGCAAATTCCACAAAAACAGTGTTTCAAATCTGCTCCCTCTAAATGAAAGTTCAACTCTGTCAGTTGAATACACACAACACAAGGGAGTTACTGAGAATTCTTCTGTCTAGCATAATAGGAAGAAATCCCGTTTCCAACGAAGGCCTCAAGGAGGTCTGAGTATCCACTTGCAGACTATACAAGCACAGTGTTTCCTAACTGCTCTATGAAAAGAAAGGTTAAACTCTGTGAGTTGAATGCACACATCACAAAGGAGTTTCTCAGAATCATTCTGTCTAGTTTCTATAGGAAGATATTTCCTATTCTACCATTGACCTCAAAGCGGCTGAAATCTCCACTTGCAAATTCCACAAAAAGTGTGTTTCAAGTCTGCTCTGTGTAAAGGATCGTTCAACTCTGTGAGTTGAATACACAAAACACAAGGAAGTTACTGAGAATTCTTCTGTCTAGCAGAATATGAAGAAATCCCGTTTCCAACGAAGGCCTCAAAGACGTCTGAATATCCACTTGCAGACTTTACAAACAGAGTGTTTCCTAACTGCTCTATGAAAAGAAAAGTTAAACTCTGTGAGTTGAACGCACACATCACAAAGGAGTTTCTGAGAATCATTCTGTCTAGTTTTGAAACGAAGATATTTCCTTTTCTGCGATTGACCTTAAAGTGCTTGAAATCTCCATTTGCCAATTGCACAAAAAGAGTGTTTCAAATCTGCTCTGTCTAAGGGATCGTTCAACTCTGTGAGTTGAATGTACACAACACAAGGAAGTTACTGGGAATTCTTCTGTCTAGCCTTACAGGAAAAAAACCCGTTTCCAACGAAGGCCTCTAAGTGGTCAAAATATCCACGTGCAGACTTTACAAACAGAGTGTTTCCAAACTGCTGAATGAAAAGCAAAGTTAAACTCTGAGAGTTGAACGCACACATCGCAGAGCAGTTTCTGAGAATGATTCGGTCTAGTTTTTATACGAAGATATTTCCTTTTCTGCCTTTGGCCTCAAAGCGCTTGAAATCTCGACTTGCAAATTCCACAAAAAGCGTGTTTCAAATCTGCTCTGTCTAAATGAAAGTTCAACTCTATCAGTTGAATACACACAACGCAAGGAAGTTACTGAGAATTCTTCTGTCTAGCATAATATGAAGAAATCCCGTTTCCAACGAAGGCCTCAAAGAGGTCTGAATATCCACTTGAAGACTTTACAAACAGAGTGTTTCCTAACTGCTCTATGAAAAGAAAAGTTAAACTCTGTGAGTTGAACGCACACATCACAAAGGATTTTCTGAGAATCATTCTGTCTAGTTTTTCTACGAAGATATTTCCTTTTCTACTATTGACCCCAAAGCGGCTGAAATCTCCACTTGCAAATTCCACAAAAAGAGTGTTTAAAGTCTGCTCTGTGTAAAGGATCGTTCAACTCTGTGAGTTGAATACACACAACACAAGGAAGTTACTGAGAATTCTTCTGTCTAGCATAATATGAAGAAATCCCGTTTCCAACGAAGGCCTCAAAGAGGTCTGAATATCCACTTGCAGACTTTACAAACAGAGTGTTTCCTAACTGCTCTATGAAAAGAAAGGTTAAACTCTTTGAGTTGAACGCACACATCACAAAGGAGTTTCTGAGAATCATTCTGTCTAGTTTTGAAACGAAGATATTTCCTTTTCTGCCTTTGAACTTAAAGCGCTTGAAATCTCCATTTGCCAATTGCACAAAAAGAGTGTTTCAAATCTGCTCTGTCTAAGGGAACGTTCAACTCTGTGAGTTGAATGTACACAACACAAGGAAGTTACTGGGAATTCTTCTGTCTAGCCTTACAGGAAAAAAACCCGTTTCCAACGAAGGCCTCTAAGTGGTCAAAATATCCACGTGCAGACTTTACATACAGAGTGTTTCCAAACTGCTGAATGAAAAGAAAAGTTAAACTCTGAGAGTTGAACGCACACATCGCAGAGCAGTTTCTGAGAATGATTCTGTCTAGTTTTTATACGAAGATATTTCCTTTTCTGCCTTTGGCCCCAAAGCGCTTAAAATCTCCACTTGCAAATTCCACAAAAACAGTGTTTCAAATCTGCTCTCTCTAAATGAAAGTTCAACTCTGTCAGTTGAATACACACAACACAAGGAAGTTACTGAGAATTCTTCTTTCTAGCAGAATATGAAGAAATCCCGTTTCCAACGAAAGCCTCAAGGATGTCTGAATATCCACATGCAGACTTTACAAACAGAGTGTTTCCCAACTGCTCTATGAAAAGAAAGGTTGAACTCTGTGAGTTGAACGCACACATCACAAAGGAGTTTCTGAGAATCATTCTGTCAATTTTCTATAGGAAGATATTTCCTATTCTACCATTGACCTGAAAGCGGCTGAATTCTCCACTTCCAAATTCCACAAAAAGACTGTTTCATGTCTGCTCTGTGTAAAGGATCGTTCACCTCTGTGAGTTGAAAACACACAACACAAGGAAGTTTCTGAGAATTCTTCTGTCTAGCAGAATATGAAGAAATCTCGTTTCCAACGAAGGCCACAAGATGTCAGAATATCCACTTACAGAATTTACAAACAGACTGTTTCCTAACTGCTCTATGAAAAGAAAGGTTAAACTCTGTGAGTTGAACGAACACATCACAACGCAGTTTGTGGGAATGATTCTGTCTAGTTTTGAAACGAAGATATTTCCTTTTCTGCCATTGACCTTAAAGCGCTTGAAATCTCCACTTGCCAATTGCACAAAAAGAGTGTTTCAAATCTGCTCTGTCTAAGGGAACGTTCAACTCTGTGAGTGGAATGTACACAACACAAGGAAGTTACTGGGAATTCTTCTGTCTAGCCTTACATGAAAAAAACCCGTTTCCAATGAAGGCCTCCAAGTGGTCAAAATATCCACGTGCAGACTTTACAAACAGAGTGTTTCCAAACTGCTGAATGAAAAGAAAAGTTAAACTCTGAGAGCTGAACGCACACATCGCAGAGCAGTTTCTGAGAATGATTCTGTCTAGTTTTTATACGAAGATATTTCCTTTTCTGCCTTTGGCCTCAAAGCGCTTGAAATCTCCACTTTCAAATTCCACAAAAAGAGTGTTTCAAATCTGCTCTGTGTAAATGAAAGTTCAACTCTGTGAGTTGAACACACACAACACAAGGGAAGTTACTGGGAATTCTTCTGTCTAGCAGAATATGAAGAAATCCCGTTTCCAACGAAGGCCTCAAGTAGGTCTGAATATCCACTTGCAGACTTTACAAACAGAGTGTTTCCTAACTGCTCTATGAAAAGAAAGGTTAAACTCTGTGAGTTGAACGCACACATCACAAAGGAGTTTATGAGAATCATTTTGTCTAGTTTCTATAAGAAGATATTTCCTATTCTACCATTGACCTCAAAGCGGCTGAAATCTCCACTTGCAAATTCGACAAAAAGAGTGTTTCAAGCCTGCTCTCTGTAAAGGATCCTTCAACTCTGTGAGTTGAATACACACAACACAAGGAAATTACTGAGAATTATTCTGTCTAGCAGTAATATGAAGAAATCCCGTTTCCAACGAAGGCCACAAGATGTCAGAATATCCACTTACAGACTTTACAAACAGAGTGTTTCCTAACTGCTCTATGAACAGAAAGGTTAAACTCTGTGAGTTGAAAGAACACATCACAACGCAGTTTGTGGGAATGATTCTGTCTAGTTTTGAAACGAAGATATTTCCTTTTCTGCCGTTGACCTTAAAGCGCTTGAAATCTACACTTGCAAATTGCACAAATAGAGTGTTTCAAATCTGCTCTGTCTAAGGGAACGTTCAGCTCTGTGAGTTGAATGCACACAACACAAGGAAGTTACTGGGAATTCTTCCGTCTAGCCTTACATGAAAAAAACCCGTTTCCAACGAAGGCCTCAAAGAAGTCCAAATATCCACGTGCAGACTTTACAAACAGAGTGTTTCCTAACGGCTCTATGAAAAGAAACGTTAAACTCTGTGAGTTGAACGCCCACATCACAAAGGAGTTTCTGAGAATCATTCTGTCTAGTTTTTATACGAAGATATTTCCTTTTCTGCCTTTGGCCTCAAAGCGCTTGAAATCTCCACCTGCAAATTCCACAAAAAGAGTGTTTCAAATCTCCTCTGTGTAAATGAAAGTTCAACTCTGTGAGTTGAACACACACAACACAAGGAAGTTACTGGGAATCCTTCTGTCTAGCATAATATGCAGAAATCCCGTTTCCAACGAAGGCCTCAAAGAGGTCTGAATATCCACTTGCTGACTTTACAAACAGAGTGTTTCCTAACTGCTCAATGAAAAGAAAAGTTAAACTCTGCGAGTTGAACGCACACATCAGAAAGGAGTTTCTGAGAATCATTCTGTCTAGTTTTTATACGAAGATATTTCCTTTTCTACCATTGACCTCAACGCGGCTGAAATCTCCACTTGCAAATTCCACAAAACGAGTGTTTCAAGTCTGCTCTGTGTAAAGGATCGTTCAACTCTGTGAGTTGAATACACACAACACAAGGAAGTTACTGAGAATTCTTCTGTCTAGCAGAATATGAAGAAATCCCGTTTCCAACGAAGGCCACAAGATGTCAGAATATCCACTTACAGAATTTACAAACAGACTGTTTCCTAACTGCTGTATGAAAAGAAAGGTTAAACTCTGTGAGTTGAACGAACACATCACAACGCAGTTTGTGGGAATGATTCTGTGTAGTTTTGAAACGAAGATATTTCCTTTTCTGCCATTGACCTTAAAGCGCTTGAAATCTACACTTGCAAATTGCACAAATACAGTGTTTCAAATCTGCTCTGTCTAAGGGAACGTTCAACTCTGTGAGTTGAATGCACACAACACAAGGAAGTTACTGGGAATTCTTCTGTCTAGCCTTACATGAAAAAAACCCGTTTCCAAGGAAGGCCTCTAAGTGGTCAAATTATCCACGTGCAGACTTTACAAACAGAGTGTTTCCAAACTGCTGAATGATAAGAAAAGTTAAACTCTGAGAGTTGAACGCACACATCGCAGAGCAGTTTCTGAGAATGATTCTGTCTAGTTTTTATACGAAGATATTTCCTTTTCTGCCTTTGGCCCCAAAGCGCTTGAAATCTCCACTGGCAAATTCCACAAAACCAGTGTTTCAAATCTGCTCTCCATAAATGAAAGTTCAACTCTGTCAGTTGAATACACACAACACAAGGAAGTTACTGAGAATTCTTCTGTCTAGCAGAATATGAAGAAATCCCGTTTCCAACGAAGGCCTCAAAGAGGTCTGAATATCCACTTGCAGACTTTACAAACAGAGTGTTTCCTAACTGCTCTATGAAAAGAAAGGTTAAACTCTGTTAGTTGAACGCACACATCACAAAGGAGTTTCTGAGAATCATTCTGTCTAGTCTTTATAAGAAGATAGTTTCCTTTTCTACCATTGACCTCAAAGCGGCTGAAATCTCCACTTGCAAATTCCAGAAAAAGAGTGTTTCAAGTCTGCTCTGTGTAAAGGATCGTTCAACTCTGTGAGTTGAATACACACAACACAAGGAAGTTACTGAGAATTCTTCTGTCTAGCAGAATATGAAGAAATCCCGTTTCCAACGAAGGCCACAAGATGTCAGAATATCCACTTACAGAATTTACAAACAGACTGTTTCCTAACTGCTCTATGAAAAGAAAGGTTAAACTCTGTGAGTTGAACGAACACATCACAACGCAGTTTGTGGGAATAATTCTGTCTAGTTTTGAAACGAAGATATTTCCTTTTCTGCCATTGACCTTAAAGCGCTTGAAATCTACACTTGCAAATTGCACAAATAGAGTGTTTCAAATCTGCTCTGTCTAAGGGAACGTTCAACTCTGTGAGTGGAATGCACACAACACAAGGAAGTTACTGGGAATTCTTCTGTCTAGCCTTACAGGAAAAAAACCCGTTTCCAACGAAGGCCTCTAAGTGGTCAAAATATCCACGTGCAGACTTTACAAACAGAGTGTTTCCAAACTGCTGAAGGAAAAGAAAAGTTAAACTCTGAGAGTTGAACGCACACATCGCAGAGCAGTTTCTGAGAATGATTCTGTCTAGTTTTTATACGAAGATATTTCCTTTTCTGCCTTTGGCCTCAAAGCGCTTGAAATCTCCATTAGCAAATTCCACAAAAAGAGTGTCTCAAATCTGCTCTGTGTAAATGAAAGTTCAACTCTGTGAGTTGAACACACACAACACAAGGAAGTTACTGGGAATTCTTCTGTCTAGCCTTATATGAAAAATCCCGTTTCCAACGAAGGCCTCAAAGAGGTCTGAATATCCACTTGCATACTTTACAAACAGAGTGTTTCCTAACTGCTCTATGAAAAGAAAGGTTAAACTCTGTGAGTTGAACACACACATCACAAAGGAGTTTCTGAGAATCATTCTGTCTACTTTCTATAGGAAGATATTTCCTATTCTACCATTGACCTCAAAGCGGCTGAAATCTCCACTTGCAAATTCCAAAAAAAGAGTGTTTCAAGTCTGCTCTGTGTAAAGGATCGTTCAACTCTGTGAGTTGAATACACACAACACAAGGCAGTTACAGAGAATTCTTCTGTCTAGCAGAATATGAAGAAATCCCGTTTCCAACGAAGGCCACAAGATGTCAGAATATCCACTTACAGAATTTTCAAACAGACTGTTTCCTAACTGCTCTATGAAAAGAAAGGTTAAACTACTGTGAGTTGAACGAACACATCACAACGCAGTTTGTGGGAATGATTATCTGTCTAGTTTTGAAACGAAGATATTTCCTTTTCTTCCATTGACCATAAAGCGCTTGAAATCTCCACTTGCAAATTGCACAAATAGAGTGTTTCAAATCTGCTCTGTCTAAGGGAACGTTCAACTCTGTGAGTTGAGTGCACACAACACAAGGAAGTTACTGGGAATTCTTCTGTCTAGCCTTACATGAAAAAAACCCGTTTCCAACGAAGGCCTCTAAGTGGTCAAGTTATCCACGTGCAGACTTTACAAACAGAGTGTTTCCAAACTTCTGAATGAAAAGAAAAGTTAAACTCTGAGAGTTGAACGCACACATCGCAGAGCAGTTTCTGAGAATGATTCTGTCTAGTTTTTATACGAAGATATTTCCTTTTCTGCCTTTGGCCCCAAAGCGCTTGAAATCTCCACTTGCAAATTCCACAAAAACAGTGTTTCAAATCTGCTCTCTCTAAATGAAAGTTCAACTCTGTCAGTTGAATACACACAACACAGGGAAGTTACTGAGAATTCTTCTGTCTAGCATAATATGTAGAAATCCCGTTTCCAACGAAGGCCTCAATGAGGTCTGAATATCCACTTGCAGACTTTACAAACAGAGTGTTTCCTAACTGCTCTATGAAAAGAAAGGTTAAACTCTGTGAGTTGAACGCACACATCACAAAGGAGTTTCTGAGAATCATTCTGTCTAGTTTCTATAGGAAGATATTTCCTATTCTACCTTTGACTTCAAAGCGGCTGAAATCTCCACTTGCAAATTCCACAAAAAGAGTGTTTCAAGTCTGCTCTCTGTAAAAGATCGTTCAACTCTGTGAGTTGAATACACACAACACAAGGAAGTTACTGAGAATTCTTCTGTCTAGCAGAATATGAAGAAATCCCGTTTCCAACGAAGGCCACTAGATGTCAGAATATCCACTTACAGAATTGACAAACAGACTCTTTCCTAACTGCTCTATGAAAAGAAAGGTTAAACTCTGTGAGTTGAACGAACACATCACAACGCAGTTTGTGGGAATGATTCTGTCTAGTTTTGAAACGAAGATATTTCCTTTTCTGCCATTGACCATAAAGCGCTTGAAATCTCCACTTGCCAATTGCACAAAAAGAGTGTTTCAAATCTGCTCTGTCTAAGGGAACGTTCAACTCCTGTGAGTTGAATGTACACAACACAAGGAAGTTACTGGGAATTCTTCTGTCTAGCCTTACAAGAAAGAAACCCGTTTCCAACGAAGGCCTCTAAGTGATCAAAATATCCACGTGCAGACTTTACAAACAGAGTGTTTCCAAACTGCTGAATGAAAAGAAAAGTTAAACTCTGAGAGTTGAACGCACACATCGCAGAGCAGTTTCTGAGAATGATTCTGTCTAGTTTTTATACGAAGATATTTCCTTTTCTGCCTTTGGCCTCAAAGCGCTTGAAATCTCCACTTGCAAATTCCACAAAAAGAGTGTTTCAAATTTGCTCTGTGTAAATGAAAGTTCAACTCTGTGAGTTGAATACACACAACACAAGGAAGTTACTGGGAATTCTTCTGTCTAGCAGAATATGAAGAAATCCCATTTCCGACGAAGGCCTCAGGGAGGTCTGAATATCCACTTGCAGAGTTTACAAACAGAGTGTTTCCTAACTGCTCTATGAAAAGAAAGGTTAAACTCTGTGAGTTGAACGCACACATCACAAAGGAGTTTCTGAGAATCATTCTGTCTAGTTTCTATAGGAAGATATCTCCTATTCTACCATTGACCTCAAAGCGGCTGAAATCTCCAGTTGCAAATTCCACAAAAAGAATGTTTCAAGTCTGCTCTGTGTAAAGGATCGTTCAACTCTGTGAGTTGAATACACACAACACAAGGAAGTTACTGAGAATTATTCTGTCTAGCAGAATATGAAGAAATCCCGTTTCCAACGAATGCCTCAAGGAGGTCTGAATATCCAATTGCAGACTTTACAAACAGAGTGTTTCCTAACTGCTCTATGAACAGAAAAGTTAAACTCTGTGAGTTGAACGAACACATCACAACGCAGTTTGTGGGAATGATTCTGTCTAGTTTTAAAACGAAGATATTTCCTTTTCTGCCATTGACCTTAAAGCGCTTGAAATCTACACTTGCAAATTGCACAAATAGAGTGTTTCAAGTCTGCTCTGTTTAAAGGATCGTTCAACTCTGTGAGTTGAATACACACAACACAAGGAAGTTACTGAGAATTCTTCTGTCTACCCTTACATGAAAAAAACCCGTTTCCAACGAAGGCCTCTAAGTGGTCAAAATATCCACGTGCAGACTTTACAAACAGAGTGTTTCCAAACTGCTGAATGAAAAGAAAAGTTAAACTCTGAGAGTTGAACGCACACATCACAGAGCATTTTCTGAGAATGATTCTGTCTAGTTTCTATAGGAAGATATTTCCTATTCTACCATTGACCTCAAAGCGGCTGAAATCTCCACTTGCAAATTCCACAAAAAGAGTGTTTCACGTCTGCTCTGTGTAAAGGATCGTTCAACTCTGTGAGTTGAATACGCACAACACAAGGAAGTTACTGAGAATTCTTCTGCCTAGCATAATATGAAGAAATCCCGTTTCCAACGAAGGCCTCAAGGAGGTCTGAATATCCACTTGCAGACTTTACAAAGAGAGTGTTTCCTAACTGCTCTATGAAAAGAAAGGTTAAACTCTGTGAGTTGAACGCACACATCACAAAGGAGTTTCTGAGAATCAATCTGTCTAGTTTCTATAAGAAGATATTTCCTATTCTACCATTGACCTCAAAGCGGCTGAAATCTCCACTTGCAAATTCGACAAAAAGTGTGTTTCAAGCCTGCTCTCTGTAAAGGATCCTTCAACTCTGTGAGTTGAATACACACAACACAAGGAAGTTACTGAGAATTATTCTGTCTAGCAGAATAGGAAGAAATCCCGTTTCCAACGAAGGCCACAAGATGTCAGAATATCCACTTACAGACTTTACAAACAGAGTGTTTCCTAACTGCTCTATGAACAGAAAGGTTAAACTCTGTGAGTTGAACGAACACATCACAACGCAGTTTGTGGGAATGATTCTGTCTAGTTTTGAAACGAAGATATTTCCTTTTCTGCCGTTGACCTTAAAGCGCTTGAAATCTACACTTGCAAATTGCACAAATAGAGTGTTTCAAATCTGCTCTGTCTAAGGGAACGTTCAACTCTGTGAGTTGAATGCACACAACAGAAGGAAGTTACTGGGAATTCTTCTGTCTAGCCTTACATGAAAAAAAACCCGTTTCCAACGAAGGCCTCTAAGTGGTCAAAATATCCACGTGCAGACTTTACAAACAGAGTGTTTCCAAACCGCTGAATGAAAAGAAAAGTTAAACTCTGAGAGTTGAACGCACACATCACGCAGCAGTTTCTGAGAATGATTCAGTCTAGTTTTTATACGAAGATATTTCCTTTTCTGCCTTTGGCACCAAAGCGCTTGAAATCTCCATTTGCAAATTCCACAAAAACAGTGTTTCAAATCTGCTCTCTCTAAATGAAAGTTCAACTCTGTCAGTTGAATACACACAACACAAGGAAGTTACTGAGAATTCTTCTGTCTAGCATAATATGAAGAAATCCCTTTTCGAACGAAGGCCTCAAAGAGGTCTGAATATCCACATGCAGACTTTACAAACAGAGTGTTTCCTAACTGCTCTATGAAAAGAAAAGTTAAACTCTGTGAGATGAACGCACACATCACAAAGGAGTTTCTGAGAATCATTCTGTCTAGTTTCTATAGGAAGATATTTCCTATTCTGCCATTGACCTCAAAGCGGCTGAAATCTCCACTTGCAAATTCCACAAAAAGAGTGTTTCAAGTCTGCTCTGTGTAAAGGATCGTTCAACTCTGTGAGTTGAATACACACAACACAAGGAACTTACTGAGAATTCTTCTGTCTAGCAGAATATGAAGAAATCCCATTTCCAACGAAGGCCACAAAATGTCAGAATATCCACTTACAGACTTTACAAACAGAGTGTTTCCTAACTGCTGTATGAACAGAAAGGTTAAACTCTGTGAGTTGAACGAACACATCACAACGCAGTTTGTGGGAATGATTCTGTCTAGTTTTTATAGGAAGATATTTCCTTTTCTACCTTTGACCTGAAAGCGGCTGAAATCACCACTTGCCAATTGCACAAAAAGAGTGTTTCAAATCTGCTCTGTCTAAGGAAACGTTCAACTCTGTGGGTTGAATGTACAAAACACAAGGAAGTTACTGGGAATTCTTCTGTCTAGCCTTACATGCAAAAAACCCGTTTCCAACGAAGGCCTCTAAGTGGTCAAAATATCCACGTGCAGACTTTACAAACAGAGTGTTTCCAAACCGCTGAATGAAAAGAAAAGTTAAACTCTGAGAGTTGAACGCACACATCACGCAGCAGTTTCTGAGAATGATTCTGTCTAGTTTTTCTACGAAGATATTTCCTTTTCTACTATTGACCTCAAAGCGGCTGAAATCTCCACTTGCAAATTCCACAAAAAGAGTGTTTCAAGTCTGCTCTGTGTAAAGGATCGTTCAACTCTGTGAGTTGAATAAACACAACACAAGGAAGTTACTGAGAATTCTTCTGTCTAGCAGAATATGAAGAAATCCCGTTTCCAACGAAGGCCTCAAGGAGGTCTGAATATCCACTTGCAGACTTTACAAACAGAGTGTTTCCTAACTGCTCTATGAAAAGAAAGGTTAAACTCTGTGAGTTGAACACACACATCACAAAGGAGTTTCTGAGAATCATTCTGTCTAGTTTCTATACGAAGATATTTCGTTTTCTACCATTGACCTCAAAGCGGCTGAAATCTCCACTTGCAAATTCCACAAAAAGAGTGTTTCAAGTCTGCTCTGTGTAAAGGATCGTTCAACTCTGTGAGTTGAATGCACACAACACAAGGAAGTTACTGAGAATTCTTCTGTCTAGCAGAATAGGAAGAAATCCCGTTTCCAACGAAGGCCACAAGATGTCAGAATATCCACTTACAGACTTTACAAACAGAGTGTTTCCTAACTGCTCTATGAATAGAAAGGTTAAACTGCTGTGAGTTGAACGAACACATCACAACGCAGTTTGTGGGAATGATTCTGTCTAGTTTTGAAACGAAGATATTTCCTTTTCTGCCATTGACCTTAAAGCGCTTGAAATCTCCATTTGCCAATTGCACAAAAAGAGTGTTTCAAATCTGCTCTGTCTAAGGGAACGTTCAACTCTGTGAGTTGAATGTACACAACACAAGGGAAGTTACTGGGAATTCTTGTGTCTAGCCTTACATGGAAAAAACCCGTTTCCAACGAAGGCCTCTAAGTGGTCAAATTATCCACGTGCAGACTTTACAAACAGAGTGTTTCCAAACTGCTGAATGAAAACAAAAGTTAAACTCTGAGAGTTGAACGCACACATCGCAGAGCAGTTTCTGAGAATGATTCTGTCTAGTTTTGAAACGAAGATATTTCCTTTTCTGCCTTTGGCCTCAAAGCGCTTGAAATCTCCACTTGCAAATTCCACAAAAAGAGTGTTTCAAATGTGCTCTGTGTAAATGAAAGTTCAACTCTGTGAGTTGAACACACACAACACAAGGAAGTTACTGGGAATTCTTCTGTCTAGCATAATATGAAGAAATCCCGTTTCCAACGAAGGCCTCAAGGAGGTCTGTATATCCACTTGCAGACTTTACAAACAGAGTGTTTCCTAACTGCTCTATGAAAAGAAAGGTTAAACTCTGTGAGTAGAACGCACACATCACAAAGGAGTTTCTGAGAATCATTCTGTCTAGTTTCTATAGGAAGATATTTCCTATTCTACCATTGACCTCAAAGCGGCTGAAATCTCCACTTGCAAATTCCACAAAAAGAATGTTTCAAGGCTGCTCTGTGTAAAGGATCGTTCAACTCTGTGAGTTGAATACACACAACACAAGGAAGTTACTGAGAATTCTTCTGTCTAGCATAATATGAAGAAATCCCGTTTCCAACGAAGGCTTCAAAGAGGTCTGAATATCCACTTGCAGACTTTACAAACAGAGTGTTTCCTAACTGCTCTATGAAAAGAAAAGTTAAACTCTGTGATTTGAACGCACACTTCACAAAGGAGTTTATGAGAATCATTCTGTCTAGTTTTTATACGAACATATTTCCTTTTCTACCATTGACCTCAACGCGGCTGAAATCTCCACTTGCAAATTCCACAAAAAGAGTGTTTCAAGTCTGCTCTGTGAAAAGGATCGTTCAACTCTGTGAGTTGAATACACACAACACAAGGAAGATTCTGAGAATTCTTCTGTCTAGCCTTATATGAAAAAAACCCGTTTCCAACGAAGGCCTCAAAGAGGGCTGAATATCCACTTGCAGACTTTACAAGCAGAGTGTTTCCTAACTGCTCTGTGAAAAGAAAGGTTAAACTCTGTGAGTTGAACGCACACATCACAAAGGAGTTTCTGAGAATCATTCTGTCTACTTTCTATAGGAAGATATTTCCTATTCTACCTTTGACCTCAAAGCGGCTGAAATCTCCACTTGCAAATTCCACAAAAGGAGTGTTTCAAGTCTGCTCTGTGTAAAGGATCGTTCAACTCTGAGAGTTGAAAACACACAACACAAGTAAGTTTCTGAGAATTCTTCTGTCTGGCAGAATATGTAGAAATCCCGTTTCCAACGAAGGCCACAAGATGTCAGAATATCCACTTACAGAATTTACCAACAGAGTGTTTCCTACCTGCTCTATGAAAAGAAAGGTTAAACTCTGTGAGTTGAACGAACACATCACAACGCAGTTTGTGGGAATGATTCTGTCTAGTTTTGAAACGAAGATATTTCCTTTTCTGCCATTGACCTCAAAGCGCTTGAAATCTCCACTTGCCAATTGCACAAAAAGAGTGTTTCAAATCTGCTCTGTCTAAGGGAACGTTCAACTCTGTGAGTTGAATGTACACAACACAAGGAAGTTACTGGGAATTCTTCTGTCTAGCCTTACAGGAAAAAAACACGTTTCCAACGAAGGCCTTTAAGTGGTCAAAATATCCACGTGCAGACTTTACAAACAGAGTGTTTCCAAACTGCTGAATGAAAAGAAAAGTTAAACTCTGAGAGTTGAACGCACACATCACAGAGCAGTTTCCGAGAATGATTCTGTCTAGTTTTGAAACGAAGATATTTCCTTTTCTGCCTTTGGCCTTAAAGCGCTTGAAATCTCCACTTGCAAATTCCACAAAAAGAGTGTTTCAAATCTGCTCTGTGTAAATGAAAGTTCAGCTCTGTGAGTTGAACACACACAACACAAGGAAGTTACTGGGAATTCTTCTGTCTAGCCTTATATGAAAAAAACCCGTTTCCAAGGAAGGTCTCAAAGAGGTCTGAATATCCACTTGCAGAATTTACAAACAGAGTGTTTCCTAACTGCTCTATGAAAAGAAAGGTTAAACTCTGTGAGTTGAACGCACACATCACAAAGGAGTTTCTGAGAATCATTCTGTCTACTTTCTATAGGAAGATATTTCCTATTCTACCATTGACCTCAAAGCGGCTGAAATCTCCACTTGCAAATTCCACAAAAGGAGTGTTTCAAGTCTGCTCTGTGTAAAGGATCGTTCAACTCTGTGAGTTGAAAACCCACAGCACAAGGAAGTTTCTGAGAATTCTTCTGTCTAGCAGAATATGAAGAAATCCCGTTTACAACGAAGGCCACAAGATGTCAGAATATCCACTTACAGAATTTACAAACAGACTGTTTCCTAACTGCTCTATGAAAAGAAAGGTTAAACTCTGTGAGTTGAACGAACACATCACAACGCAGTTTGTGGGAATGATTCTGTCTAGTTTTGAAACGAAGATATTTCCTTTTCTGCCATTGACCTTAAAGCGCTTGAAATCTCCACTTGCCAATTGCACAAAAAGAGTGTTTCAAATCTGCTCTGTCTAAGGGAACGTTCAACTCTGTGAGTTGAATGTACACAACACAAGGAAGTTACTGGGAATACTTCTGTCTAGCCTTACAGGAAAGAAACCCGTTTCCAACGAAGGCCTCTATGTGGTCAAAATATCCACGTGCAGAGTTTACAAACAGAGTGTTTCCAAACTGCTGAATGAAAAGAAAAGTTAAACTCTGAGAGTTGAACGCACACATCGCAGAGCAGTTTCTGAGAATGATTCTGTCTAGTTTTTATACGAAGATATTTCCTTTTCTGCCTTTGGCCTCAAAGCGCTTGAAATCTCCACTTGCAAATTCCACAAAAACAGAGTTTCAAATCTGCTCTCTCTAAATGAAAGTTCAACTCTGTCAGTTGAATACACACAACACAAGGAAGTTACTGAGAATTCTTCTATCTAGCAGAATACGAAGAAATCCCGTTTCCAACGAAGGCCTCAAAGAGGTCTGAATATCCCCTTGCAGACTTTACAAACAGAGTGTTTCCTAACTGCTCTATGAAAAGAAAGGTTAAACTCTGTGAGTTGAACGCACACATCACAAAGGAGTTTCTGGGAATCATTCTGTCTAGTCTTTATACGAAGATATTTCCTTTTCTACCATTGACCACAAAGAGGCTGAAATCTCCACTTGCAAATTCCACAAAAAGAGTGTTTCAAGTCTGCTCTGTGTAAAGGATCGTTCAACTCTGTGAGTTGAATACACACAACACAAGGAAGTTACTGAGAATTCTTCTGTCTAGCAGAATATGAAGAAATCCCGTTTCCAACGAAGGCCACAAGATGTCAGAATATCCACTTACAGACTTTACAAACAGAGTGTTTCCTAACTGCTCTATGAACAGAAAGGTTAAACTCTCTGAGTTGAACGAACACATCACAACGCAGTTTGTGGGAATGATTCTGTCTAGTTTTGAAACCAAGATATTTCCTTTTCTGCCGTTGACCTTAAAGAGCTTGAAAACTACACTTGCAAATTGCACAAATAGAGTGTTTCAAATCTGCTCTGTCTAAGGGAACGTTCAACTCTGTGAGTTGAATGCACACAACACAAGGAAGTTACTGGGAATTCTTCTGTCTAGCCTTACATGAAAAAATCCCGTTTCCAACGAAGGCCTCTAAGTGGTCAAAATTTCCACGTGCAGACTTTACAAACAGAGTGTTTCCAAACCGCTGAATGAAAAGAAAAGTTAAACTCTGAGAGTTGAACGCACACATCACGCAGCAGTTTCTGAGAATGATTCTGTCTAGTTTTTATACGAAGATATTTCCTTTTCTGCCTTTGGCCTCAAAGCGCTTGAAATCTCCACTTGCAAATTCCACAAAAAGAGTGTTTCAAATCTGCTCTCTCTAAATGAAAGTTCAACTCTGTCAGTTGAATACACACAACACAAGGAAGTTACTGAGAATTCTTCTGTCTAGCATAATATGAAGAAATCCCGTTTCCAACGAAGGCTTCAAAGAGGTCTGAATATCCACTTGCAGACTTTACAAACAGAGTGTTTCCTAACTGCTCTATGAGAAGAAAAGTTAAACTCTGTGAGTTGAACGCACACATCACAAAAGATTTTCTGAGAATCATTCTGTCGAATTTCCATAGGAAGATATTTCCTATTCTACCATTGACCTCAAAGCGGCTGAAATCTCCACTTGCAAATTCGACAAAAAGAGTGTTTCAGGTCAGCTCTGTGTAAAGGATCGGTAAACTCTGTGAGTTGAATACACACAACACAAAGAAGTTACTGAGAATTCTTCTGTCTAGCATAATATGAAGAAATCCCGTTTCCAACGAAGTCCTCAAAGAGGTCTGAATATCCACTTGCAGAGTTTACAAACAGAGTGTTTCCTAACTGCTCTATGAAAAGAAAGGTTAAACTCCGTGAGTTGATCGAACACATCACAACGCAGTTTGAGGGAATGATTCTGTCTAGTTTTTATACGAAGATATTTCCTTTTCTGTCTTTGGCCTCAAAGCGCTTGAAATCTCCACTTGCAAATTCCACATAAAGAGTTTTTCAAATCTGCTCTGTCTAAATGAAAGTTCAACTCTGTCAGTTGAATACACACAACACAAGGAAGTTACTGAGAATTCTTCTGTCTAGCCTTACATGATAAAAACCCGTTTCCAACGAAGACCTCTAAGTGGTCAAATTATCCACGTGCAGACTTTACAAACAGAGTGTTTCCAAACTGCTGAATGAAAAGATAAGTTAAACTCTGAGAGTTGAACGCACACATCGCAGAGCAGTTTCTGAGAATGATTCTGTCTAGTTTTTAGACGAAGATATTTCCCTTTCTGCCTTTGGCCTCAAAGCGCTTGAAATCTCCATTTGCAAATTCCACAAAAAGAGTGTTTCAAATCTGCTCTGTGTAAATGAAAGTTCAACTCTGTGAGTTGAACACACACAACACATGGAAGTTACTGGGAATTCTTCTGTCTAGCACAGTATGAAGAAATCCCGTTTCCAAAGAAGGCCTCAAAGAGGTCTCAATATCCACTTGCACAGTTTAAAAACACAGTGTTTCCTAACTGCTCTATGAAAAGAAAGGTTAAACTCTGTGAGTTGAACGCACACATCACAAAGAAGTTTCTGAGAATCATTCTGTCTAGTTTCTATAAGAAGATATTTCCTCTTCTACCATTGACCTCAAAGCGGCTGAAATCTCCATTTGCAAATTCGACAAAAAGAGTGTTTCAAGCCTGCTCTCTGTAAAGGATCCTTCAACTCTGTGAGTTGAATACACACAACACAAGGAAGTTACTGAGAATTCTTCTGTCTAGCAGAATATGAAGAAATCCCGTTTCCAACGAAGGCCTCAAAGAGGTATGCATATCCACTTGCAGACTTTACAAACAGAGTGTTTCCTAACTGCTCTATGAGAAGAAAAGTTAAACTCTGTGAGTTGAACGCACACATCACAAAAGATTTTCTGAGAATCATTCTGTCTAGTTTTGAAACGAAGATATTTCCTTTTCTGCCGTTGACCTTAAAGCGCTTGAAATCTACACTTGCAAATTGGACAAATAGAGTGTTTCAAATCTGCTCTGTCTAAGGGAACGTTCAACTCTGTGAGTTGAATGCACACAACACAAGGAAGTTACTGGGAATTCTTCTGTCTAGCCTTATATGAAAAAAACCCGTTTCCAACGAAGGCCTCTAAGTGGTCAAAATTTCCACGTGCAGACTTTACAAACAGAGTGTTTCCAAACCGCTGAATGAAAAGAAAAGTTAAACTCTGAGAGTTGAACGCACACATCACGCAGCAGTTTCTGAGAATGATTCTGTCCAGTTTTTATACGAAGATATTTCCTTTTCTGCCTTTGGCCTCAAAGCGCTTGAAATCTCCACTTGCAAATTCCACAAAAAGAGTGTTTCAAATCTGCTCTGTGTAAATGAAAGTTCAACTCTGTGAGTTGAACACACACAACACAAGGAAGTTACTGGGAATTCTTCTGTCTAGCATAATATGAAGAAATCCCGTTTCCAACGAAGGCCTCAAAGAGGTCTGAATATCCACTTGCAGACTTTACAAACAGAGTGTTTCCTAACTGCTCTATGAAAAGAAAGGTTAAACTCTGTGAGTTGAACACACACATCACAAAGGAGTTTCTGAGAATCATTCTGTCTAATTTCTATAGGAAGATATTTCCTATTCCACCATTGACCTCAAAGCGGCTGAAATCTCCACTTGCAAATTCCACAAAAAGAGTGTTTCAAGACTGTTCTGTGTAAAGGATCATTCAACTCTGTGAGTTGAATACACACAACACAAGGAAGTTACTGAGAATTCTTCTGTCTAGCCTTACATGAAAAAACCCGTTTCCAACGAAGGCCTCAAAGAGGTCTGAATATCCACTTGCAGAGTTTACAAACAGAGTGTTTCCTAACTGTTCTATGAAAAGAAAGGTTAAACTCTGTGAGTTGAACGCACACATCACAATGAAGTTTCTGAGAATCATTCTGTCTAGTTTTTATAGGAAGATATTTCCTTTTCTACCATTGACTTCAAAGCGGCTGAAATCTCCACTTGCAAATTCCACAAAAAGAGTGTTTCAAGTCTGCTCTGTGTAAAGGATCGTTCAACTCTCTGAGTTGAATACACACAACACGCGGATGTTACTGAGTATTCTTCTCTCTAGCAGAATATGAAGAAATCCCGTTTCCAACGAAGGCCACAAGATGTCAGAATATCCACTTACAGACTTTACAAACAGAGTGTTTCCTAACTGCTCTATGAACAGAAAGGTTAAACTCTGTGAGTTGAACGAACACATCACAACGCAGTTTGTGGGAATGATTCTGTCTAGTTTTGAAACGAAGATATTTCCTTTTCTGCCATTGACCTCAAAGCGCTTGAAATCTCCACTTGCCAATTGCACAAAAAGAGTGTTTCAAATCTGCTCTGTCTAAGGGAACGTTCAACTCTGTGAGTTGAATGTACACAACACAAGGAAGTTACTGGGAATTCTTCTGTCTAGCCTTACAAGAAAAAAACCCGTTTCCAACGAAGGCCTCTAAATGGTCAAAATATCCACGTGCAGACTTTACAAACAGAGTGTTTCCAAACTGCTGAATGAAAAGAAAAGTTAAACTCTGAGAGTTGAACGCACACATCGCAGAGCAGTTTCTGGGAATGATTCTGTCTAGTTTTTATACGAAGATATTTCCTTTTCTGCCTTTGGCCTCAAAGCGCTTGAAATCTCCATTTGCAAATTCCACAAAAAGAGTGTTTCAAATCTGCTCTGTGTAAATGAAAGTTCAACTCTGTGAGTTGAACACACAAAACACAAGGAAGTTACTGGGAATTCTTCTGTCTAGCCTTACATGAAAATACCCCGTTTCCAACGAAGGCCTCAAAGAAGTCCAAATATCCACGTGCAGACTTTACAAACAGAGTGTTTCCTAACTGCTCTATGAAAAGAAAGGTTAAACTCTGTGAGTTGAACGCACACATCACAAAGGAGTTTCTGAGAATCATTCTGTCTAGTCTTTATACGAAAATAGTTTCCTTTTCTACCATTGACCTCAAAGCGGCTGAAATCTCCACTTGCAAATTCCACAAAAAGAGTGTTTCAAGTCTGCTCTGTGTAAAGGATCGTTCAACTCAGTGAGTTGAATACACACAACACAAGGAAGTTACTGAGAATTCTTCTGTCTAGCAGAATGTGAAGAAATCCCGTTTCCAACGAAGGCCTCAAGGAGGTGTGAATATCCACTTGCAGACTTTACAAACAGAGTGTTTCCTAACTGCTCTATGAAAAGAAAGGTTAAACTCTGTGAGTTGAACGCACACATCACAAAGGAGTTTCTGAGAATCATTCTGTCTAGTTTTGAAACGAAGATATTTCCTTTTCTGCCGTTGACCTTAAAGCGCTTGAAATCTACACTTGCAAATTGGACAAATAGAGTGTTTCAAATCTGCTCTGTCTAAGGGAACGTTCAACTCTGTGAGTTGAATGCACACAACACAAGGAAGTTACTGGGAATTCTTCTTTCTAGCCTTACAAGAAAAAAACCCGTTTCCAACGAAAGCCTCTATCAAAATATCCACGTGCAGACTTTACAAACAGAGTGTTTCCAAACTGCTGAATGAAAAGAAAAGTTAAACTCTGAGAGTTGAACGCACACATCGCAGAGCAGTTTCTGAGAATGATTCTGTCTAGTTTTGAAACGAAGATATTTCCTTTTCTGCCTTTAGCCTCAAAGCGCTTGAAATCTCCACTTGCAAATTCCACAAAAAGAGTGTTTCAAATCTGCTCTGGGTAAATGAAAGTTCAACTCTGTGAGTTGAACACACACAACACAAGGAAGTTACTGGGAATTCTTCTGTTTAGCCTTATATGTAAAAAACCCGTTTCCAACGAAGGCCTCAAAGAGGTCTGAATATCCACTTGCAGACTTTACAAACAGAGTGTTTCCTAACTGCTCTATGAAAAAAAAGGTTAAACTCTGTGAGTTGAACGCACACATCACAAAGGAGTTTCTGAGAATCATTCTGTCTAGTTTCTATAGGAAGATATTTCCTATTCTACCATTGACCTCAAAGCGGCTGAAATCTCCACTGGCAAATTCCACAAAAACAGTGTTTCAAGTCTGCTCTGTGTAAAGGATCGTTCAACTCTGTGAGTTGAATTCACACAACACAAGGAAGTTACTGAGAATTCTTCTGTCTAGCAGAATATGAAGAAATCCCGTTTCCAACGAAGGCCACAAGATGTCAGAATATCCACTTACAGAATTGACAAACAGACTGTTTCCTAACTGCTCTATGAAAAGAAAGGTTAAACTCTGTGACTTGAACGAACACATCACAACGCAGTTTGTGGGAATGATTCTGTCTAGTTTTGAAACGAAGATATTTCCTTTTCTGCCATTGACCTTAAAGCGCTTGAAATCTACACTTGCAAATTGCACAAATAGAGTGTTTCAAATCTGCTCTGTCTAAGGGAACGTTCAACTCTGTGAGTGGAATGCACACAACACAAGGAAGTTACTGGGAATTCTTCTGTCTAGCCTTACATGAAAAAAACCCGTTTCCAACGAAGGCCTCTAAGTGGTCAAAATATCCACGTGCAGACTTTACAAACACAGTGTTTCCAAACCGCTGAATGAAAAGAAAAGTTAAACTCTGAGAGTTGAACGCACACATCACGCAGCAGTTTCTGAGAATGATTCTGTCTAGTTTTTATACGAAGATATTTCCTTTTCTGCCTTTGGCCCCAAAGCGCTTGAAATCTCCACTTGCAAATTCCACAAAAACAGTGTTTCAAATGTGCTCTCTCTAAATGAAAGTTCAACTCTGTCAGTTGAATACACACAACACAAGGAAGTTACTGAGAATTCTTCTGTCCAGCATAATATGAAGAAATCCCGTTTCCAACGAAGGCCTCAAAGAGGTCGGAATATCCACTTGCAGACTTTACAAACAGAGTGTTTCCTAACTGCTCTATGAAAAGAAAAGTTAAACTCTGTGAGTTGAACGCACACATCACAAAGGAGTTTCTGAGAATCATTCTGTCTAGTCTTTATATGAAGATATTTCCTATTCTACCATTGACCTCAAAGCGGCTGAAATCTCCACTTGCAAATTCGACAAAAAGAGTGTTTCAAGCCTGCTCTCTGTAAAGGATCCTTCAACTCGGTGAGTTGAATACACACAACCCAAGGAAGTTACTGAGAATTCTTCTGTCTAGCAGAATATGAAGAAATCCCGTTTCCAACGAAGGCCACAAGATGTCAGAATATCCACTTACAGACTTTACAGAGTGTTTCCTAACTGTTCTATGAACAGAAAGGTTAAACTCTGTGAGTTGAACGAACACATCACAACGCAGTTTGTGGGAATGATTCTGTCTAGTTTTGAAACGAAGATATTTCCTTTTCTGCCGTTGACCATAAAGCGCTTGAAATCTACACTTGCAAATTGCACAAATAGAGTGTTTCAAATCTGCTCTGTCTAAGGGAACGTTCAACTCTGTGAGTTGAATGCACACAACACAAGGAAGTTACTGGGAATTCTTCTGTCTAGCCTTACAGGAAAAAAACCCGTTTCCAACGAAGGCCTCTAAGTGGTCAAAATATCCACGTGCAGACTTTACAAACAGAGTGTTTCCAAACTGCTGAATGAAAAGAAAAGTTAAACTCTGAGAGTTCAACGCACACATCGCAGAGCAGTTTCTGAGAATGATTCTGTCTAGTTTTGAAACGAAGATATTTCCTTTTCTGCCTTTGGCCTCAAAGAGCTTGAAATCTCCAATTGCCAATTCCACATAAATAGTGTTTCAAATCTGCTCGGTCTAAATGAAAGTTCAACTCTGTCAGTTGAATACACACAACACAAGGAAGTTACTGAGAATTCTTCTGTCTAGCCTTATATGAAAAAATCCCGTTTCCAAGGAAGGCCTCAAAGAGGTCAAAATATCCACGTGCAGACTTTAAAAACAGAGTGTTTCCTAACTGCTCTATGAAAAGAAAGGTTAAACTCTGTGAGTTGAACGCACTCATCACAAAGGAGTTTCTGAGAATCATTCTGTCTACTTTCTATAGGAAGATATTTCCTATTCTACCATTGACCTCAAAGCGGCTGAAATCTCCACTTGCAAATTCCACAAAAGGAGTGTTTCAAGTCTGCTCTGTGTAAAGGATCGGTTCAACTCTGTGAGTTGAAAACACACAACACAAGGAAGTTTCTGAGAATTCTTCTGTCTAGCAGAATATGAAGAAATCCCGTTTCCAACGAAGGCCACAAGATGTCAGAATATCCACTTACAGAATTTACAAACAGAGTGTTTCCTAACTGCTCTATGAAAAGAAAGGTTAAACTCTGTGAGATGAACGAACACATCACAGCGCAGTTTGTGGGAATGATTCTGTCTAGTTTTTATACGAAGATATTTCCTTTTCTACCATTGACCTCAAAGCGGCTGAAATCACCACTTGCCAATTGCACAAAAAGAGTGTTTCAAATCTACTCTGTCTAAGGGAACGTTCAACTCTGTGAGTTGAATGTACACAACACAAGGAAGTTCCTGGGAATTCTTCTGTCTAGCCTTACATGCAAAAAACCCGGTTCCAACGAAGGCCTCTAAGTGGTCAAAATATCCACGTGCAGACTTTACAAACAGAGTGTTTCCAAACCGCTGAATGAAAAGAAAAGTTAAACTCTGAGAGTTGAACGCACACATCACGCAGCAGTTTCTGAGAATGATTCCGTCTAGTTTTTATACGAATATATTTTCTTTTCTGCCTTTGGCCCCAAAGCGTTTGAAATCTCCACTTCCAAATTCCACAAAAACAGTGTTTCAAATCTGCTCTCTCTAAATGAAAGTTCAACTCTGTCAGTTGAATACACACAACACAAGGAAGTTACTGAGAATTCTTCTGTCTAGCAGAATATGAAGAAATTCCGTTTCCAACGAAAGCCTCAAAGATGTCTGAATATCCACTTGCAGACTTTACAAACAGAGTGTTTCCTAACTGCTCTATGAAAAGAAAGGTTAAACTGTGAGTTGAACGCACACATCACAAAGGAGTTTCTGAGAATCATTCTGTCTAGTTTTTATACGAAGATATTTCCTTTTCTACCATGGACCTCAAAGCGGCTGAAATCTCCACTTGCAAATTCCACAAAAAGAGTGTTTCAAGTCTGCTCTGTGTAAAGGATCGTTCAATTCTGTGAGTTGAATACACACAACACAAGGAAAGATTCTGAGAATTCTTCCGTCTAGCAGAATATGAAGAAATCCCGTTTCCAACGAAGGCCACAAGATGTCAGAATATCCACTTACAGAATTGACAAACAGACTGTTTCCTAACTGCTCTATGAAAAGAAAGGTTAAACTCTGTGAGTTGAACGAACACATCACAACGCAGTTTGTGGGAATGATTCTGTCTAGTTTTTATAGGAAGTTATTTCCTTTTCTAACTTTGACTTCAAAGCGGCTGAAATCTCCACTTGCAAATTCCACAAAAAGAGTGTTACAAGTCTGCTCTGTGTAAAGGATCGTTCAACTCTGTGAGTTGAATACACACAACACAAGGAAGTTACTGAGAATTCTTCTGTCTAGCCTTACATGAAAAAAACCCGTTTCCAACGAAGGCCTCTAAGTGGTCAAGTTATCCACGTGCAGACTTTACAAACAGAGTGTTTCCCAACTGCTGAATGAAAAGAAAGGTTAAACTCTGAGAGTTGAACGCACACATCGCAGAGCAGTTTCTGAGAATGATTCTGTCTAGTCTTTATACGAAGATAGTTTCCTTTTCTTCCATTGACCTCAAAGCGGCTGAAATCTCCACTTGCAAATTCCACAAAAAGAGTGTTTCAAGTCTGCTCTCTGTAAAGGATCGTTCAACTCTGTGAGTTGACTACACACAACACAAGGAAGTTACTGAGAATTCTTCTGTCTAGCAGAATATGAAGAAATCCCGTTTCCAACGAAGGCCTCAAAGGGGTCTGAATATCCACTTGCAGACTTTATAAACAGAGTGTTTACTAACTGCTCTATGAAAAGAAAGGTTAAAATCTGTGAGTTGAACACACACATCACAAAGGAGTTTCTGAGAATCATTCTGTCTAGTTTCTATAGGAAGATATTTCCTATTCTACCATTGACCTCAAAGCGGCTGAAATCTCCAATTGCAAATTCCAGAAAAAGAGTGTTTCAAGTCTGCTCTGTGTAAAGGATCGTTGAAATCTGTGAGTTGAATACACACAACACAATGAAGTTACTGAGAATTCTTCTGTCTAGCACAGTATGAAGAAATCCCGTTTCCAACGAAGGCCTCAAAGACGTCTGAATATCCACTTGCAGAGTTTACAAACAGAGTGTTTCCTAACTGCTCTATGAAAAGAAAGGTTAAACTCTGTGAGTTGAACGCACACATCACAAAGAAGTTTCTGAGAATCATTCTGTCTAGTTTTGAAACGAAGATATTTCCTTTTCTGCAATTGACCTTAAAGCGCTTGAAATCTCCACTTGCCAATTGCACAAAAAGAGTGTTTCAAATCTGCTCTGTCTAAGGGAACGTTCAACTCTGTGAGTTGAATGTACACAACGCAAGGAAGTTCCTGGGAATTCTTCTGTCTAGCCTTACATGAAAAAAAAACACGTTTCCAACGAAGGCTTCTAAGTGGTCAAAATATCCACGTGGAGACTTTACAAACAGAGTGTTTCCAAACTGCTGAATGAAAAGAAAAGTTAAACTCTGAGAGTTGAACGCACACATCACAGAGCGGTTTCTGAGAATGATTCTGTCTAGTTTTTATACGAAGATATTTCCTTTTCTGCCTTTGGCCTCAAAGCGCTTGAAATCTCCACTTGCAAATTCCACAAAAAGAGTGTTTCAAATCTGCTCTGTGTAAATGAGAGTTCAACTCTGTGAGTTGAACACACACAACACAAGGAAGTTACTGGGAATTCTTCTGTCTAGCAGAATATGAAGAAATCCCGTTTCCAACGAAGGCCTCAAAGAGGTCTGAATATCCACTTGCAGACTTTACAAACAGAGTGTTTCCTAACTGCTCTATGAAAAGAAAAGATAAACTCTGTGAGTTGAACGCACACATCACAAAGGAGTTTCTGAGAATCATTCTGTCTAGTTTTTATAGGAAGATATTTCCTTTTCTACCTTTGACTTCAAAGCGGCTGAAATCTCCACTTGCAAATTCCACAAAAAGAGTGTTACAAGTCTGCTCTGTGTAAAGGATCGTTCAAGTCTGTGAGTTGAATACACACAACACAAGGAAGTTACTGAGAATTCTTCTGTCTAGCAGAATATGAAGAAATCCCGTTTCCAACGAAGGCCACAAGATGTCAGAATATCCACTTACAGAATTTACAAACAGACTGTTTCCTAACTGCTCTATGAAAAGAAAGGTTAAACTCTGTGAGTTGAACGAACACATCACAACGCAGTTTGAGGGAATGATTCTGTCTAGTTTTGAATCGAAGATATTTCCTTTTCTGCCATTGACCTTAAAGCGCTTGAAATCTACACTTGCAAATTGCACAAATAGAGTGTTTCAAATCTGCTCTGTCTAAGGGAACGTTCAACTCTGTGAGTTGAATGCACACAACACAAGGAATTTACTGGGAATTCTTCTGTCTAGCCTTACAGGAAAAAAACCCGTTTCCAACGAAGGCCTCTAAGTTGTCAAAATATCCACGTGCAGACTTTACAAACAGAGTGTTTCCAAACTGCTGAATGAAAAGAAAAGTTAAACTCTGAGAGTTGAACGCACACATCGCAGAGCAGTTTCTGAGAATGATTCTGTCTAGTTTTTATACGAAGATATTTCCTTTTCTGCTTTTGGCCCCAAAGCGCTTGAAATCTCCACTTGCAAATTCCACAAAAACAGTGTTTCAAATCTGCTCTCTCTAAATGAAAGTTCAACTCTGTCAGTTGAATACACACAACACAAGGAAGTTACTGAGAATTCTTCTGTCTAGCATAATATGAAGAAATCCCGTTTCCAACGAAGGCCTCAAAGAAGTCTGAATATCCACTTGCAGACTTTACAAACAGAGTGTTTCCCAACTGCTCTATTAAAAGAAAGGTTGAACTCTGTGAGTTGAACACACACATCACAAAGGAGTTTCTGAGAATCATTCTGTCTAGTTTCTATAGGAAGATATTTCCTATTCTACCATTGACCTCAAAGCGGCTGAAATCTCCACTTGCAAATACCACAAAAAGAGTGTTTCAAGTCTGCTCTGTGTAAAGGATCGTTCAACTCTGTGAGTTGAATACACACAACACAAGGAAGTTACTGAGAATTCTTCTGTCTAGCAGTAATATGAAGAAATCCCGTTTCCAACGAATGCCACAAGATGTCAGAATATCCACTTACAGAATTGACAAACAGACTGTTTCCTAACTGCTCTATGAAAAGAAAGGTTAAACTCTGTGAGTTGAACGAACACATCACAACGCAGTTTGTGGGAATGATTCTGTCTAGTTTTCAAACGAAGATATTTCCTTTTCTGCCATTGACCTTAAAGCGCTTGAAATCTCCACTTGCCAATTGCACAAAAAGAGTGTTTCAAATCTGCTCTGTCTAAGGGAACGTTCAACTCTGTGAGTTGAATGTACACAACACAAGGAAGTTACTGGGAATTCTTCTGTCTAGCCTTACAGGAAAAAAACCCGTTTCCAACGAAGGCCTCTAAGTGGTCAAAATATCCACGTGCAGACTTTACAAACAGAATGTTTCCAAACTGCTGAATGAAAAGAAAAGTTAAACTCTGAGAGTTGAACGCACACATCGCAGAGCAGTTTCTGAGAATGATTCTGTCTAGTTTTGAAACGAAGATATTTCCTTTTCTGCCTTTGGCCTCAAAGCGCTTGACATCTCCACTTGCAAATTCCACAAAAAGAGTGTTTCAAATCTGCTCTGTGTAAATGAAAGTTCAACTCTGTGGGTTGAACACACACAACACAAGGAAGTTACTGGGAATTCTTCTGTCTAGCATAATATGAAGAAATCCCGTTTCCAACGAAGGCCTCAAAGGGGTCTGAATATCCACTTGCAGACTTTATAAACAGAGTGTTTACTAACTGCTCTATGAAAAGGAAGGTTAAACTCTGTGAGTTGAACACACACATCACAAAGCCGTTTCTGAGAATCATTCTGTCTAGTTTTTATACGAAGATATTTCCTTTTCTACTATTGACCTCAAAGCGGCTGAAATCTCCACTTGCAAATTCCACAAAAAGAGTGTTTGTAATCTGCTCTGTGTAAAGGATCGTTCAACTCTGTGAGTTGAATACACACAACACAAGGAAGTTACTGAGAATTCTTCTGTCTAGCACAGTATGAAGAAATCCCGTTTCCAACGAAGGCCTCAAAGAGGTCTGAATATCCACTTGCAGACTTTACAAACAGGGTGTTTCCTAACTGCTCTATGAAAAGAAAGGTTAAACTCTGTGAGTTGAACGCACACGTCACAATGAAGTTTCTGAGAATCATTCTGTCTAGTTTTTATACGAAGATATTTCCTTTTCTACCATTGACCTCAAAGCGGCTGAAATCACCACTTGCCAATTGTACAAAAAGAGTGTTTCAAATCTGCTCTGTCTAAGGGAACGTTCAACTCTGTGAGTTGAATGTACACAACACAAGGAAGTTCCTGGGAATTCTTCTGTCTAGCCTTACAGGAAAAAAACCCGTTTCCAACGAAGGCCTCTAAGTGGTCAAGTTATCCACGTGCAGACTTTACAACCAGAGTGTTTCCAAACTGCTGAATGAAAAGAAAAGTTAAACTCTGAGAGTTGAACGCACACATCGCAGAGCAGTTTCTGAGAATGATTCTGTCTAATTTTTATACGAAGATATTTCCTTTTCTGCCTTTGGCCTCAAAGCGCTTGAAATCTCCACTTGCAAATTCCACAAAAAGAGTGTTTCAAATCTGCTCTGTGTAAATGAAAGTTCAACTCTGTGAGTTGAACACACACAACACAAGGAAGTTACTGGGAATTCTTCTGTGTAGCCTTATATGAAAAAAACCCGTTTCCAACGAAGGCCTCAAAGAGGTCTGAATATCCACTTGCAGACTTTACAAACAGAGTGTTTCCTAACTGCTCTATGAAAAGAAAGGTTAAACTCTGTGAGTTGAACACACACATCACAAAGGAGTTTCTGAGAATCATTCTGTCTAGTTTCTATAGGAAGATATTTCCTATTCTACCATTGACCTCAAAGCGGATGAAATCTCCACTTGCAAATTCCACAAAAAGAGTGTTTCAAGTCTGCTCTCTGTAAGGATCGTTCAACTCTGTGAGTTGAATACACACAACACAAGGAAGTTACTGAGAATTCTTCTGTCTAGCATAATATGAGGAAATCCCTTTTCCAACGAAGGCCTCAAGGAGGTCTGAATATCCACTTGCAGACTTTACAAACTGAGTGTTTCCTAACTGCTCTATGAAAAGAAAAGTTAAACTCTGTGAGTTGAACGCACACATCACAAAGGAGTTTCTGAGAATCATTCTGTCTAGTTTTTATAGGAAGATATTTCCTTTTCTACCTTTGACTTCAAAGCGGCTGAAATCTCCACTTTCAAATTCCACAAAAAGAGTGTTACAAGTCTGCTCTGTGTAAAGGATCGTTCAACTCTGTGAGTTGAATACACACAACACAAGGAAGTTACTGAGAATTCTTCTGTCTAGCCTTACAGGAAAAAAACCCGTTTCCAACGAAGGCCTCTAAGTGGTCAAAATATCCACGTGCAGACTTTACAAACCGAGTGTTTCCAAACTGCTGAATGAAAAGAAAAGTTAAACTCTGAGAGTTGAACGCACACATCGCAGAGCAGTTTCTGAGAATGATTCTGTCTAGTTTTTATACGAAGATATTTCCTTTTCTGCCTTTGGCCGCAAAGCGCTTGAAATCTCCATTTGCAAATTCCACAAAAAGAGTGTTTCAAATCTGCTCTGTGTAAATGAAAGTTCAACTCTGTGAGTTGAACACACACAACACAAGGAAGTTACTGGGAATTCTTCTGTCTAGCAGAATAGGAAGAAATCCCGTTTCCAACGAAGGCCTCAAAGGGGTCTGAATATCCACTTGCAGACTTTACAAACAGACTGTTTCCTAACTGCTCTATGAAAAGAAAGGTTAAACTCTGTGAGTTGAACGCACACATCACAAAGGAGTTTCTGAGAATCGTTCTGTCTAGTTTTTATAGGAAGATATTTCCTTTTCTACCTTTGACTTCAAAGCGGCTGAAATCTCCACTTGCAAATTCCACAAAAAGAGTTTTACAAGTCTGCTCTGTGTAAAGGATCGTTCAACTCTGTAAGATGAATACACACAACACAAGGAAGTTACTGAGAATTCTTCTGTCTAGCAGAATATGAAGAAATCCCGTTTCCAACGAAGGCCACAAGATGTCTGAATATCCACTTACAGACTTTACAAACAGAGTGTTTCCTAACTGCTCTATGAACAGAAAGGTTAAACTCTGTGAGTTGAACGAACACATCACAACGCAGTTTGTGGGAATGATTCTGTCTAGTTTTGAAACGAAGATATTTCCTTTTCTGCCTTTGAACTTAAAGCGCTTGAAATCTCCATTTGCCAATTGCACAAAAAGAGTGTTTCAAATCTGCTCTGTCTAAGGGAACGTTCAACTCTGTGAGTTGAATGTACACAACACAAGGAAGTTACTGGGAATTCTTCTGTATAGCCTTACATGAAAAAAACCCGTTTCCAACGAAGGCCTCTAAGTGGTCAAGTTATCCACGTGCAGACTTTACAAACAGAGTGTTTCCAAACTGCTGAATGAAAAGAAAAGTTAAACTCTGAGAGTTGAACGCACACATCGCAGAGCAGTTTCTGAGAATGATTCTGTCCAGTTTTTATACGAAGATATATCCTTTTCTGCCTTTGGCCCCAAAGCGCTTGAAATCTCCACTTGCAAATTCCACAAAAACAGTGATTCAAATCTGCTCTCTCTAAATGAAAGTTCAACTCTGTCAGTTGAATACACACAACACAAGGAAGTGACTGAGAATTCTTCTGTCTAGCAGAATATGAAGAAATACCGTTTCCAACGAAGGCCTCAAGGAGGTCTGAATATCCACTTGCAGACTTTACAAACAGAGTGTTTCCTAACTGCTCTATGAACAGAAAGGTTAAACTCTGTGAGTTGAACGCACACATCACAAAGGAGTTTCTGAGAATCATTCTGTCTAGTTTTTCTACGAAGATATTTCTTTTTCTACTATTGACCTCAAAGCGGCTGAAATCTCCACTTGCAAATTCCACAAAAAGAGTGTTTCAAGTCTGCTCTGTGTAAAGGATCGTTCAACTCTGTGAGTTGAATACACACAACACAAGGAAGTTACTGAGAATTCTTCAGTCTAGCAGAATATGAAGAAATCCCGTTTCCAATGAAGGCCTCAAGGAGGTCTGAATATCCACTTGCATACTTTACAAACAGAGTGTTTCCTAACTGCTCTATGAACAGAAAGGTTAAACTCTGTGAGTTGAACGAACACATCACAACGCAGTTTGTGGGAATGATTCTGTCTAGTTTTGAAACGAAGATATTTCCTTTTCTGCCTTTGACCTTAAAGCGCTTGAAATATACACTTGCAAATTGCACAAATAGAGTGTTTCAAATCTGCTCTGTCTAAGGGAACGTTCAACTCTGTGAGTTGAATGCACACAACACAAGGAAGTTACTGGGAATTCTTCTGTCTAGCCTTACAGGAAAAAAACCCGTTTCCAACGAAGGCCTCTAAGTGGTCAAATTATCCACGTGCAGACTTTAGAAACAGAGTGTTTCCAAACTGCTGAATGAAAAGCAAAGTTAAACTCTGAGAGTTGAACGCACACATCGCAGAGCAGTTTCTGAGAATGATTCTGTCTAGTTTTTATACGAAGATATTTCCTTTTCTGCCTTTGGCCTCACAGCGCTTGAAATCTCCACTTGCAAATTCCACAAAAAGAGTGTTTCAAATCTGCTCTGTGTAAATGAAAGTTCAACACTGTGAGTTGAACACACACAACACAAGGAAGTTACTGGGAATTCTTCTGTCTAGCCTTATATGAAAAAAACCCGTTTCCAACGAAGACCTCAAAGAGGTCTGAATATCCACTTGCAGACTTTAGAAACAGAGTGTTTCCTAACTGCTCTATGAAAAGAAAGGTTAAACTCTGTGAGTTGAACACACACATCACAAAGGAGTTTCTGAGAATCATTCTGTCTAGTTTTTATAGGAAGATATTTCCTTTTCTACCTTTGACTTCAAAGCGGCTGAAATCTCCACTTGCAAATTCCACAAAAAGAGTGTTACAAGTCTGCTCTGTGTAAAGGATCGGTCAACTCTGTAAGTTGAATACACACAACACAAGGAAGTTACTGAGAATTCTTCTGTCTAGCATCATATGAAGAAATCCCGTTTCCAACGAAGGCCTCAAAGAGGTCTGAATATCCACTTGCAGACTTTACAAACAGAGTGTTTCCTAACTGCTCTATGAACAGAAAGGTTAAACTCTGTGAGTTGAACGAACACATCACAACGCAGTTTGTGGGAATGATTCTGTCTAGTTTTGAAACGAAGATATTTCCTTTTCTGCCATTGACCTTAAAGCGCTTGAAATCTACACTTGCAAATTGCACAAATAGAGTGTTTCAAATCTGCTCTGTCTAAGGGAACGTTCAACTCTGTGAGCTGAATGCACACAACACAAGGAAATTACTGGGAATTCTTCTGTCTAGCCTTACATGAAAAAATCCCGTTTCCAACGAAGGCCTCTAAGTGGTCAAAATATCCACGTGCAGACTTTACAAACAGTGTGTTTCCAAACCGCTGAATGAAAAGAAAAGTTAAACTCTGAGAGTTGAACGCACACATCACGCAGCAGTTTCTGAGAATGATTCTGTCTAGTTTTTATACGAAGATATTTCCTTTTCTGCCTTTGGCCTCAAAGCGCTTGAAATCTCCATTTGCAAATTCCACAAAAAGAGTGTTTCAAATCTGCTCTCTGTAAATGAAAGTTCAACTGTGTGAGTTGAACACACACAACACAAGGAAGTTACTGGGAATTCTTCTGTCTAGCCTTATATGAAAAAAACCCGTTTCCAACGAAGGCCTCAAAGAGGTCTGAATATCCTCTTGCAGACTTTACAAACAGAGTGTTTGCTAACTGCTCTATGAAAAGAAAGGTTAAACCCTGTGAGTTGGACACACACATCACTAAGGAGTTTCTGAGAATCATTCTGTCTAGTTTTTCTACGAAGATATTTCCTTTTCTACTATTGACCTCAAAGCGGCTGAAATCTCCACTTGCAAACTCCACAAAAAGAGTGTTTCAAGTCTGCTCTGTGTAAAGGATCGTTCAACTCTGTGAGTTGAATACACACAACACAAGGAAGTTACTGAGAATTCTTCTGTCTAGCAGAATATGAAGAAATCCCGTTTCCAACGAAGGCCTCAAGGAGGTCTGAATATCCACTTGCAGACTTTACAAACAGAGTGTTTCCTAACTGCTCTATGAAAAGAAAGGTTAAACTCTTTGACTTGAACTCACACATCACAACGCAGTTTGTGGGAATGATTCTGTCTAGTTTTGAAACGAAGATATTTCCTTTTCTGCCATTGACCTTAAAGCGCTTGAAATCTCCACTTGCAAATTGCACAAAAAGAGTGTTTCCAATCTGCTCTGTCTAAAGGAACCTTCAACCCTGTGAGGTGAATGCACACAACACAAGGAACTTACTGTGAATTCTTCTGTCTAGCCTTACAGGAAAGAAACCCGTTTCCAACGAAGGCCTCTAAGTGGTCAAAATATCCACGTGCAGACTTTACAAACAGAGTGTTTCCAAACTGCTGAATGAAAAGAAAAGTTAAACTCTGAGAGTTGATCGCACACATCGCAGAGCAGTTTCTGAGAATGATTCTGTCTAGTTTTTATATGAAGATATTTCCTTTTCTGCCTTTGGCCTCAAAGCGCTTGAAATCTCCACTTGCAAATTCCACAAAAAGAGTGTTTCCAATCTGCTCTGTGTAAATGAAAGTTCAACTCTGTGAGTTGAACACACACAACACAAGGAAGTTACTGGGAATTCTTCTGTCTAGCATAATATGAGGAAATCCCGTTTCCAACGAAGGCCTCAAAGGGGTCTGATTATCCACTTGCAGACTTTATAAACAGAGTGTTTACTAACTGCTCTATGAAAAGAAAGGTTAAACTCTGTGATTTGAACACACACATCACAAAGGACTTTCTGAGAATCATTATCTGTCTAGTTTTTATACGAAGATATTTCCTTTTCTACCATTGACCTCAAAGCGGCTGAAATCTCCACTTGCAAATTCCACAAAAAGAGTGTTTCAAGTCTGCTCTGTGTAAAGGATCGTTCCACTCTGTGAGTTGAATACACACAACCCAAGGAAGTTACTAAGAATTCTTCTGTCTAGCAGAATATGAAGAAATCCCGTTTCCAACGAAGGCCTCAAAGAGGTCTGAATATCCACTTGCAGACTTTACAAACAGAGTGTTTCCTAACTGCTCTATGAAAAGAAAGGTTAAACTCTGTGAGTTAAACGCACACATCACAAAGGAGTTTCTGAGAATGATTCTGTCTAGTTTTGAAACGAAAATATTTCCTTTTCTGCCATTGACCTTAAAGCGCTTGAAATCTACACTTGCAAATTGCACAAATAGAGTGTTTCAAATCTGCTCTGTCTAAGGGAACGTTCAACTCTGTGAGTTGAATGCACACAACACAAGGAAGTTACTGGGAATTCTTCTGTCTAGCCTTAAATAAAAAAAACCCGTTTCCAAAGAAGGCCTCTAAGTGGTCAAAGTGTCCACGTGCAGACTTTACAAACAGAGTGTTTCCAAACCGCTGAATGAAAAGAAAAGTTAAACTCTGAGAGTTGAACGCACACATCACGCAGCAGTTTCTGAGAATGATTCTGTCTAGTTTTGAAACGAAGATATTTCCTTTTCTGCCTTTGGCCTCAAAGCGCTTGAAATCTCCACTTGCAAATTCCACAAAAAGAGTGTTTCAAATCTTCTCTGTGTAAAGGAAAGTTCAACTCTGTGACTTGAACACACACAACACAAGGAAGTTACTGGGAATTCTTCTGTCTAGCCTTATATGAAAAAAACGCGTTTCCAACGAAGGCCTCAAAGAGGTCTGAATATCCACTTGCAGACTTTACAAACAGAGTGTTTCCTAACTGCTCTATGAAAAGAAAGGTTAAACTCTGTGAGTTGAACACACACATCACAAAGGAGTTTCTGAGAATCATTCTGTCTAGTTTCTATAGGAAGATATTTCCTATTCTACCATTGACCTCAAAGCGGCTGAAATCTCCACTTGCAAATTCCACAAAAAGAGTGTTTCAAGTCTGCTGAGTGTAAAGGATCGTTCAACTCTGTGAGTTGAATACACACAACACAAGGAAGTTACTGAGAATTCTTCTTTCTAGCAGAATATGAAGAAATCCCGTTTCCAACGAAAGCCTCAAGGATGTCTGAATATCCACTTGCAGACTTTACAAACAGAGTGTTTCCTATCTGCTCTATGAAAAGAAAGGTGAAACTCTGTGAGTTGAACGCACACATCACAAAGGAGTTTCTGAGAATCATTCTGTCTAGTTTTTATAGGAAGTTATTTCCTTTTCTACCTTTGACTTCAAAGTGGCTGAAATCTCCACTTGCAAATTCCACAAAAAGAGTGTTAAAAGTCTGCTCTGTGTAAAGGATCGTTCAACTCTGTGAGTTGAATACACACAACACAAGGAAGTTACTGAGAATTCTTCTGTCTAGCCTTACATGAAAAAAACCCGTTTCCAACAAAGGCCTCTAAGTGGTCAAGTTATCCACGTGCAGACTTTACAAACAGAGTGTTTCCAAACTGCTGAATGAAAAGAAAAGTTAAACACTGAGAGTTGAACGCACACATCGCAGAGCAGTTTCTGAGAATGATTCTGTCTAGTTTCTATAGGAAGATATTTCCTATTCTACCATTGACCTCAAAGCGGCTGAAATCTCCACTTGCAAATTCCACAAAAGGAGTGTTTCAAGTCTGCTCTGTGTAAAGGATCGTTCAACTCTGTGAGTTGAATACACACAACACAAGGAAGTTTCTGAGAATTCTTCTGTCTAGCTGAACATGAAGAAATCCCGCTTCCAACGAAGGCCTCAAAGAAGTCTGAATATCCACTTGCAGACTTTACAAACAGAGTGTTTCCCAACTGCTCTATGAAAAGAAAGGTTGAACTCTGTGAGTTGAACGCACACATCACAAAGGAGTTTCTGAGAATCATTCTGTCTAGTTTTTATATGAAGATATTTCCTTTTCTACCATTGACCTCAAAGCGGCTGAAATCTCCACTTACAAATTCCACAAAAAGAGTGTCTCAAGTCTGCTCTGTGTAAACGATCGTTCAACTCTGTGAGTTGAATACACACAACAGAAGGAAGTTTCTGAGAATTCTTCTGTCTAGCAGAATATGAAGAAATCCCGTTTCCAACGAAGGCTTCAAGGAGGTCTGAATATCCACTTGCAGACTTTACAAACAGAGTGTTTCCTAACTGCTCTATGAAAAGAAAGGTTAAACTCTTTGAGTTGAACGCACACATCACAACGCAGTTTGTGGGAATGATTCTGTATAGTTTTGAAACGAAGATATTTCCTTTTCTGCCATTGACCTTAAAGCGCTTGAAATCTCCATTTGCCAATTGCACAAAAAGAGTGTTTCAAATCTGCTCTGTCTAAGGGAACGTTCAACTCTGTGAGTTGAATGTACACAACACAAGGAAGTTCCTGGGAATTCTTCTGTCTAGCCTTACATGAAAAAAACCCGTTTCCAACGAAGGCCTCTAAGTGGTCAAAATATCCACGTGCAAACTTTACAAACAGAGTGTTTCCAAACCGCTGAATGAAAAGAAAAGTTAAACTCTGAGAGTTGAACGCACACATCACGCAGCAGTTTATGAGAATGATTTCTGTCTAGTTTTTATACGAAGATATTTCCTTTTCTGCGTTTGGCCCCAAAGCGCTTGAAGTCACCACTTGCAAATTCCACAAAAACAGTGTTTCAAATCTGCTCTCTCTAAATGAAAGTTCAACTCTGTGAGTTGAATACACACAACACAAGGAAGTTACTGAGAATTCTTCTGTCTAGAATAATATGAAGAAATCCCGTTTCCAACGAAGGCCTCAAAGGGGTCTGAATATCCACTTGCAGACTTTATAAACAGAGTGTTTACTAACTGCTCTAGGAAAAGAAAGGTTAAACTCTGTGAGTTGAACACACACATCACAAAGGAGTTTCTGAGAATCATTCTGTCTAGTTTCTATAAGAAGATATTTCCTATTCTACCATTGACCTCAAAGCGGCTGAAATCTCCACTTGCAAATTCGACAAAAAGAGTGTTGCAAGCCAGCTCTCTGTAAAGGATCCTTCAACTCTGTGAGTTGAATACACACAACACAAGGAAGTTACTGAGAATTATTCTGTCTAGCAGAATATGAAGAAATCCCGTTTCCAACGAAGGCCTCAAGGAGGTCTGAATATCCACTTGCAGACTTTACAAACAGAGTGTTTCCTAACTGCTCTATGAACAGAAAGGTTAAACTCTGTGAGTTGAACGAACACATCACAACGCAGTTTGTGGGAATGATTTCTGTCTAGTTTTGAAACGAAGATATTTCCTTTTCAGCCGTTGACCTTAAAGCGCTTGAAATCTACACTTGCAAATTGCACAAATAGGCTGTTTCAAATCTGCTCTGTCTAAGGGAACGTTCAACTCTGTGAGTTGAATGCACACAACACAAGGAAGTTACTGGGAATTCTTCTGTCTAGCCTTACAGGAAAGAAACCCGTTTCCAACGAAGGCCTCTAAGTGGTCAAAATATCCACGTGCAGACTTTACAAACAGAGTGTTTCCAAACTGCTGAATGAAAAGAAAACTTAAACTCTGAGAGTTGAACGCACACATCGCAGAGCAGTTTCTGAGAATGATTCTGTCTAGTTTTTATACGAAGATATTTCCTTTTCTGCCTTTGGCCTCAAAGCGCTTGAAATCTCCACTTGCAAATTCCACAAAAAGAGTGTTTCAAATCTGCTCTGTGTAAATGAAAGTTCAACTGCTGTGAGTTGAACACACACAACACAAGGAAGTTACTGGGAATTCTTCTGTCTAGCCTTATATGAAAAAAACCCGTTTCCAACGAAGGCCTCAAAGAGGTCTGAATATCCACTTGCAGACTTTACAAACAGAGTGTTTCCTAACTGCTCTATGAAAAGAAAGGTTAAACTCTGTGAGTTGAACGCACACATCACAAAGAAGTTTCTGAGAATCATTCTGTCTAGTTTTTATACGAAGATATTTCCTTTTCTACCATTGACCTCAAAGCGGCTGAAATCTCCACCCTGCCAATTCCACAAAAAGAGTGTTTCAAGTCTACTCTGTGTAAAGGATCGTTGAACTCTGTGATTTGAAAACACACAACACATCGAAGTTTCTGAGAATTCTTCTGTCTAGCAGAATATGAAGAAATCCCGCTTCCAACGAAGGCCTCAAAGAAGTCTGAATATGCATTTGCAGAATTTACAAACAGAGTGTTTCCCAACTGCTCTATGAAAAGAAAGGTTGAACTCTGTGAGTTGAACGCACACATCACAAAGGAGTTTCTCAGAATCATTCTGTCTAGTTTTTATACGAAGATATTTCCTTTTCTACCATTGACCTCAAAGCGGCTGAAATCACCACTTGCCAATTGCACAAAAAGAGTGTTTCAAATCTGCTCCTGTCTAAGGGAACGTTCAACTCTGTGAGTTGAATGTACACAACACAAGGAAGTTACTGGGAATTCTTCTGTCTAGCCTTACATGAAAAAAACCCGTTTCCAACGAAGGCCTCTAAGTGGTCAAAATATCCACGTGCAGACTTTGCAAACAGAGTGTTTCCAAACTGCTGAATGAAAAGAAAAGTTAAACTCTGAGAGTTGAACGCACACATCGCAGAGCAGTTTCTGAGAATGATTCTGTCTAGTTTTTATACGAAGATATTTCCTTTTCTGCCTTTGGCCCCAAAGCGCTTGAAATCTCCACTTGCAAATTCCACAAAAACAGTGTTTCAAATCTGCTCTCTCTAAATGAAAGTTCAAATCTGTCAGTTGAATACACACAACACAAGGAAGTTACTGAGAATTCTTCTGTCTAGCCTTATATGAAAAAAAACCGTTTCCAACGAAGGCCTCAAAGAGGTCTGAATATCCACTTGCAGACTTTGCAAACAGAGTGTTTCCTAACTGCTCTATGAAAAGAAAGGTTAAACTCTGTGAGTTGAACGCACACATCACAAAGGAGTTTCTGAGAATCATTCTGTCTAGTTTTTATACGAAGATATTTCCTTTTCTACCATTGACCTCAAAGCGGCTGAAATCTCCACTTACAAATTCCACAAAAAGAGTGTCTCAAGTCTGCTCTGTGTAAATGATCGTTCAACTCTGTGAGTTGAATACACACAACACAAGGAAGTTTCTGAAAATTCTTCTTTCTAGCAGAATATGAAGAAATCCCGTTTCCAACGAAAGCCTCAAGGATGTCTGAATATCCACTTGCAGACTTTACAAACAGAGTGTTTCCCAACTGCTCTATGAAAAGAAAGGTTAAACTCTGTGAGTTGAACGCACACATCACAAAGGAGATTCTGAGAATCATTCTGTCTAGTTTCTATAGGAAGATATTCCCTATTCTACCATTGACCTCAAAGCGGCTGAAATCTCTACTTGCAAATTCCACAAAAAGAGTGTTTCAAGTCTGCTCTGTGTAAAGGATCGTTCAACTCTGTGAGTTGAATTCACACAACACAGGGAAGTTTCTGAGAATTCTTCTTTCTAGCAGAATATGAAGAAATCCCGTTTGCAACGAAAGCCTCAAGGATGTCTGAATATACACTTGCAGACTTTAAAAACAGAGTGTTTCCTAACTGCTCTATGAAAAGAAAGGTTAAACTCTGTGAGTTGAACGCACACATCACAAAGGAGTTTCTGAGAATCATTCTGTCTAGTTTCTATAGGAAGATATTTCCTATTCTACTATTGACCACAAAGCGGCTGAAATCTCCACTTCCAAATTCCACAAAAAGAGTGTTTCAAGTCTGCTCTGTGTAAAGGATCGTTCAAATCTGTGAGGTGAATTCACACAAAACAAGGAAGTTACTGAGAATTCTTCTGTCTAGCCTTATATGAAAAAAACCCGTTTCCAACGAAGGCCTCAAAGAGGTCTGAATATCCACTTGCAGACTTTACAGACAGAGTGTTTCCTAACTGCTCTATGAAAAGAAAGGTTAAACTCTGTGAGTTGAACGCACACATCACAATGAAGTTTCTGAGAATCATTCTGTCTAGTTATTATACGAAGATATTTCCTTTTCTATCATTGACCTCAAAGCGGCTGAAATCACCACTTGCCAATTGCACAAAAAGAGTGTTTCAAATCTGCTCTGTCTAAGGGAACGTTCAACTCTGTGAGTTGAATGTACACAACACAAGGAAGTTACTGGGAATTCTTCTGTCTAGCCTTACAGGAAAAAAAACCGTTTCCAACGAAGGCCACTAAGTGGTCAAAATATCCACGTGCAGACTTCACAAACAGAGTGTTTCCAAACTGCTGAATGAAAAGAAAAGTTAAACTCTGAGAGTTGAACGCACACATCGCAGAGCAGTTTCTGAGTATGATTCTGTCTAGCAGAATATGAAGAAATCCCTTTTCCAACGAACGCCTCAAGGAGGTCAGAATATCCACTTGCAGACTTTACAAACAGAGTGTTTCCTAACTGCTCTATGAAAAGAAAGGTTAAACTCTGTGAGTTGAACGCACACATCACAAAGGAGTTTCTGAGAATCATTCTGTCTACTTTCTATAGGAAGATATTTCCTATTCTACCATTGAACTCACAGCGGCTGAAATCTCCACTTGCAAATTCCACAAAAAGAGTGTTTCAAGTCTGCTCTGTGTAAAGGATCGTTCAACTCTGTGAGTTGAATACACACAACACAAGGAAGTTACTGAGAATTCTTCTGTCTAGCAGAATATGAAGAAATCCCGTTTCCAACGAAGGCCTCAAGGAGGTCTGAATATCCACTTGCAGACTTCACAAACAGAGTGTTTCCTAACTGCTCTATGAAAAGAAAGGTTAAACTCTGTGAGTTGAACGCACACATCACAAAGGAGTTTCTGAGAATCATTCTGTCTAGTTTTGAAACGAAGATATTTCCTTTTCTGCCATTGAACTTAAAGCGCTTGAAATCTCCATTTGCCAATTGCACAAAAAGAGTGTTTCAAATCTGCTCTGTCTAAGGGAACGTTCAACTCTGTGAGTTGAATGTACACAACACAAGGAAGTTACTGGGAATTCTTCTGTCTAGCCTTACATGAAAAAAACCCGTTTCCAACGAAGGCCTGTAAGTGGTCAAAATATCCACGTGCAGACTTTACAAACACAGTGTTTCCAAACCGCTGAATGAAAAGAAAAGTTAAACTCTGAGAGTTGAACGCACACATCACGCAGCAGTTTCTGAGAATGATTCTGTCTAGTTTTGAAACGAAGATATTTCCTTTTCTGCCTTTGGCCTCAAAGCGCTTGAAATCTCCACTTGCAAATTCCACAAAAAGAGTGTTTCAAATCTGCTCTGTGTAAATGAAAGTTCAACTCTGTGAAGTTGAACACACACAACACAAGGAAGTTACTGGGAATTCTTCTGTCTAGCAGAATATGAAGAAATCCCGTTTCCAACGAAAGCCTCAAAGATGTCTGAATATCTACTTGCAGACTTTACAAACAGAGTGTTTCCTAACTGCTCTATGAAAAGAAAGGTTAAACTCTGTGAGTTGAACGCACACATCACAAAGGAGTTTCTGAGAATCATTCTGTCTAGTTTTTATACGAAGATATTTCCTTTTCTATCATTGACCACAAAGCGGCTGAAATCTCCACTTGCAAATTCCACAAAAAGAGTGTTTCAAGTCTGCTCTGTGTAAAGGATCGTTAAATTGCTGTGAGTTGAATACACACAACACAAGGAAGTTACTGAGAATTCTTCTGTCTAGCAGAATATGAAGAAATCCCGTTTCCAAAGAAGGCCACAAGATGTCAGAATATCCACTTACAGAATTGACAAACAGACTGTTTCCTAACTGCTCTATGAAAAGAAAGGTTAAACTCTGTGAGTTGAACGAACACATCACAACGCAGTTTGTGGGAATGATTCTGTCTAGTTTTGAAACGAAGATATTTCCTTTTCTGCCATTGACCTTAAAGCGCTTGAAATCTCCATTTGCCAATTGCACAAAAAGAGTGTTTCAAATCTGCTCTGTCTAAGGTAACGTTCAACTCTGTGAGTTGAATGTACACAACACAAGGAAGTTACTGGGAATTGCTTCTGTCTAGCCTTACATGAAAAAAAACCCGTTTCAAAAGAAGGCGTCTAAGTGGTCAAAATATCCACGTGCAGACTTTACAAACAGAGTGTTTCCAAACTGCTGAATGAAAAGAAAAGTTAAACTCTGAGAGTTGAATGCACACATCACAGAGCGGTTTCTGAGAATGATTCTGTCTAGTTTTGAAACGGAGTATATTTCCTTTTCTGCCTTTGGCCTCAAAGCGCTTGAAATCTCCACTTGCAAATTCCACAAAAAGAGTGTTTCAAATCTGCTCTGTGTAAATGAAAGTTCAACTCTGTGAGTTGAACACACACAACACAAGGAAGTTACTCGGAATTCTTCTGTCTAGCATAATATGAAAAAATCCCGTTTCCAACGAAGGCCTCAAAGAGGTCTGAATATCCACTTGCAGACTTTACAAACAGAGTGTTTCCCAACTGCTCTATGAAAAGAAAAGTTAAACTCTGTGAGTTGAACGCACACATCACAAAGGAGTTTCTGAGAATCATTCTGTCTAGTTTTTATAGGAAGATATTTCCTTTTCTACCTTTGACTTCAAAGCGGCTGAAATCTCCACTTGCAAATTCCACAAAAAGAGTGTTACAAGTCTGCTCTGTGTAAAGGATAGTTCAACTCTGTGAGTTGAATACACACAACACAAGGAAGTTACTGAGAATTCTTCTGTCTAGCAGAATATGAAGAAATCCCGTTTCCAACGAAGGCCACAAGATGTCAGAATATCCACTTACAGACTTTACAGAGTGTTTCCTAACTGCTCTATGAACAGAAAGGTTAAACTCTGTGAGTTGAACGAACACATCACAACGCAGTTTGTGGGAATGATTCTGCCTAGTTTTGAAACGAAGATATTTCCTTTTCTGCCATTGACCTTAAAGCGCTTGAAATCTCCACTTGCCAATTGCACAAAAAGAGTGTTTCAAATCTGCTCTGTCTAAGGGAACGTTCAACTCTGTGAGTTGAATGTACACAACACAAGGAAGTTACTGGGAATTCTTCTGTCTAGCCTTACAGGAAAAAAACCCGTTTCCAACGAAGGCCTCTAAGTGGTCAAAATATCCACGTGCACACTTTACAAACAGAGTGTTTCCAAACTGCTGAATGAAAAGAAAAGTTAAACTCTGAGAGTTGAACGCACACATCGCAGAGCAGTTTCTGAGAATGATTCTGTCTAGTTTTTATACGACGATATTTCATTTTCTGCCTTTGGCCTCAAAGCGCTTGAAATCTCCATTTGCAAATTCCTCAAAAAGAGTGTTTCAAATCTGCTCTGTGTAAATGAAAGTTCAACTCTGTGAGTTGAACACACACAACACAAGGAAGTTACTGGGAATTCTTCTGTCTAGCATAATATGAAGAAATCCCGCTTCCAACGAAGGCCTCAAAGAAGTCTGAATATCCACTTGCAGACTTTACAAACAGAGTGTTTCCCAACTGCTCTATGAAAAGAAAGTTTGAACTCTGTGAGTTGAACGCACACATCACAAAGGAGTTTCTGAGAATCATTCTGTCTAGTTTTTATACGTAGATATTTCCTTTTCTACCATTGACCTCAAAGCGGCTGAAATCTCCACTTGCAAATTCCAGAAAAACAGTGTTTCAAATCTGCTCTGTGTAAAGGATCGTTCAACTCTGTGAGTTGAATACACACAACACAAGGAAGTTACTGAGAATTCATCTTTCTAGCAGAATATGAAGAAATCCCGTTTCCAACGAAAGCCTCAAGGATGTCTGAATATCCACTTGCAGACTTTACAAACAGAGTGTTTCCTAACTGCTCTATGAAAAGAAAGGTTAAAGTCTGTGAGTTGAACGCACACATCACAAAGGAGTTTCTGAGAATCATTCTGTCTAGTTTTGAAACGAAGATATTTCCTTTTCTGCCGTTGACCTTAAAGCGCTTGAAATCTACACTTGCAAATTGCACAAATAGAGTGTTTCAAATCTGCTCTGTCTAAGGGAACGTTCATCTCTGTGAGTTGAATGCACACAACACAAGGAAGTTACTGGGAATTCTTCTGTCTAGCCTTACAGGAAAAAAACCCGTTTCCAACGAAGGCCTCTAAGTGGTCAAAATATCCACGTGCAGACTTTACAAACAGAGTGTTTCCAAAGTGCTGAATGAAAAGAAAAGTTAAACTCTGAGAGTTGAACGCACACATCACAGAGCAGTTTCTGAGAATGATTCTGTCTAGTTTTTATACGAAGATATTTCCTTTTCTGCCTTTGGCCCCAAAGCGCTTGAAATCTCCAATTGCAAATTCCACAAAAACAGTGTTTCAAATCTGCTCTCTCTAAATGAACGTTCAACTCTGTCAGTTGAATACACACAACACAAGGAAGTTACTGAGAATTCTTCTGTCTAGCCTTATATGGAAAAAACCCGTTTCCAACGAAGGCCTCAAAGAGGTCTGAATATCCACTTGCAGACTTTACAAACGGAGTGTTTCCTAACTGCTCTATGAAAAGAAAGGTTAAACTCTGTGAGTTGAACGCACACATCACAAAGGAGTTTCTGAGAATCATTCTGTCTAGTTTTTCTACGAAGATATTTCCTTTTCTACTATTGACCTCAAAGCGGCTGAAATCTCCACTTGCAAATTCCACAAAAAGAGTGTTTCAAGTCTGCTCTCTGTAAAGGATCGTTCAACTCTGTGAGTTGAATACACACAACACAAGGAAGTTACTGACAATTCTTCTGTCTAGCAGAATATGAAGAAATCCCGTTTCCAAGGAAGGCCACAAGATGTCAGAATATCCACTTACAGAATTTACAAACAGACTGTTTCCTAACTGCTCTATGAAAAGCAAGGTTAAACTCTGTGAGTTGAACGAACACATCACAACGCAGTTTGTGGGAATGATTCTGTCTAGTTTTGAAACGAAGATATTTCCTTTTCTGCCATTGACCTCAAAGCGCTTGAAATCTCCACTTGCCAATTGCACAAAAAGAGTGTTTCAAATCTGCTCTGTCTAAGGGAACGTTCAACTCTGTGAGTTGAATGTACACAACACAAGGAAGTTACTGGGAATTCTTCTGTCTAGCCTTACAGGAAAAAAACCCGTTTCCAACGAAGGCCTCTAAGTGGTCAAAATATCCACGTGCAGACTTTACAAACAGAGTGTTTCCAAACTGCTGAATGAAAAGAAAAGTTAAACTCTGAGAGTTGAACGCACACATCGCAGAGCAGCTTCTGAGAATGATTCTGTCTAGTTTTTATACGAAGATATTTCCTTTTCTGCCTTTGGCCTCAAAGCGCTTGAAATCTCCACTTGCAAATTCCACAAAAAGAGTGTTTCAAATCTGCTCTGTGTAAATGAAAGTTCAACTCTGTGAGTTGAACACACACAACACAAGGAAGTTACTGGGAATTCTCTGTCTAGCACAGTATGAAGAAATCCCGTTTCCAACGAAGGCCTCAAAGAGGACTGAATATCCACTTGCAGAGTTTACAAACAGAGTGTTTCCTAACTGCTCTATGAAAAGAAAGGTTAAACTCTGTGAGTTGATCGCACACATCACAATGAAGTTTCTGAGAATCATTCTGTCTAGTTTTTCTACGAAGATATTTCCTTTTCTACTATTGACCTCAAAGCGGCTGAAATCTCCACTAGCAAATTCCACAAAAAGAGTGTTTCAAGTCTGCTCTGTGTAAAGGATCGTTCAACTCTGTGAGTTGAATACACACAACACAAGGAAGTTACTGAGAATTCTTCTGTCTAGCAGAATATGAAGAAATCCCGTTTCCAACGAAGGCCACAAGATGTCAGAATATCCACTTACAGAATTTACAAACAGAGCTGTTTCCTAACTGCTCTATGAAAAGAAAGGTTAAACTCTGTGAGTTGAACGAACACATCACAAAGCAGTTTGTGGGAATGATTCTGTCTAGTTTTTATAGGAAGATATTTCCTTTTCTACCTTTGACTTCAAAGCGGCTGAAATCTCCACTTGCAAATTCCACAAAAAGAGTGTTACAAGTCTGCTCTGTGTAAAGGATCGTTCAACTCTGTGAGTTGAATACACACAACACAAGGTAGTTACTGAGAATTCTTCTGTCTAGCCTTACATGAAAAAAACCCGTTTCCAACGAAGGCCTCTAAGTGGTCAAATTATGCACGTGCAGACTTTACAAACAGAGTGTTTCCAAACTGCTGAATGAAAAGAAAAGTTAAACTCTGAGAGTTGAACGCACACATCGCAGAGCAGTTTCTGAGAATGATTCTGTCTAGTTTTTATACGAAGATATTTCCTTTTCTGCCTTTGGCCCCAAAGCGCTTGAAGTCTCCACTTGCAAATTCCACAAAAACAGTGTTTCAAATCTGCTCTCTCTAAATGAAAGTTCAACTCTGTCAGTTGAATACACACAACACAAGGAAGTTAGTGAGAATTCTTCTGTCTAGCATAATATGAAGAAATCCCGTTTCCAACGAAGGCCTCAAAGGGGTCTGAATATCCACTTGCAGACTTTATAGACAGAGTGTTTCCTAACTGCTGTATGAAAAGAAAGGTTAAACTCTGTGAGTTCAACGCACACATCACAAAGGAGTTTATGAGAATCATTCTGTCTAGTTTCTATAGGAAGATATTTCCTATTCTACCATTGACCTCAAAGCGGCTGAAATCTCCAATTGCAAATTCCACAAAAAGAGTGTTTCAAGTCTGCTCTGTGTAAAGGATCGTTGAAATCTGTGAGTTGAATACACACAACACAATGAAGTTACTGAGAATTCTTCTGTCTAGCAGAATATGAAGAAATCCCGTTTCCAACGAAGGCCTCTAGGAGGTCTGAATATCCACTTGCAGACTTTACAAACAGAGTGTTTCCTAACTGCTCTATGAACAGAAAGGTTAAACTCTGTGAGTTGAACGAACACATCACAACGCAGTTTGTGGGAATGATTCTGTCTAGTTTTGAAACGAAGATATTTCCTTTTCTGCCGTTGACCTTAAAGCGCTTGAAATCTACACTTGTAAATTGCACAAATAGAGTGTTTCAAATCTGCTCTGTCTAAGGGAACGTTCAACTCTGTGAGTTGAATGCACACAACACAAGGAAGTTACTGGGAATTCTTCTGTCTACCCTTACATGAAAAAAACCCGTTTCCAACGAAGGCCTCTAAGTGGTCAAAATATCCACGTGCAGACTTTACAAACAGAGTGTTTCCAAACTGCTGAATGAAAAGAAAAGTTAAACTCTGAGAGTTGAACGCACACATCACAGAGCAGTTTCTGAGAATGATTCTGTCTAGTTTTTATACGAAGATATTTCCTTTTCTGCCTTTGGCCTCAAAGCGCTTGAAATCTCCACTTGCAAATTCCACAAAAAGAGTGTTTCAACTCTGCTCTGTGTAAATGAGAGTTCATCTCTGTGAGTTGAACACACACAACACAAGGAAGTTACTGGGAATTCTTCTGTCTAGCAGAATATGAAGAAATCCCGTTTCCAACGAAGGCCTCAAAGAGATCTGAATATCCACTTGCAGACTTTACAAACAGAGTGTTTCCTAACTGCTCTATGAAAAGAAAAGTTAAACTCTGTGAGTTGAACGCACACATCACAAAGGATTTTCTGAGAATCATTCTGTCTAGTCTTTATACGGAGATGTTTCCTTTTCTACCATTGACCTCAAAGCGGCTGAAATCTCCACTTGCAAATTCCACAAAAAGAGTGTTTCAAGTCGGCTCTGTGTAAAGGATTGTTCAAGTCTGTGAGTTGAATACACACAACACAAGGAAGTTACTGAGAATTATTCTGTCTAGCAGAATATGAAGAAATCCCGTTTCCAACGAAGGCCTCAAGGAGGTCTGAATATCCACTTGCAGACTTTACAAACAGAGTGTTTCCTAACTGCTCTATGAACAGAAAGGTTAAACTCCGTGAGTTGAACGAACACATCACAACGCAGTTTGTGGGAATGATTCTGTCTAGTTTTGAAACGAAGATATTTCCTTTTCTGCCATTGACCTTAAAGCGCTCGAAATCTACACTTGCAAATTGCACAAATAGAGTGTTTCAAATCTGCTCTAAGGGAACGTTCAACTCTGTGAGTTGAATGCACACAACACAAGGAAGTTACTGGGAATTCTTCTGTCTAGCCTTACATGAAAAAAACCCGTTTCCAACGAAGGCCTCTAAGTGGTCAAATTATCCACGTGCAGACTTTACAAACAGAGTGTTTCCGAACTGCTGAATGAAAAGCAAATTTAAACTCTGAGAGTTGAACGCACACATCGCAGAGCAGTTTCTGAGAATGATTCTGTCTAGTTTTTATACGAAGATATTTCCTTTTCTGCCTTTGGCCCCAAAGCGCTTGAAATCTCCACTTGCAAATTCCACAAAAACAGTGTTTCAAATCTGGTCTCTCTAAATGAAAGTTCAACTCTCACAGTTGAATACACACAACACAAGAAAGTTACTGAGAATTCTTCTGTCTAGCATAATATGAAGAAATCTCGTTTCCAACGAAGGCCTCAAAGAGGTCTGAATATCCACTTGCAGACTTTACAAACAGAGTGTTTCCTAACTGCTCTATGAAAAGAAAAGTTTAACTCTGTGTGTTGAACGCACACATCACAAAGGAGTTTCTGAGAATCATTCTGTCTAGTTTTTATAGGAAGATATTTCCTTTTCTACCATTGACCTCAAAGCGGCTGAAATCTCCACTTGCAAATTCCACAAAAAGAGTGTTTCAAGTCCGCTCTGTGTAAAGGAACGTTCAACTCTGTGAGTTGAATACACACAACACAAGGAAGTTACTGAGAATTCTTCTGTCTAGCAGAATATGAAGAAATCCCGTTTCCAACGAAGGCCACAAGATGTCAGAATATCCACTTACAGACTTTACAAACAGAGTGTTTCCTAACTGCTCTATGAACAGAAAGGTTAAACTCTGTGAGTTGAACGAACACATCACAACGCAGTTTGTGGGAATGATTCTGTCTAGTTTTGAAACGAAGATATTTCCTTTTCTGCCGTTGACCTCAAAGAGCTTGAAAACTACACTTGCAAATTGCACAAATAGAGTGTTTCAAATCTGCTCTGTCTAAGGGAACGTTCAACTCTGTGAGTTGAATGCACACAACACAAGGAAGTTACTGGGAATTCTTCTGTCTAGCCTTACATGAAAAAAACCCGTTTCCAACGAAGGTCTCTAAGTGGTCAAAATATCCACGTGCAGACTTTACAAACAGAGTGTTTCCAAACCGCTGAATGAAAAGAAAAGTTAAACTGCTGAGAGTTGAACGCACACATCACGCAGCAGTTTCTGAGAATGATTCTGTCTAGTTGTTATACGAAGATATTTCCTTTTCTGCCTTTGGCCCCAAAGCGCTTGAAATCTCCACTTGCAAATTCCACAAAAACAGTGTTTCAAATCTGCTCTCTCTAAATGAAAGTTCAACTCTGTCAGTTGAATACACACAACACAAGGAAGTTACTGAGAATTCTTCTGTCTAGCAGAATATGAAGAAATCCCGTTTCCAACGAAGGCCTCAACGAGGTCTGAATATCCACTTGCAGACTTTACAAGCAGAGTGTTTCCTAACTGCTCTATGAAAAGAAAGGTTAAACTCTGTGAGTTGAACACACACATCACAAAGAAGTTTCTGAGAATCATTCTGTCTAGTTTCTATAAGAAGATATTTCCTATTCTACCATTGACCTCAAAGCGGCTGAAATCTCCACTTGCAAATTCGACAAAAAGAGTGTTTCAAGCCTGCTCTCTGTAAAGGATCCTTCAACTCTGTGAGTTGAATACACACAACACAAAGAAGTTACTGAGAATTATTCTGTCTAGCAGAATATGAAGAAATCCCGTTTCCAACGAAGGCCTCAAAAGAGGTCTGAATATCCACTTGCAGACTTTACATACAGAGTGTTTCCTAACTGCTCTATGAAAAGAAAAGTTAAATTCTGTGAGTTGAACGCACACATCACAAAGGAGTTTTCTGAGAATCATTCTGTCTAGTTTTGAAACGAAGATATTTCCTTTTCTGCCATTGACCTCAAAGCGCTTGAAATCTCCACTTGCCAATTGCACAAAAAGAGTGTTTCAAATCTGCTCTGTTTAAGGGAACGTTCAACTCTGTGAGTTGAATGTACACAACACAAGGAAGTTACTGGGAATTCTTCTGTCTAGCCTTACATGAAAAAATCCCGTTTCCAACGAAGGTCTCTAAGTGGTCAAAATTTCCACGTGCAGACTTTACAAACAGAGTGTTTCCAAACCGCTGAATGAAAAGAAAAGTTAAACTCTGAGAGTTGATCGCACACATCACGCAGCAGTTTCTGAGAATGATTCTGTCTAGTCTTTATACGAAGATATTTACTTTTCTACCATTGACTTCAAATCGGCTGAAATCTCCACTTGCAAATTCCACAAAAAGGGTGTTTCAAGTCTGCTCTGTGTAAAGGATCATTCAAATCTGTGAGTTGAATAAACACAACACAAGGAAGTTACTGAGAATTCTTCTGTCTAGCATAATATGAAGAAATCCCGTTTCCAACGAAGGCCTAAAAGATGTCTGAATATCCACTTGCAGACTTTACAAACAGAGTGTTTCCTAACTGCGCTATGAAAAGAAAGGTTAAATTCTGTGAGTTGAACGCACACATCACAAAGGAGTTTATGAGAATCATTCTGTCTAGTTTCTATAGGAACATATTTCCTATTCTACCATTGACCTCAAAGCGGCTAAAATCTCCACTTGCAAATTCCACAAAAAGAATGTTTCAAGTCTGCTCTGTGTAAAGGATCGTTCAACTCTGTGAGTTGAATACACACAACACAAGGAAAGTTACTGAGAATTCTTCTGTCTAGCAGAATATGAAGAAATCCCGTTTCCAACGAAGGCCACAAGATGTCAGAATATCCACTTACAGACTTTACAAACAGAGTGTTTCCTAACTGCTCTATGAACAGAAAGGTTAAACTACTGTGAGTTGAACGAACACATCACAACGCAGTTTGTGGGAATGATTTCTGTCTAGTTTTTATAGGAAGATATTTCCTTTTCTACCTTTGACTTCAAAGCGGCTGAAATCTCCACTTGCAAATTCCAGAAAAAGAGTGTTACAAGTCTGCTTTGTGTAAAGGATCGTTCAACTCTGTGAGTTGAATACACACAACACAAGGAAGTTACTGAGAATTCTTCTGTCTAGCCTTACATGAAAAAAACCCGTTTCCAACGAAGGCCTCTAAGTGGTCAAATTATCCACGTGCAGACTTTACAAACAGAGTGTTTCCAAACTGCTGAATGAAAAGAAAAGTTAAACTCTGAGAGTTGAACGCACACATCGCAGAGCAGTTTCTGAGAATCATTCTGTCTAGTTTTTATACGAAGATATTTCCTTTTCTGCCTTTGGCCCCAAAGCGCTTGAAATCTCCACTTGCCAATTCCACAAAAACAGTGTTTCAAATCTGCTCTCTCTAAATGATAGTTCAACTCTGTCAGCTGAATACACACAACACAAGGAAGTTACTGAGAATTCTTCTGTCTAGCACAGTATGAAGAAATCCCGTTTCCAACGAAGGCCTCAAAGAGGTCTCAATATCCACTTGCAGAGTTTACAAACAGAGTGTTTCCTAACTGCTCTATGAAAAGAAAGGTTAAACTCTGTGAGTTGAACGCACACATCACAAAGAAGTTTCTGAGAATCATTCTGTCTAGTTTTTATAGGAAGATATTTCCTTTTCTACCTTTGACTTCAAAGCGGCTGAAATCTCCACTTGCAAATTCCACAAAAAGAGTGTTACAAGTCTGCTCTGTGTAAAGGATCGTTCAACCCTGTGAGTTGAATACACACAACACAAGGAAGTTACTGAGAATTCTTCTGTCTAGCAGAATATGAAGAAATCCCGTTTCCAACGAAGGCCACAAGATGTCAGAATATCCACTTACAGAATTGACAAACAGACTGTTTCCTAACTGCTCTATGAAAAGAAAGGTTAAACTCTGTGAGTTGAACGAACACATCACAACGCAGTTTGGGGGAATGATTCTCTGTAGTTTTGAAACGAAGATATTTCCTTTTCTGCCATTGACCTTAAAGCGCTTGAAATCTACACTTGCAAATTGCACAAATAGAGTGTTTCAAATCTGCTCTGTCTAAGGGAACGTTCAACTCTGTGAGTTGAATGCACACAACACAAGGAAGTTACTGGGAATTCTTCTGTCTAGCCTTACATGAAAAAAACCCGTTTCCAACGAAGGCATCTAAGTGGTCAAAATATCCACGTGCAGACTTTACAGAGTGTTTCCAAACCGCTGAATGAAAAGAAAAGTTAAACTCTGAGAGTTGAACGCACACATCACGCAGCAGTTTCTGAGAATGATTCTGTCTAGTTTTTATACGAAGATATTTCCTTTTCTGCCTTTGGCCCCAAAGCGCTTGAAATCTCCACTTGCAAATTCCACAAAAACAGTGTTTCAAATCTGCTCTCTCTAAATGAAAGTTCAACTCTGTCAGTTGAATACAAACAACACAAGGAAGTTACTGAGAATTCTTCTGTCTAGCATAGTATGAAGAAATCCCGTTTCCAACCAAGGCCTCAAAGAGGTCTGAACATCCACTTGCAGAGTTTACAAACAGAGTGTTTCCTAACTGCTCTATGAAAAGAAAGGTTAAACTCTGTGAGTTGAACGCACACATCACAAAGAAGTTTCTGAGAATCATTCTGTCTAGTTTCTATAGGAAGATATTTCCTATTCTACCATTGACCTCAAAGCGGCTGAAGTCTCCATATGCAAATTCCACAAAAAGAGTGTTTCAAGTCTGCTCTGTGTAAAGGATCGTTCAACTCTGTGAGTTGAATACACACAACACAAGGAAGTTACTGAGAATTCTTCTGTCTAGCATAATATGAAGAAATCCCGTTTCCAACGAAGGCCTCAAGGAGGTCTGAATATCCACTTGCAGACTTTACAAACAGTGTTTCCTAACTGCTCTATGAAAAGAAAGGTTAAACTGTGTGAGTTGAACGCACACATCACAAAAGAGTTTCTGAGAATCATTCTGTCTAGTTTTGAAACGAAGATATTTCCTTTTCTGCCATTGACCTTAAAGCGCTTGAAATCTCCATTTGCCAATTGCAAAAAAAGAGTGTTTCAAATCTGCTCTGTCTAAGGGAACGTTCAACTCTGTGAGTTGAATGTACACAACACAAGGAAGTTACTGGGAATTCTTCTGTCTAGCCTTACAGGTAAAAAAACCCGTTTCCAACGAAGGCCTCTAAGTGGTCAAGTTATCCACGTGCAGACTTTACAACCAGAGTGTTTCCAAACTGCTGAATGAAAAGAAAAGTTAAACTCTGAGAGTTGAACGCACACATCGCAGAGCAGTTTCTGAGAATGATTCTGTCTAGTTTTTATACGAAGATATTTCCTTTTCTGCCTTTGGCCCCAAAGCGCTTGAAATCTCCACTTGCCAATTCCACAAAAACAGTGTTTCAAATCTGCTCTCTCTAAATGATAGTTCAACTCTGTCAGTTGAATACACACAACACAAGGAAGTTACTGAGAATTCTTCTGTCTAGCAGAATATGAAGAAATCCCGTTTCCAAAGAAGGCCTCAAAGGGGTCTGAATATCCACTTGCAGACTTTATAAACAGAGTGTTTACTAGCTGCTCTATGAAAAGAAAGGTTAAACTCTGTGAGTTGAACACACACATCACAAAGGAGTTTCTGAGAATCATTCTGTCTAGTTTTTATAGGAAGATATTCCCTTTTCTACCTTTGACTTCAAAGCGGCTGAAATCTCCACTTGCAAATTCCACAAAAAGAGTGTTACAAGTCTGCTCTGTGTAAAGGATCGGTCAACTCTGTGAGTTGAATACACACAACACAAGGAAGTTACTGGGAATTCTTCTGTCTAGCAGAATATGAAGAAATCCCGTTTCCAATGAAGGCCACATGATGTCAGAATATCCACTTACAGAATTTACAAACAGACTGTTTCCTAACTGCTCTATGAAAAGAAAGGTTAAACTCTGTGAGTTGAACGAACACATCACAACGCAGTTTGTGGGAATGATTCTGTCTAGTTTTGAAACGAAGATATTTCCTTTTCTGCCATTGACCTTAAAGCGCTTGAAATCTCCACTTGCCAATTGCACAAAAAGTGTGTTTCAAATCTGCTCTGTCTAAGGGAACGTTCAACTCTGTGAGTTGAATGTACACAACACAAGGAAGTTACTGGGAATACTTCTGTCTAGCCTTACATGAAAAAAACCCGTTTCCAACGAAGGCCTCTAAGTGGTCAAGTTATCCACGTGCAGACTTTACAAACAGAGTGTTTCCAAACTTCTGAATGAAAAGAAAAGTTAAACTCTGAGAGTTGAACGCACACATCGCAGAGCAGTTTCTGAGAATGATTCTGTCTAGTTTTTCTACGAAGATATTTCCTTTTCTGCCTTTGGCCCCAAAGCGCTTGAAATCTCCACTTGCAAATTCCACAAAAACAGTGTTTCAAATCTGCTCTCTCTAAATGAAAGTTCAACTCTGTCAGTTGAATACACACAACACAAGGAAGTTACTGAGAATTCTTCTGTCTAGCATAATATGAAGAAATCCCGTTTCCAAAGAAGGCCTCAAAGAGGTCTGAATATCCACTTGCAGTCTTTACAAACGGAGTGTTTCCTAACTGCTCTATGAAAAGAAAGGTTAAACTCTCTGAGTTGAACGCACACATCACAAAGGAGTTTCTGAGAATCATTCTGTCTAGTTTCTATAGGAAGATATTTCCTATTCTACCATTGACCTCAAAGAGGCTGAAATCTCCACTTGCAAATTCCACAAAAAGAGTGTTTCAAGTCTGCTCTGTGTAAAGGATCGTTCAAATCTGTGAGTTGAATACTCACAACACAAGGAAGTTACTGAGAATTCTTCTGTCTAGCAGAATAGGAAGAAATCCCGTTTCCAACGAAGGCCACAAGATGTCAGAATATCCACTTGCAGACTTTACAAACAGAGTGTTTCCTAACTGCTCTATGAACAGAAAGGTTAAACTCTGTGAGTTGAACGAACACATCACAACGCAGTTTGTGGGAATGATTCTGTCTAGTTTTGAAACGAAGATATTTCCTTTTCTGCCGTTGACCTTAAAGCGCTTGAAATCTACACTTGCAAATTGCACAAATAGAGTGTTTCAAATCTGTTCTGTCTAAGGGAACGTTCAGCTCTGTGAGTTGAATGCACACAACACAAGGAAGTTACTGGGAATTCTTCTGTCTAGACTTACATGAAAATAACCCGTTTCCAACGAAGGCCTCTAAGTGGTCAAATTATCCACGTGCAGACTTTACAAACAGAGTGTTTCCAAACTGCTGAATGAAAAGAAAAGTTAAACTGTGAGAGTTGAACGCACACATCGCAGAGCAGTTTCTGAGAATGATTCTGTCTAGTTTTTATACGAAGATATTCCCTTTTCTACCATTGACCTCAAAGCGGCTGAAATCACCACTTGCCAATTGCACAAAAAGAGTGTTTCAAATCTGCTCTGTCTAAGGGAACGTTCAACTCTGTGAGTTGAATGTATACAACACAAGGAAGTTACTGGGAATTCTTCTGTCTAGCCTTACAAGAAAAAAACCCGTTTCCAACGAAGGCCTCAAAGAGGTCTGAATATCCACTTGCAGACTTTACAAACAGAGTGTTTCCTAACTGCTCTATGAAAAGAAAGGTTAAACTCTGTGAGTTGAACGCACACATCACAAAGGAGTTTCTGAGAATCATTCTGTCTAGTTTTTCTACGAAGATATTTCCTTTTCTACTATTGACCTCAAAGCGGCTGAAATCTACACTTGCAAATTCCACAAAAAGAGTGTTTCAAGTCTGCTCTGTGTAAAGGATCGTTCAACTCTGTGAGTTGAATACACACAACACAAGGAAGTTACTGAGAATTCTTCTGTCTAGCAGAATATGAAGAAATCCCATTTCCAACGAAGGCCACAAGATGTCAGAATATCCACTTACAGACTTTACAAACAGAGTGTTTCCTAACTGCTCTATGAACAGAAAGGTAAAACTCTGTGAGTTGAACGAACACATCACAACGCAGTTTGTGGGAATGATTCTGTCTAGTTTTAAAACGAAGATATTTCCTTTTCTGCCATTGACCTTAAAGCGCTTGAAATCTACAATTGCAAATTGCACAAATAGAGTGTTTCAAATGTGCTCTGTCTAAGGGAACGTTCAACTCTGTGAGTTGAATGCACACAACACAAGGAAGTTACTGGGAATTCTTCTGTCTAGCCTTACATGAAAAAAACCCTTTTCCAACGAAGGCCTCTAAGTGGTCAAAATATCCACGTGCAGACTTTACAGACAGAGTGTTTCCAAACCCCTGAATGAAAAGAAAAGTTAAACTCTGAGAGTTGAACGCACACATCACGCATCAGTTTCTGAGAATGATTCTGTCTAGTTTTGAAACGAAGATATTTCCTTTTCTGCCTTTGGCCTCAAATCGCTTGAAATCTCCACTTGCAAATTCCACAAAAAGAGTGTTTCAAATCTGCTCTGTGTAAATGGAAGTTCAACTCTGTGAGTTGAACACACACAACACAAGGAAGTTACTGGGAATTCTTCTGTCTAGCATAATATGAAGAAATCCCGTTTCCAACGAAGGCCTCAAAGGGGTCTGAATATCCACTTGCAGACTTTATAAACAGAGTGTTTACTAACTGCTCTATGAAAAGAAAGGTTAAACTCTGTGAGTTGAACACACACATCACAAAGGACTTTCTGAGAATGATTCTGTCTAGTCTTTATACGAAGATATTTCCTTTTCTACCATTGACCTCAAAGCGGCTGAAATCTCCACTTGCAAATTCCACAAAAAGAGTGTTTCAAGTCTGCTCTGTGTAAAGGATCGTTCAACTCTGTGAGTTAAATGCACACAACACAAGGAAGTTACTGAGAATTCTTCTGTCTAGCAGAATATGAAGAAATCCCGTTTCCAACGATGGCCACAAGATGTCAGAATATCCACTTACAGACTTTACAAACAGAGTGTTTCCTAACTGCTCTATGAACGGAAAGGTTAAACTCTGTGAGTTGAACGAACACATCACAACGCAGTTTGTGGGAATGATTCTGTCTAGTTTTGAAACGAAGATATTTCCTTTTCTGCCATTGACCTTAAAGCGCTTGAAATCTACACTTGCAAATTGCACAAATAGAGTGTTTCAAATCTGCTCTGTCTAAGGGAACGTTCAACTCTGTGAGTTGAATGCACACAACACAAGGAAGTTACGGGGAATTCTTCTGTCTAGCCTTACAGGAAAAAAACTCGTTTCCAACGAAGGCCTCTAAGTGGTCAAAATATCCACGTGCAGACTTTACAAACAGAGTGTTTCCAAACTGCTGAATGAAAAGAAAAGTTAAACTCTGAGAGTTGAACGCACACATCGCAGAGCAGTTTCTGAGAATGATTCTGTCTTGTTTTTCTACGAAGATATTCCCTTTTCTGCCTTTGGCCCCAAAGCGCTTGAAATCTCCACTTGCAAATTCCACAAAAACAGTGTTTCAAATCTGTTCTCTCTAAATGAAAGTTCAACTCTGTCAGTTGAATACACACAACACAAGGAAGTTACTGAGAATTCTTCTGTCTAGTCTTATATGAAAAAAACCCGTTTCCAACGAAGGCCTCAAAGAGGTCGGAATATCCACTTGCAGACTTTACAATCACAGTGTTTCCTAACTGCTCTACGAAAAGAAAGGTTAAACTCTGTGAGTTGAACACCCACATCACAAAGGAGTTTCTGAGAATCATTCTGTCTAGTTTTTATAGGAAGTTATTTCCTTTTCTACCTTTGACTTCAAAGCGGCTGAAATCTCCACTTGCAAATTCCACAAAAAGAGTGTTACAAGTCTGCTCTGTGTAAAGGATCGTTCAACTGTGTGAGTTGAATACACACAACACAAGGAAGTTACTGAGAATTCTTCTGTCTAGCAGAACATGAAGAAATCCCGCTTCCAACGAAGGCCTCAAAGAAGTCTGAATATCCACTTGCAGACATTACAAACAGAGTGTTTCCCAACTGCTCTATGAAAAGAAAGGTTGAACTCTGTGAGTTGAACGCACACATCACAAAGGAGTTTCTGAGAATCATTCTGTCTAGTTTTTATACGAAGATATTTCCTTTTCTACCATTGACCCCAAAGCGGCTGAAATCTCCACTTGCAAATTCCACAAAAAGAGTGTTTCAAGTCTGCTCTGTGTAAAGGATCGTTCAACTCTGTGAGTTGAATACACACAACACAAGGAAGTTACTGAGAATTCTTCTGTCTAGCAGAATATGAAGAAATCCCTTTTCCAACGAAGGCCACAAGATGTCAGAATATCCACTTACAGACTTTACAAACAGAGTGTTTCCTAACTGCTCTATGAACAGAAAGGTTAAACTCTGTGAGTTGAACGAACACTTCACAACGCAGTTTGTGGGAATGATTCTGTCTAGTTTTGAAACGAAGATATTTCCTTTTCTGCCGTTGACCTTAAAGCGCTTGAAATCTACACTTGCAAATTGCACAAATAGAGTTTTTCAAATCTGCTCTGTCTAAGGGAACGTTCAACTCTGTGAGTTGAATGCACACAACACAAGGAAGTTACTGGGAATTCTTCTGTCTAGCCTTACATGAAAAAAACCCGTTTCCAACGAAGGCATCTAAGTGGTCAAAATTTCCACGTGCAGACTTTACAAACAGAGTGTTTCCAAACCGCTGAATGAAAAGAAAAGTTAAACTCTGAGAGTTGAACGCACACATCACGCAGCAGTTTCTGAGAATGATTCTGTCTAGTTTTGAAACGAAGATATTTCCTTTTCTGCCTTTGGCCTCAAATCGCTTGAAATCTCCACTTGCAAATTCCACAAAAAGAGTGTTTCAAATCTGCTCTGTGTAAATGGAAGTTCAACTCTGTGAGTTGAACACACACAACACAATGAAGTTACTGGGAATTCTTCTGTCTAGCATAATATGAAGAAATGCCGTTTCCAAAGAAAGCCTCAAAGAGGACTGAGAATCCACTTGCAGACTTTACAAACAGAGTGTTTCCTAACTGCTCTATGAAAAGAAAGGTTAAACTCTGTGAGTTGAACGCACACATCACAAAGGAGTTTCTGAGAATCATTCTGTCTAGTTTTTATACGAAGATATTTCCTTTTCTACCATTGACCTCAACGCGGCTGAAATCTCCACTTGCAAATTCCACAAAAAGTGTGTTTCAAGTCCGCTCTGTGTAAAGGATCGTTCAACTCTGTGAGTTGAATACACACAACACAAGGAAGTTACTGAGAATTCTTCTGTCTAGCACAGTATGAAGAAATCCCGTTTCCAACGAAGGCCTCAAAGAGGTCTGAATATCCACATGCAGACTTTACAAACAGAGTGTTTCCTAACTGCTCTATGAAAAGAAAGGTTAAACTCTGTGAGTTGAACGCACACGTCACAATGAAGTTTCTGAGAATCATTCTGTCTAGTTTTGAAACGAAGATATTTCCTTTTCTGCCGTTGACCTTAAAGCGCTTGAAATCTACACTTGCAAATTGCACAAATAGAGTATTTCAAATCTGCTCTGTCTAAGGGAACGTTCAACTCTGTGAGTTGAATGCACACAACACAAGGAAGTTACTGGGAATTCTTCTGTCTAGCCTTACGTGAAAAAAACCCGTTTCCCACGAAGGCCTCTAAGTGGTCAAAATATCCACGGGCAGACTTTACAAACAGAGTGTTTCCAAACCGCTGAATGAAAAGAAAAGTTAAACTCTGAGAGTTGAACGCACACATCACGCAGCAGTTTCTGAGAATGATTCTGTCTAGTTTTTATAGGAATATATTTCCTTTTCTGCCTTTGGCCCCAAAGCGTTTGAAATCTCCACTTGCAAATTCCACAAAAACAGTGTTTCAAATCTGCTCTCTCTAAATGAAAGTTCAACTCTGTCAGTTGAATACACACAACACAAGGAAGTTCCCGAGAATTCTTCTGTCTAGCATAATAGGAAGAAATCCCGTTTCCAACGAAGGCCTCAAGGAGGTCTGAATATCCACTTGCAGACTCTACAAACAGAGTGTTTCCTAACTGCTCTATGAAAAGAAAGGTTAAACTCTGTGAGTTGAACGCACACATCACAAAGGAGTTACTGAGAATCATTCTGTCTAGTTTTTCTACGAAGATATTTCCTATTCTACTATTGACCTCAAAGCGGCTGAAATCTCCACTTGCAAATTCCACAAAAAGAGTGTTTCAAGTCTGCTCTCTGTAAAGGATCGTTCAACTCTGTGAGTTGAATACACACAACACAAGGAAGTTACTGAGAATTCTTCTGTCTAGCAGAATATGAAGAAATCCCGTTTCCAACGAAGGCCACAAGATGTCAGAATATCCACTTTCAGACTTTACAAACAGAGTGTTTCCTAACTGCTCTATGAACAGAAAGGTTAAACTCTGTGGGTTGAACGAACACATCACAACGCAGTTTGTGGGAATGATTCTGTCTAGTTTTGAAACGAAGATATTTCCTTTTCTGCCATTGACCTTAAAGCGCTTGAAATCTCCACTTGCCAATTGCACAAAAAGAGTGTTTCAAATCTGCTCTGTCTAAGGGAACGTTCAACTCTGTGAATTGAATGTACACAACACAAGGAAGTTACTGGGAATTCTTCTGTCTAGCCTTACATGAAAAAAAACCCGTTTCCAACGAAGGCCTCTAAGTGGTCAAAATATCCACGTGCAGACTTTACAAACAGAGTGTTTCCAAACCGCTGAATGAAAAGAAAAGTTAAACTCTGAGAGTTGAACGCACACATCACGCAGCAGTTTTCTGAGAATGATTCTGTCTAGTTTTTATACGAAGATATTTCCTTTTCTGCCTTTGGCCCCAAAGCGCTTGAAATCTCCACTTGCAAATTCCACAAAAACAGTGTTTCAAATCTGCTCTCTCTAAATGAAAGTTCAACTCTGTCAGTTGAATACACACAACACAAGGAAGTTAATGAGAATTCTTCTGTATAGCAGAATATGAAGAAATCCCGTTTCCAACGAAAGCCTCAAAGATGTCTGAATATCCACCTGCAGACATTACAAACAGAGTGTTTCCTAACTGCTCTATGAAAAGAAAGGTTAAACTCTGTGAGTTGAACGCACACATCACAAAGGAGTTTCTGAGAATCATTCTGTCTTGTTTCTATAGGAAGATATTTCCTATTCTACCATTGACCTCAAAGCGGCTGAAATCTCCACTTGCAAATTCCACAAAGAGAGTGTTTCAAGTCTGCTCTGTGTAAAGGATCGTTCAACTCTGTGAGTTGAATACACACAATACAAGGAAGTTACTGAGAATTCTTCTGTCTAGCAGAATATGAAGAAATCCCGTTTCCAACGAAGACGTCAAGGAGGTCTGAATATCCACTTGCAGACTTTAGAGAGTGTTTCCTAACTGCTCTATAAAAAGAAAGGTTAAACTCTGTGAGTTGAACGCACACATCACAAAGGAGTTTCTGAGAATCATTCTGTCTAGTTTTGAAACGAAGCATATTTCCTTTTCTGCCATTGACCTTAAAGCGCTTGAAATCTACACTTGCAAATTGCACAAATAGAGTGTTTCAAATCTGCTCTGTCTAAGGGAACGTTCAGCTCTGTGAGTTGAATGCACACAACACAAGGCAAGTTACTGGGAATTCTTCTGTCTACCCTTACATGAAAAAAACCCGTTTCCAACGAAGGCCTCTAAGTGGTCAAAATATCCACGTGCAGACTTTACAAACAGAGTGTTTCCAAACTGCTGAATGAAAAGAAACGTTAAACTCTGAGAGTTGAATGCACACATCACAGAGCATTTTCTGAGAATGATTCTGTCTAGTTTTTATACGAAGATATTTCCTGTTCTGCCTTTGGCCCCAAAGCGCTTGAAATCTCCACTTGCAAATTCCACAAAAACAGTGTTATAAATCTGCTCTCTCTAAATGAAAGTTCAACTCTGTCAGTTGAATACACACAACACAAGGAAGTTACTGAGAATTCTTCTGTCTAGCAGAATATGAAGAAATCCCGTTTCCCACGAAGGCCTCAAGGAGGTCAGAATATCCACTTGCAGACTTTACAAACAGAGTGTTTCCTAACTGCTCTATGAAAAGAAAGGTTAAACTCTGTGAGTTGAACGCACACATCACAAAGGAGTTTCTGAGAATCATTCTGTCTAATTTTTATATGAAGATATTTCCTTTTCTACCACTGACCTCAAAGCGGCTGAAATCTCCACTTGCAAATTCCACAAAAAGAGTGTTTCAAATCTGCTCTGTGTAAATCATCGTTCAACTCTGTGAGTTGAATACACACAACACAAGGAAGATTCTGAGAATTCTTCTTTCCAGCAGAATATGAAGAAATCCCGTTTCCAACGAAAGCCTCAAGGATGTCTGAATATCCACTTGCAGACTTTACAAACAGAGTGTTTCCTAACTGCTCTATGAAAAGAAAGGTTAAACTCTGTGAGTTGAACGCACACATCACAAAGGAGTTTCTGAGAATCATTCTGTCTAGTTTTGAAACGAAGATATTTCCTTTTCTGCCGTTGACCATAAAGAGCTGGAAATCTACACTTGCAAATTGCACAAATAGAGTGTTTCAAATCTGCTCTGTCTAAGGGAACGTTCAACTCTGTGAGTTGAATGCACACAACACAAGGAAGTTACTGGGAATTCTTCTGTCTAGCCTTACAGGAAAAAAACCCGTTTCCAACGAAGGCCTCTAAGTGGTCAGAATATCCACGTGCAGACTTTAGAAACAGAGTTTTTCCACACTGCTGAATGAAAAGAAAAGTTAAACTCTGAGAGTTGAACGCACACATCACAGAGCAGTTTCTGAGAATGATTCTGTCTAGTTTCTATAGGAAGATATTTCCTATTCTACCATTGACCTCAAAGCGGCTGAAATCTCCACTTGCAAATTCCACAAAAAGAGTGTTTCAAGTCTGCTCTCTGTAAAGGATCGTTCAACACTGTGAGTTGAATACACACAACACAAGGAAGTTACTGAGAATTATTCTTTCTAGCAGAATATGAAGAAATCCCGTTTCCAACGAAAGCCTCAAGGATGTCTGAATATCCACTTGCAGACTTTACAAACAGAGTATTTCCTAACTGCTCTATGAAAAGAAAGGTTAAACTCTGTGAGTTGAACGCACACATCACAAAGGAGTTTCTGAGAATCATTCAGTCTAGTTTCTAAACGAAGATATTCCCTTTTCTACCATTGACCTCAAAGCGGCTGAAATCTCCACTTGCAAATTCCACAAAAAGAGTGTTTCAAGTCTGCCCTGTGTAAAGGATCGTTCAACTCTGTGAGTTGAATACACACAACACAAGGAAGTTACTGAGAATTCTTCTGTCTAGCAGAATATGAAGAAATCCCGTTTCCAACGAAGGCCACAAGATGTCAGAATATCCACTTACAGACTTTACAAACAGAGTGTTTCCTAACTGCTCTATGAACAGAAAGGTTAATCTCTGTGAGTTGAACGAACACATCACAACGCAGTTTGTGAGAATGATTCTGTCTTGTGTTGAAACGAAGATATTTCCTTTTCTGCCATTGACCTTAAAGCGCTTGAAATCTACACTTGCAAATTGCACAAATAGAGTGTTTCAAATCTGCTCTGTCTAATGGAACGTTCAACTCTTTGAGTTGAATGCACACAACACAAGGAAGTTACTGGGAATTCTTCTGTCTAGCCTTACATGAAAAAAACCCGTTTCCAACGAAGGCGTCTAAGTCGTCAAAATATCCAGGTGCAGACTTTACAAACAGAGTGTTTCCAAACCGCTGAATGAAAAGAAAAGTTAAACTCTGAGAGTTGAACGCACACATCATGCAGCAGTTTCTGAGAATGATTCTGTCTAGTTTTTATACGAAGACATTTCCTTTTCTGCCTTTGGCCGCAAATCGCTTGAAATCTCCACTTGCAAATTCCTCAAAAACAGTGTTACAAATCTGCTCTCTTTAAATGAAAGTTCAACTCTGTCAGTTGAATACACACAACACAAGGAAGTTACTGAAAATTCTTCTGTCTAGCCTTACATGAAAAAAACCCGTTTCCAACGAAGGCCTCAAAGAAGTCCAAATATCCACGTGCAGACTTTACAAACAGAGTGTTTCCTAACTGCTCTATGAAAAGAAAGGTTAAACTCTGTGAGTTGAACGCACACATCACAAAGGAGTTTCTGAGAATCATTCTGTCTAGTTTCTATACGAAGATATTCCCTTTTCTACCATTGACCTCAAAGCGGCTGAAATCTCCACTTGCAAATTCCACAAAAAGAGTATTTCAAGTCTGCTCTGTGTAAAGGATCGTTCAACTCTGTGAGTTGAATACACACAACACAAGGAAGTTACTGAGAATTCTTCTGTCTAGCAGAATATGAAGAAATTCCGTTTCCAACGAAGGCCACAAGATGTCAGAATATCCACTTACAGAATTGACAAACAGACTGTTTCCTAACTGCTCTATGAAAAGAAAGGTTAAACTCTGTGAGTTGAACGAACACATCACAACGCAGTTTGTGGGAATGATTCTGTCTAGTTTTGAAACGAAGATATTTCCTTTTCTGCCGTTGACCTTAAAGCGCTTGAAATCTACACTTGCAAATTGAACAAATAGAGTGTTTCAAATCTGCTCTGTCTAAGGGAACGTTCAACTCTGTGAGTTGAATGCACACAACACAAGGAAGTTACTGGGAATTCTTCTGTCTAGCCTTACATGAAAAAAACCCGTTTCCAACGAAGGCCTCTAAGTGGTCAAAATATCCACGTGCAGACTTTACAAACAGAGTGTTTCCAAACCGCTGAATGAAAAGAAAAGTTAAACTCTGAGAGTTGAACGCACAAATCACGCAGCAGTTTCTGAGAATGATTCTGTCTAGTTTTGAAACGAAGATATTTCCTTTTCTGCCTTTGGCCTCAAAGCGCTTGAAATCTCCACTTGCAAATTCCACAAAAAGAGAGTTTCAAATCTGCTCTGGGTAAATGAAAGTTCAACTCTGTGAGTTGAACACACACAACACAAGGAAGTTACTGGGAATTCTTCTTTCTAGCAGAACATGAAGAAATCCCGCTTCCAACGAAGGCCTCAAAGAAGTCTGAATATCCACTTGCAGACTTTACAAACAGAGTGTTTCCCAACTGCTCTATGAAAAGAAAGGTTGAACTCTGTGAGTTGAACGCACACATCACAAAGGAGTTTCTGAGAATCATTCTGTCTAGTTTTTCTACGAAGATATTTCCTTTTCTACTATTGACCTCAAAGCGGCTGAAATCTCCACTTGCAAATTCCACAAAAAGAGTGTTTCAAGTCTGCTCTGTGTAAAGGATCGTTCAACTCTGTGAGTTGAATACACACAACACAAAGAAGTTACTGAGAATTCTTCTGTCTAGCAGAATATGAAGAAATCCCGTTTCCAACGAAGGCCTCAAAGAGGTCTGAATATCCACTTGCAGACTTTACAAACAGAGTGTTTCCTAACTGCTCTATGAAAAGAAAGGTTAAACTCTGTGAGTTGAACGCACACATCACAAAGGAGTTTACTGAGAATCGTTCTGTCTAGTTTTTATAGGAAGATATTTCCTTTTCTACATTTGACTTCAAAGCGGCTGAAATCTCCACTTGCAAATTCCACAAAAAGAGTGTTACAAGTCTACTCTGTGTAAAGGATCGTTCAACTGTGTGAGTTGAATACACACAACACAAGGAAGTTACTGAGAATTCTTCTGTCTAGCCTTATATGAAAAAAACCCGTTTCCAACGAAGGCCTCTAAGTGGTCAAAATATCCACGTGCAGACTTTACAAACAGAGTGTTTCCAAACCGCTGAATGAAAAGAAAAGTTAAACTCTGAGAGTTGAACGCACACATCACGCAGCAGTTTCTGAGAATGATTCTGTCTAGTTTTTATACGAAGATATTTCCTTTTCTGCCTTTGGCCTCAAAGCGCTTGAAATCTCCACTTGCAAATTCCACAAAAAGAGTGTTTCAAATCTGCTCTGTGTAAATGAAAGTTCAACTCTGTGAGTTGAACACACACAACACAAGGAAGTTACTGAGAATTGTTCTGTCTAGCAGAATATGAAGAAATCCCGTTTCCAACGAAGGCCTCAAAGAGGTCTGAATATCCACTTGCAGACTTTACAAACAGAGTGTTTCCTAACTGCTCTATGAAAAGAAAGGTTAAACTCTGTGAGCTGAACGCACACATCACAAAGGAGTTTCTGAGAATCATTCTGTCTAGTTTCTATACGAAGATATTCCCTTTTCTACCATTGACCTCAAAGCGGCTGAAATCTCCACTTGCAAATTCCACAAAAAGAGTGTTTCATGTCTGCTCTGTGTAAAGGATCATTCAACTCTGTGAGTTGAATACACACAACACAAGGAAGTTACTGAGAATTCTTCTGTCTAGCATAGTATGAAGAAATCCCGTTTCCAACGAAGGCCTCAAAGAGGTCTGAATATCCACTTGCAGACTTTACAAACAGAGTGTTTCCAAACTGCTGAATGAAAAGAAAAGTTAAACTCTGAGAGTTGAACGCACACATCGCAGAGCAGTTTCTGAGAATGATTCTGTCTAGTTTTGAAACGAAGATATTTCCTTTTCTGCCGTTGACCTTAAAGCGCTTGAAATCTACACTTGCAAATTACACAAATAGAGTGTTTCAAATGTGCTCTGTCTAAGGGAACGTTCAACTCTGTGAGTTGAATGCACACAACACAAGGAAGTTACTGGGAATTCTTCTGTCTACACTTACATGAAAAAAACCCGTTTCCAAAGAAGGCCTCTAAGTGGTCAAAATATCCACGTGCAGACTTTACAAACAGAGTGTTTCCAAACTGCTGAATGAAAAGAAAAGTTAAACTCTGAGAGTTGAACGCACACATCACAGAGGATTTTCTGAGAATGATTCTGTCTAGTTTTTATACGAAGATATTTCCTTTTCTGCCTTTGGCCGCAAAGCGCTTGAAATCTCCACTTGCAAATTCCACAAAAACAGTGTTACAAATCTGCTCTCTCTAAATGAAAGTTCAACTCTGTCAGTTGAATACACACAACACAAGGAAGTTACTGAGAATTCTTCTGTCTAGCATAATATGAAGAAATCCCGTTTCCTACGAAGGCCTCAAAGAGGTCTGAATATCCACTTGCAGACTTTACAAACAGAGTGTTTCCTAACTGCTCTATGAAAAGAAAGGTTAAACTCTGTGAGTTGAGCGCACACATCACAAAGGAGTTTCTGAGAATCATTCTGTCTAGTCTTTATACGAAGTTATTTACTTTTCTACCATTGACCTCAAAGCGGCTGAAATCTCCACTTGCAAATTCCACAAAAAGAGTGTTTCAAGTCTGCTCTGTGTAAAGGATCGTTCAACTCTGTGAGTTGAATACACACAACACAAGGAAGTTACTGAGAATTCTTCTGTCTAGCAGAATATGAAGAAATCCCGTTTCCAACGAAGGCCACAAGATGTCAGAATATCCACTTACAGAATTTACAAACAGACTGTTTCCTAACTGCTCTATGAAAAGAAAGGTTAAACTCTGTGAGCTGAACGAACACATCACAACGCAGTTTTTGGGAATGATTCTGTCTAGTTTTGAAACGAAGATATTTCCTTTTCTGCCATTGACCTTAAAGCGCTTGAAATCTACACTTGCAAATTGCACAAATAGAGTGTTTCAAATCTGCTCTGTCTAAAGGAACGTTCAACTCTGTGAGTGGAATGCACACAACACAAGGAAGTTACTGGGAATTCTTCTGTCTAGCCTTACAGGAAAAAACCCGTTTCCAACGAAGGCCTCTAAGTGGTCAAATTATCCACGTGCAGACTTTACAAACAGAGTGTTTCCAAACTGCTGAATGAAAAGAAAAGTTAAACTCTGAGAGTTGAACGCACACATCGCAGAGCAGTTTCTGAGAATGATTCTGTCTAGTTTTTATACGAAGATATTTCCTTTTCTGCCTTTGGCCTCAAAGCGCATGAAATCTACCTTTGCAAATTCCACAAAAAGAGTGTCTCAAATCTGCTCTGTCTAAATGAAAGTTCAACTCTGTCAGTTGAATACACACAACACAAGGAAGTTACTGAGAATTCTTCTGTCTAGCCTTATATGAAAAAAACCCATTTCCAACGAAGGCCTCAAAGAGGGCTGAATATCCACTTGCAGACTTTACAAGCAGAGTGTTTCCTAACTGCTCTATGAAAAGAAAGGTTAAACTCTGTGAGTTGAACGCACACATCACAAAGGAGTTTCTGAGAATCATTTCTGTCTAGTCTTTATACGAAGATATTTCCTTTTCTACCATTGACCTCAAAACGGCTGAAATCTCCACTTGCAAATTCCACAAAAAGTGTGTTTCAAGTCTGCTCTGTGTAAAGGATCGTTCAACTCTGTGAGTTGAATACACACAACACAAGGGAAGTTACTGAGAATTCTTCTGTCTAGCAGAATATGAAGAAATCCCGTTTCCAACGAAGGCCACAAGATGTCAGAATATCCACTTACAGAGTTTTCAAACAGACTGTTTCCTAACTGCTCTATGAAAAGAAAGGTTAAACTCTGTGAGTTGAACGAACACATCACAACGCAGTTTGTGGGAATGATTCTGTCTAGTTTTGAAACGAAGATATTTCCTTTTCTGCCGTTGACCTTAAAGCGCTTGAAATCTACACTTGCAAATTGCACAAATAGAGTGTTTCAAATCTGCTCTGTCTAAGGGAACGTTCAACTCTGTGAGTTGAATGCACACAACAGAAGGAAGTTACTGGGAATACTTCTGTCTAGCCTTACATGAAAAAAACCCGTTTCCAACGAAGGCCTCTAAGTGGTCAAAATTTCCACATGCAGACTTTACAAACAGAGTGTTTCCAAACCGCTGAATGAAAAGAAAAGTTAAACTCTGAGAGTTGAACGCACACATCACGCAGCAGTTTCTGAGAATGACTCTGTCTAGTTTTGAAACGAAGATATTTCCTTTTCTGCCTTTGGCCTCAAAGCGCTTGAAATCTCCACTTGCAAATTCCACAAAAAGAGTGTTTCAAATCTGCTCTGTGTAAGTGAAAGTTCAACTCTGTGAGTTGAACACACACAACACAAGGAAGTTACTGGGAATTCTTCTTTCTAGCAGAATATGAAGAAATCCCGTTTCCAACGAAAGCCTCAAAGATGTCTGAATATCCACTTGCAGACTTTACAAACAGAGTGTTTCCTAACTGCTCTATGAAAAGAAAGGTTAAACTCTGTGAGTTGAACGCACACATCACAAAGGAGTTTCTGAGAATCATTCTGTCTAGTTTTTATACGAAGATATTTCCTTTTCTACCATTGACCTCAAAGCGGCTGAAATCTCCACTTGCAAATTCCACAAAAAGAGTGTTTCAAGTCTGCTCTGTGTAAAGGATCGTTCAACTCTGTGAGTTGAATACACACAACACGCGGAAGTTACTGAGAATTCTTCTGTCTAGCAGAATATGAAGAAATCCCGTTTCCAACGAAGGCCACAAGATGTCAGAATATCCACTTACAGAATTTTCAAACAGACTGTTTCCTAACTGCTCTATGAAAAGAAAGGTTAAACTCTGTGAGTTGAACGAACACATCACAACGCTGTTTGTGGGAATGATTCTGTCTAGTTTTGAAACGAAGATATTTCCTTTTCTGCCATTGACCTTAAAGCGCTTGAAATCTCCATTTGCCAATTGCACAAAAAGAGTGTTTCAAATCTGCTCTAAGGGAACGTTCAACTCTGTGAGTTGAATGTACACAACACAAGGAAGTTACTGGGAATTCTTCTGTCTAGCCTTACATGAAAAAAACCCGTTTCCAACGAAGGCCTCTAAGTGGTCAAGTTATCCACGTGCAGACTTTACAAACAGAGTGTTTCCAAACTTCTGAATGAAAAGAAAAGTTAAACTCTGAGAGTTGAACGCACACATCGCAGAGCAGTTTCTGAGAATGATTCTGTCTAGTTTTTATACGAAGATATTTCCTTTTCTGCCTTTGGCCCCAAAGCGTTTGAAATCTCCACTTGCAAATTCCACAAAAACAGTATTTCAAATCTGCTCTCTCTAAATGAAAGTTCAACTCTGTCAGTTGAATACACACAACACAAGGAAGTTACTGAGTATTCTTCTCTCTAGCATAATATGAAGAAATCCCGTTTCCTACGAAGGCCTCAAAGAGGTCTGAATATCCACTTGCAGACTTTACAAACAGAGTGTTTCCTAACTGCTCTATGAAAAGAAAGGTTAAACTCTGTGAGTTGAGCGCACACATCACAAAGGAGTTTCTGAGAATCATTCTGTCTAGTTTCTATAGGAAGATATTTCCTATTCTACCATTGACCTCAAAGCGGCTGAAATCTCCACTTGCAAATTCCACAAAAAGAGTGTTTCAAGTCTGCTGTGTGTAAAGGATCGTTCAACTCTGTGAGTTGAATACACACAACACAAGGAAGTTACTGAGAATTCTTCTGTCTAGCAGAATATGAAGAAATCCCGTTTCCAACGAGGGCCACAAGGATGTCAGAATATCCACTTACAGACTTTACAAACAGTGTGTTTCCTAACTGCTCTATGAACGGAAAGGTTAAACTCTGTGAGTTGAACGAACCCATCACAACGCAGTTTGTGGGAATGATTCTGTCTAGTTTTGAAACGAAGATATTTCCTTTTCTGCCATTGACCTTAAAGCGCTTGAAATCTCCATTTGCCAATTGCACAAAAAGAGTGTTTCAAATCTGCTCTGTCTAAGGGAACGTTCAACTCTGTGAGTTGAATGTACACAACACAAGGAAGTTACGGGGAATTCTTCTGTCTAGGCTTACATGAAAAAAACCCGTTTCCAACGAAGGCCTCTAAGTGGTCAAATTATCCACGTGCAGACTTTACAAACAGAGTGTTTCCAAACTGCTGAATGAAAAGCAAAGTTAAACTCTGAGAGTTGAACGCACACATCGCAGAGCAGTTTCTGAGAATGATTCTGTCTAGTTTTGAAACGAAGATATTTCCTTTTCTGCCTTTGGCCTCAAAGCGCTTGAAATCTCCACTTGCAAATTCCACAAAAAGAGTGTTTCAAATCTGCTCTGGGTAAATGAAAGTTGAACTCTGTGAGTTGAACACACACAACACAAGGAAGTTACTGGGAATTCTTCTTTCTAGCAGAATATGAAGAAATCCCGTTTCCAACGAAAACCTCAAGGATATCTGAATATCCACTTGCAGACTTTACAAACAGAGTGTTTCCTAACTGCTCTATGAAAAGAAAGGTTAAACTCTGTGAGTTGAACGCACACATCACAAAGGAGTTTCTGAAAATCATTCTGTCTAGTTTTTCTACGAAGATATTTCCTTTTCTACTATTGACCTCAAAGCGGCTGAAATCTCCACTTGCAAATTCCACAAAAAGAGTGTTTCAACTCTGCTCTGTGTAAAGGATCGTTCAACTCCGTGAGTTGAATACACACAACAAAAGGAAGTTACTGAGAATTCTTCTGTCTAGCAGAATATGAAGAAATCCCGTTTCCAACGAAGGCCACAAGCTGTCAGAATATCCACTTACAGAATTTTCAAACAGACTGTTTCCTAACTGCTCTATGAAAAGAAAGGTTAAACTCCGTGAGTTGAACGAACACATCACAACGCAGTTTGTGGGAATGATTCTGTCTAGTTTTTATAGGAAGATATTTCCTTTTCTACCTTTGACTTCAAAGCGGCTGAAATCTCCACTGGCAAATTCCACAAAAAGGGTGTTACAAGTCTGCTCTGTGTAAAGGATCGTTCAACTCTGTGAGTTGAATACACACAACACAAGGAAGTTACTGAGAATTCTTCTGTCTAGCCTTACATGAAAAAAACCCGTTTCCAACGAAGGCCTCTAAGTGGTCAAGTTATCCACGTGCAGACTTTACAAACAGAGTGTTTCCAAATTGCTGAATGAAAAGAAAAGTTAAGCTCTGAGAGTTGAACGCACACATCGCAGAGCAGTTTCTGAGAATGATTCTGTCTAGTTTTTATACGAAGATATTTCCTTTTCTGCCTTTGGCCCCAAAGCGCTTGAAATCTCCACTTGCAAATTCCACAAAAACAGTGTTTAAAATCTGCTCTCTCTAAATGAAAGTTCAACTCTGTCAGTTGAATACACACAACACAAGGAAGTTACTGAGAATTCTTCTGTCTAGCCTTATATGAAAAAAACCCGTTTCCAACGAAGGCCTCAAAGAGGTCTGAATATCCACTTGCAGACTTTACAAACAGAGTGTTTCCTAACTCCTCTATGAAAAGAAAGGTTAAACTCTGTGAGTTGAACGCACACATCACAAAGGAGTTTCTGAGAATCATTCTGTCTAGTTTTTATACGAAGATATTTCCTTTTCAACAATTGACCTCAAAGCGGCTGAAATCTCCACTTGCAAATTCCACAAAAAGAGTGTTTCAAGTCTACTCTGTGTAAAGCATCGTTCAACTCTGTGAGTTGAAATTACACAACACAAGGAAGTTTCTGAGAATTCTTCTGTCTAGCCTTATATGAAAAAACCCCGTTTCCAACGAAGGCCTCAAAGAGGTCTGAATATCCACTTGCAGACTTTACAAACAGAGTGTTTCCTAACTGCTCTATGAAAAGAAAGGTTAAACTCTGTGAGTTGAACACACACATCACAAACGAGTTTCTGAGAATCATTCTGTCTAGTTTTTATAGGAAGATATTTCCTTTTCTACCTTTGACTTCAAAGCGGCTGAAATCTCCACTTGCAAATTCCACAAAAAGAGTGTGACAAGTCTGCTCTGTCTAAGGGAACGTTCAACTCTGTGAGTTGAATGTACACAACACACGGAAGTTACTGGGAATTCTTCTGTCTAGCCTGACAGGAAAAAAACCCGTTTCCAACGAAGGCCTCTAAGTGGTCAAAATATCCACGTGCAGACTTTACAAACAGAGTGTTTCCAAACTGCTGAATGAAAAGAAAAGTTAAACTCTGAGAGTTCGAACGCACACATCGCAGAGCAGTTTCTGAGAATGATTCTGTCTAGTTTTCATACGAAGATATTTCCTTTTCTGCCTTTGGCCCCAAAGCGTTTGAAATCTCCACTTGCAAATTCCACAAAAACAGTATTTCAAATCTGCTCTCTCTAAATGAAAGTTCAACTCTGTCAGTTGAATACACACAATACAAGGAAGTTACTGAGAATTCTTCTGTCTAGCAGAATATGAAGAAATCCCGTTTCCAACGAAGGCCTCAAAGAGGTCTGAATATCCACTTGCAGACTTTACAAACAGAGTGTTTCCTAACTGCTCTATGAAAAGAAAGGTTAAACTCTGTGAGTTGAACTCACACATCACAAAGGAGTTTCTGAGAATCATTCTGTCTAGTCTTTATACGAAGATATTTCCTTTTCTACCATTGACCTCAAAGCGGCTGAAATCTCCACTTGCAAATTCCACAAAAAGAGTGTTTCAACTCTGCTCTCTGTAAAGGATCGTTCAACTCTGTGAGTTGAATACACAAAACACAAGGAAGTTACTGAGAATTATTCTGTCTAGCATAATATGAAGAAATCCCGTTTCCAACGAAGGCCGCAAGATGTCAGAATATCCACTTACAGACTTTACAAACAGAGTGTTTCCTAACTGCTCTATGAACAGAAAGGTTAAACTCTGTGAGTTGAACGAACACATCACAACGCAGTTTGTGGGAATGATTCTGTCTAGTTTAGAAACGAAGATATTTCCTTTTCTGCCTTTGACCTTAAAGCGCTTGAAATCTACACTTGCAAATTGCACAAATAGAGTGTTTCAAATCTGCTCTGTCTAAGGGAACGTTCAACTCTGTGAGTTGAATGCACACAACACAAGGAAGTTACTGGAAATTCTTCTGTGTAGCCTTACATGAAAAAAAACCCGTTTCCAACGAAGGCCTCTAAGTGGTCAAAATATCCACGTGCAGACTTTATAAACAGAGTGTTTCCAAACCGCTGAATGAAAAGAAAAGTTAAACTCTGAGAGTTGAACGCACACATCACGCAGCAGTTTCTGAGAATGATTCTGTCTAGTTTCTATAGGAAGATATTTCCTATTCTACCATTGACCTCAAAGCGGCTGAAATCTCCACTTGCAAATTCCACAAAAAGAGTGTTTCAAGTCTGCTACTGTGTAAAGGATCGTTCAACTCTGTGAGTTGAATACACACAACACAAGGAAGTTACTGAGAATTCTTCTTTCTGGCAGAATATGAAGAAATCCCGTTTCCAACGAAAGCCTCAAGGATGTCTGAATATCCACTTGCAGACTTTACAAACAGAGTGTTTCCTAACTGCTCTATGAAAAGAAAGGGTAAACTCTGTGAGTTGAACGCACACATCACAAAGGAGTTTCTGAGAATCATTCTGTCTAGTTTCTATAGGAAGATATTTCCTATTCTACTATTGACCACAAAGCGGCTGAAATCTCCACTTGCAAATTCCACAAAAAGAGTGTTTCAAGTCTGCTCTGTGTAAAGCATCGTTCAACTCTGTGAGTTGAATACACACAACACAAGGAAGTTACTGAGAATTCTTCTGTCTAGCAGAACATGAAGAAATCCCACTTCCAACGAAGGCCTCAAAGAAGTCTGAATATCCACTTGCAGACTTTACAAACAGAGTGTTTCCCAACTGCTCTATGAAAAGAAAGGTTGAACTCTGTGAGTTGAACGCACACATCACAAAGGAGTTTCTGAGAATCATTCTGTCTAGTTTTTATACGAAGATATTTCCTTTTCTACCATTGACCTCAAAGCGGCTGAAATCTCCACTTGCAAATTCCAATAAAAAGAGTGTTTCTAATCTGCTCTGTGTGAAGGATCGTTCAACTCTGTGAGTTGAATGCACACAACACAAGGAAGTTACTGGGAATTCTTCTGTCTAGCAGAATATGAAGAAATCCCGTTTCCAACGAAGGCCTCAAGATGTCAGAATATCCACTTACAGACTTTACAAACAGAGTGTTTCCTAACTGCTCTATGAACAGAAAGGTTAAACTCTGTGAGTTGAACGAACACATCACAACGCAGTTTGTGGGAATGATTCTGTCTAGTTTTTATAGGAAGATATTTCCTTTTCTACCTTTGACATCAAAGCGGCTGAAATCTCCACTTGCAAATTCCACAAAAAGAGTGTTACAAGTCTGCTCTGTGTAAAGGATCGTTCAACTCTGTGAGTTGAATACACACGACACAAGGAAGTTACTGAGAATTCTTCTGTCTAGCCTTACATGAAAAAAACCCGTTTCCAACGAAGGCCTCTAAGTGGTCAAATTGTCCACGTGCAGATTTTACAAACAGAGTGTTTCCAAACAGCTGAATGAAAAGAAAAGTTAAACTCTGAGAGTTGAACGCACACATCGCAGAGCAGTTTCTGAGAATGATTCTGTCTAGTTTTTATACGAAGATATTTCCTTTTCTGCCTTTGGCCCCACAGCGCTTGAAATCTCCACTTGCAAATTCCACAAAAACAGTGTTTCAAATCTGCTCTCTCTAAATGAAAGTTCAACTCTGTCAGTTAAAAACACACAACACAAGGAAGTTACTGAGAATTCTTCTGTCTAGCACAGTATGAAGAAATCCCGTTTCCAACGAAGGCCTCAAATAGGTCTGAATATCCACTTGCAGAGTTTACAAACAGAGTGTTTCCTAACTGCTCCATGAAAAGAAAGGTTAAACTCTGTGAGTTGAACGCACACATCACAAAGAAGTTTCTGAGAATCATTCTGTCTTGTTTCTATACGAAGATATTTCCTTTTCTACCATTGACCTCAAAGCGGCTGAAATCTCCACTTGCAAATTCCACAAAAAGAGAGTTTCAAGTCTGCTCTGTGTAAAGGATCGTTCAACTCTGTGAGTTGAATACACACAACACAAGGAATTTACTGAGAATTCTTCTGTCTAGCAGAATATGAAGAAATCCCGTTTCCAACGAAGGCCTCAAGGACGTCTGAATATCCACTTGCAGACTTTACAAACAGAGTGTTTCCTAACTGCTCTATGAAAAGAAAGGTTAAACTGTGTGAGTTGAACGCACACATCACAAAGGAGTTTCTCAGAATCATTCTGTCTAGTTTTTATACGAAGATATTTCCTTTTCTACCATTGACCTCAAAGCGGCTGAAATCACCACTTGCCAATTGCACAAAAAGAGTGTTTCAAATCTACTCTGTCTAAGGGAACGTTCAAATGTGTGAGTTGAATGTACGCAAAACAAGGAAGTTCCTGGGAATTCTTCTGTCTAGCCTTACAGGAAAAAAACCCGTTTCCAACGAAGGCCTCTAAGTGGTCAAAATATCCACGTGCAGACTTTACAAACAGAGTGTTTCCAAACTGGTGAATGAAAAGAAAAGTTAAACTCTGAGAGTTGAACGCACACATCGCAGAGCAGTTTCTGAGAATGATTCTGTCTAGTTTTTATACGAAGATATTTCCTTTTCTGCCTTTGGCCACAAAGCGCTTGAAATCTCCACTTGCAAATTCCACAAAAACAGTGTTTCAAATCTGCTCTCTCTAAATGAAAGTTCAACTCTGTGAGTTGAATACACACAACACAAGGAAGTTACTGAGAATTCTTCTGTCTAGCAGAATATGAAGAAATCCCGTTTCCAACGAAGGCCTCAAAGAGGTCTAAATATCCCCTTGCAGACTTTACAAACAGAGTGTTTCCTAACTGCTCTATGAAAAGAAAGGTTAAACTCTGTGAGTGGAACGCACACATCACAAATGGGTTTCTGAGAATCATTATGTCTAGTTTTTCTACGAAGATATTTCCTTTTCTACTATTGACCTCAAAGTGGCTGAAATCTCCACTTGCAAATTCCACAAAAAGAGTGTTTCAAGTCTGCTCTGTGTAAAGGATCGTTCAACTCTGTGAGTTGAATACACACAACACAAGGAAGTTACTGAGAATTCTTCTGTCTAGCATAATATGAAGAAATCCCGTTTCCAACGAGGGCCTCACAGAGGTCTGAATATCCACTTGTAGACTTTACAAACAGAGTGTTTCCTAACTGCTCTATGAAAAGAAAAGTTAAACTCTGTGAGTTGAACGCACACATCACAGAGGAGTTTCTGAGAATCATTCTGTCTAGTTTTGAAACGAAGATATTTCCTTTTCTGCCATTGACCTTAAAGAGCTTGAAAACTACACTTGCAAATTGCACAAATAGAGTGTTTCAAATCTGCTCTGTCTAAGGGAACGTTCAACTCTGTGAGTTGAATGCACACAACACAAGGAAGTTACTGGGAATTCTTCTGTCTAGCCTTACATGAAAAAAACCCGTTTCCAACGAAGGCCTCTAAGTGGTCAAAATTTCCACGTGCAGACTTTACAAACAGAGTGTTTCCAAACCGCTGAATGAAAAGAAAACTTAAACTCTGAGAGTTGAACGCACACATCACGCAGCAGTTTCTGAGAATGATTCTGTCTAGTTTTGAAACGAAGATATTTCCTTTTCTGCCTTTGGCCTCAAAGCCCTTGAAATCTCCACTTGCAAATTCCACAAAAAGAGTGTTTCAAATCTGCTCTGTGTAAATGAAAGTTCAACTCTGTGAGTTCAACACACAAAACACAAGGAAGTTACTGGAATTCTTCTGTCTAGCATAATATGAAGAAATCCCGTTTCCAACGAAGGCCTCAAGGAGGTCTGAATATCCACTTGCAGACTTTAAAAACAGAGTGTTTCCTAACTGCTCTATGAAAAGAAAGGTTAAACTCTGTGAGTTGAACGCACACATCACAAAGGAGTTTCTCAGAATCATTCTGTCTAGTTTTTATACGAAGATATTTCCTTTTCTACCATGGACCTCAAAGCGGCTGAAATCTCCACTTGCAAATTCCACAAAAAGAGAGTTTCAAGTCTGCTCTGTGTAAAGGATCGTTCAACTCTTTGAGTTGAATACACACAACACAAGGAAGATTCTGAGAATTCTTCTGTCTAGCAGAATATGAAGAAATCGCGTTTCCAACGAAGGCCACAAGATGTCAGAATATCCACTTACAGAATTTACAAACAGACTGTTTCCTAACTGCTCTATGAAAAGAAAGGTTAAACTCTGTGAGTTGAACGAACACATCACAACGCAGTTTGTGGGAATGATACTGTCTAGTTTTGAAACGAAGATATTTCCTTTTCTGCCATTGACCTTAAAGCGCTTGAAATCTACACTTGCAAATTGCACAAATAGAGTGTTTCAAATCTGCTCTGTCTAAGGGAACGTTCATCTCTGTGAGTTGAATGCACACAACACAAGGAAGTTACTGGGAATTCTTCTGTCTAGCCTTACAGGAAAAAAACCCGTTTCCAACGAAGGTCTCTAAGTGGTCAAAGTATCCACCTGCAGACTTTACAAACAGAGTGTTTCCAAACTGCTGAATGAAAAGAAAAGTTAAACTCTGAGAGTTGAACGCACACATCGCAGAGCAGTTTCTGAGAATGATTCTGTCTAGTTTTTATACGAAGATATTTCCTTTTCTGCCTTTGGCCTCAAAGCGCTTGAAATCTCCACTTGCAAATTCCACAAAAAGAGTGTTTCAAATCTGCTCTGTGTAAATCAAAGTTCAACTCTGTGAGTTGAACACACACAACACAAGGAAGTTACTGGGAATCTTCTGTCTAGCAGAATATGAAGAAATCCCGTTTCCAACGAAGGCCTCAAAGAGGTCTGAATATCCACTTGCAGACTTTACAAACAGAGTGTTTCCGAACTGCTCTATGAAAAGAAAGGTTAAACTCTGTGAGCTGAACGCACACATCACAAAGGAGTTTCTGAGAATCATTCTGTCTAGTTTTTATAGGAAGATATTTCCTTTTCTACCTGTGACTTCAAAGCGGCTGAAATCTCCACTTGCAAATTACACAAAAAGAGTGTTACAAGTCTGCTCTGTGTAAAGGATCGTTCAACTCTGTGAGTTGAATACACACAACACAAGGAAGTTACTGAGAATTCTTCTGTCTAGCAGAATATGAAAAAATCCCGTTTCTAACGAAGGCCACAAGATGTCAGAATATCCACTTACAGACTTTACAAAAAGAGTGTTTCCTAACTGCTCTATGAACAGAAAGGTTAAACTCTGTGAGTTGAACGAACACATCACAACGCAGTTTGTGGGAATGATTCTGTCTAGTTTTGAAACGAAGATATTTCCTTTTCTGCCGTTGACCTTAAAGAGCTTGAAAACTACAATTGCAAATTGCACAAATAGAGTGTTTCAAATCTGCTCTGTCTAAGGGAACGTTCAACTCTGTGAGTTGAATGCACACAACACAAGGAAGTTACTGGGAATTCTTCTGTCTAGCCTTACATGAAAAAAACCCGTTTCCAACGAAGGCCTCTAAGCGGTCAAATTATGCAAGTGCAGACTTTACAAACAGAGTGTTTCCAAACTGCTGAATGAAAAGAAAAGTTAAACTCTGAGAGTTGAACGCACACATCGCAGAGCAGTTTCTGAGCATGATTCTGTCTAGTTTTGGCCCCAAAGCGCTTGATATCTCCACTTGCAAATTCCACAAAAAGAGTGTTTCAAGTCTGCTCTGTGTAAAGGATCGTTCAACTCTGTGAGTTGAATACACACAACACAAGGAAGTTACTGAGAATTCTTCTGTCTAGCATAATATGAAGAAATCCCGTTTCCAACGAAGGCCTCAAAGGGGTCTGAATATCCACTTGCAGACTTTATAAACAGAGTGTTTACTAACTGCTCTATGAAAAGAAAGGTTAAACTCTGTGAGTTGAACACACACATCACAAAGGAGTTTCTAAGAATCATTCTGTCTAGTTTCTATAGGAAGATATTTGCTATTCTACCATTGACCTCAAAGCGGCTGAAATCTCCACTTGCAAATTCCACAAAAAGAATGTTTCAACTCTGCTCTGTGTAAAGGATCGTTCAACTCTGTGAGTTGAATACACACAACACAAGGAAGTTACTGAGAATTCTTCTGTCTAGCAGAATATGAAGAAATCCCGTTTCCAACGAAGGCCACAAGATGTCAGAATATCCACTTACAGACTTCACAAACAGAGTGTTTCCTAACTGCTCTATGAAGAGAAAGCTTAAACTCTGTGGGTTGAACGAACACATCACAACGCAGTTTGTGGTAATGATTCTGTCTAGTTTTGAAACGAAGATATTTCCTTTTCTGCCGTTGACCTTAAAGAGCTTGAAAACTACACTTGTAAGTTGCACAAATAGAGTGTTTCAAATCTGCTCTGTCTAAGGGAACGTTCAACTCTGTGAGTTGAATGCACACAACACAAGGAAGTTACTGGGAATTCTTCTGTCTAGCCTTACAGGAAAAAAACCCGTTTCCAACGAAGGCCTCAAAGAGGTCTGAATATCCACGTGCAGTCTTTACAAACAGAGTGTTTCCTAACTGCTCTATGAAAAGAAAGTTTTAACTCTGTGAGTTGAACGCATAAATCACAAAGAAGTTTCTGAGAATCATTCTGTCTAGTTTTTATACGAAGATATTTCCTTTTCTGCCTTTGGCCCCAAAGCGCTTGAAATCTCCACTTGCAAATTCCACAAAAACAGTGTTTCAAATCTGCTCTCTCTAAATGAAAGTTCAACTCTGTCAGTTGAATACACAAAACACAAGGAAGTTACTGAGAATTCTTCTGTCTAGCAGAAGATGAAGAAATCCCGCTTCCAACGAAGGCCTCAAGGAGGTCTGAATATCCACTTGCAGACTTTACAAACAGAGTGTTTCCCAACTGCTCTATGAAAAGAAAGGTTGAACTCTGTGAGTTGAACGCACACATCACAAAGGAGTTTCTGAGAATCATTCTGTCTAGTTTTTCTACGAAGATATTTCCTTTTGTACTATTGACCTCAAAGCGGTTGAAATCTCCACTTGCAAATTCCACAAAAAGAGTGTTTCAAGTCTGCTCTGTGTAAAGGATCTTTCAACTCTGTGAGTTGAATACACACAACACAAGGAAGTTACTGAGAATTCTTCTGTCTAGTACAGTATGAAAAAATCCCGTTTCCAACGAAGGCCTCAAAGAGGTCTAAATATCCACTTGCAGAGTTTACAAACAGAGTGTTTCCTAACTGCTCTATGAAAAGAAAGGTTAAACTCTGTGAGTTGAACGCACACATCACAAAGAAGTTTCTGAGAATCATTCTGTCTAGTTTTGAAACGAAGATATTTCCTTTTCTGCCATTGACCTTAAAGCGCTTGAAATCTCCAATTGCCAATTGCACAAAAAGAGTGTTTCAAATCTGCTCTGTCTAAGGGAGCGTTCAAATCTGTGAGTTGAATGTACACAACACAAGGAAGTTACTGGGAATTCTTCTGTCTAGCCTTATATGAAAAAAACCCGTTTCCAAAGAAGGCCTCTAAGTGGTCAAATTATCCACGTGCAGACTTTACAAACAGAGTGTTTCCAAACTGCTGAATGAAAAGAAAAGTTAAACTCTGAGAGTTGAACGCACACATCGCAGAGCAGTTTCTGAGAATGATTCTGTCTAGTTTTTATACGAAGATATTTCCTTTTCTGCCTTTGGCCTCAAAGCGCTTGAAATCTCCACTTGCAAATTCCATAAAAAGAGTGTTTCAAATCTGCTCTATGTAAATGAAAGTTCAACTCTGTGAGTTGAACACACACAACACAAGGAAGTTACGGGGAATTCTTCCGTCTAGCATAATATGAAGAAATCCCGTTTCCAAAGAAGGCCTCAAAGGGGTCTGAATATCCACTTGCAGACTTTATAAACAGAGTGTTTACGAACTGCTCTATGAAAAGAAAGGTTAAACTCTGTGAGTTGAACACACACATCACAAAGGAGTTTCTGAGAATCATTCTGTCTAGTCTTTATACGAAGATATTTCCTTTTCTACCATTGACCTCAAAGCGGCTGAAATCTCCACTTGCAAATTCCACAAAAAGGGTGTTTCAAGTCTGCTCTGGGTAAAGGATCGTTCAACTCTGTGAGTTGAATACACACAACACAAGGAAGTTACTGAGAATTCTTCTGTCTATCAGAATATGAAGAAATCCCGTTTCCAAAGAAGGCCTCAAGGAGGTCTGAATATCCACTTGCAGGCTTTACAAACAGAGTGTTTCCTAACTGCTCTATGAAAAGAAAGGTTAAACTCTGTGAGTTGAACGCACACATCACAAAGGAGTTTATGAGAATCATTCTGTCTAGTTTTGAAACGAAGATATTTCCTTTTCTGCCGTTGACCTTAAAGAGCTTGAAAACTACACTTGCAAATTGCACAAATAGAGTGTTTCAAATCTGCTCTGTCTAAGGGAACGTTCAACTCTGTGAGTTGAATGCACACAACACAAGGAAGTTACTGGGAATTCTTCTGTCTAGCCTTACATGAAAAAAACCCGTTTCCAACGAAGGCCTCTAAGTGGTCAAAATATCCACGTGCAGTTTTTACAAACAGAGTGTTTCCAAACCGCTGAATGAAAAGAAAAGTTAAACTCTGAGAGTTGAACGCACACATCACGCAGCAGTTTCTGAGAATGATTCTGTCTAGTTTTTATACGAAGATATTTCCTTTTCTGCCTTTGGCCTCAAATCGCTTGAAATCTCCATTTGCAAATTCCACAAAAAGAGTGTTTCAAATCTGCTCTGTGTAAATGAAAGTTCAACTCTGTCAGTTGAATACACACAACACAAGGAAGTTACTGAGAATTCTTCTGTCTAGCAGAATATGAAGAAATCCCGTTTCCAACGAAGGCCTCAAGGAGGTCTGAATATCCACTTGCAGACTTTACAAACAGAGTGTTTCCTAACTGCTCTATGAACAGAAAGTTTAAACTCTGTGAGTTGAACACACACATCACAAAGGAGTTTCTGAGAATCATTCTGTCTAGTTTTTATACGAAGATATTTCCTTTTCTACCATGGACCTCAAAGCAGCTGAAATCTCCACTTGCAAATTCCACAAAAAGAGTGTTTCAAGTCTGCTCTGTGTAAAGGATCGTTCAACTCTGTGAGTTGAATACACACAACACAAGGAAGATTCTGAGAATTCTTCTGTCTAGCAGAATATGAAGAAATCCCGTTTCCAACGAATGCCACAAGATGTCAGAATATCCACTTACAGAATTGACAGACTGTTTCCTAACTGCTCTATGAAAAGAAAGGTTAAACTCTGTGAGTTGAACGAACACATCACAACGCAGTTTGTGGGAATGATTCTGTCTAGTTTTGAAACGAAGATATTTCCTTTTCTGCCATTGAACTTAAAGCGCTTGAAATCTCCATTTGCCAATTGCACAAAAAGAGTGTTTCAAATCTGCTCTGTCTAAGGGAACGTTCAACTCTGTGAGTTGAATGTACACAACACAAGGAAGTTACTGGGAATTCTTCTGTCTAGCCTTACAGGAAAAAAACCCGTTTCCAACGAAGGCCTCTAAGTGGTCAAAATATCCACGTGCAGACTTTACAAACAGAGTGTTTCCAAACTGCTGAATGAAAAGAAAAGTTAAACTCTGAGAGTTGAACGCACACATTGCAGAGCAGTTTCTGAGAATGATTCTGTCTAGTTTTTATACGAAGATATTTCCTTTTCTGCCTTTGGCCTCAAAGCGCTTGAAATCTCCACTTGCAAATTCCACAAAAAGAGTGTTTCAAATCTGCTCTGTGTAAATCAAAGTTCAACTCTATGAGTTGAACACACACAACACAAGGAAGTTACTGGGAATTCTTCTGTCTAGCATAATATGAAGAAATCCCGTTTCCAACGAAGGCCTCAAAGTGGTCTGAATATCCACTTGCAGACTTTACAAACAGAGTGTTTCCTAACTGCTCTATGAGAAGAAAAGTTAAACTCTGTGAGTTGAACGCACACATCACAAAAGATTTTCTGAGAATCATTCTGTGTAGTTTTTATAGGAAGATATTTCCTTTTCTACCTTTGACTTCAAAGCGGCTGAAATCTCCACTTGCAAATTCCACAAAAAGAGTGTTACAAGTCTGCTCTGTGTAAAGGATCGTTCAACTCTGTGAGTTGAATACACACCACACAAGGAAGTTACTGAGAATTCTTCTGTCCAGCCTTACATGAAAAAAACCCGTTTCCAACGAAGGCCTCTAAGTGGTCAAATTATCCACGTGCAGACTTTACAAACAGAGTGTTTCCAAACTGCTGAATGAAAAGCAAAGTTAAACTCTGAGAGTTGAACACACACATCGCACAGCAGTTTCTGAGAATGATTCTGTCTAGTTTTGAAACGAAGATATTTCCTTTTCTGCCATTGAACTTAAAGCGCTTGAAATCTACACTTGCAAATTGCACAAATAGAGTGTTTCAAATCTGCTCTGTCTAAGGGAACGTTCAACTCTGTGAGTTGAATACACACAACACAAGGAAGTTACTGGGAATTCTTCTGTCTAGCCTTACATGAAAAAAACTCGTTTCCAACGAAGGCCTCTAAGTGGTCAAAATATCCACGTGCAGACTTTACAAACAGAGTGTTTACAAACTGCTGAATGAAAAGAAAATTAAACTCTGAGAGTTGAACGCACACATCACAGAGCAGTTTTTGAGAATGCTTCTGTCTAGTTTTTATACGAAGATATTTCCTTTTCTACCATTGACCTCAAAGCGGCTGAAATCTCCACTTGCAAATTCCACAAAAAGAGTGTTTCAAGTCTGCTCTGTGTAAAGGATCGTTCAGCTCTGTGAGTTGAATACACACAACACTCGGAAGTTACTGAGAATTCTTCTGTCTAGCACAGTATGAAGAAATCCCGTTTCCAACTAAGGCCTCAAAGAGGTCTGAATATCCACTTGCAGAGTTTACAAACAGAGTGTTTCCTAACTGCTCTATGAAAAGAAAGGTTAAACTCTGTGAGTTGAACGCACACATCACAAAGAAGTTTCTGAGAATCATTCTGTCTAGTTTTTATAGGAAGATATTTCCTTTTCTACCTTTGACGTCAAAGCGGGTGAAATCTCCACTTGCAAATTCCACAAAAAGAGTGTCACAAGTCTGCTCTGTGTAAAGGATCGTTCAACTCTATGAGTTGAATACACACAACACAAGGAAGTTACTGAGAATTCTTCTGTCTAGAATAGTATGAAGAAATCCCGTTTCCAACGAAGGCCTCAAACAGGTCTGAACATCCACTTGCAGAGTTTACAAACAGAGTGTTTCCTAACTGCTCTATGAAAAGAAAGGTTAAACTCTGTGAGTTGAACGCACACATCACAAAGAAGTTTCTGAGAATCATTCTGTCTAGTTTTGAAACGAAGATATTTCCTTTTCTGCCATTGACCTTAAAGCGCTTGAAATCTACACTTGCAAATTGCACAAATAGAGTGTTTCAAATCTGCTCTGTCTAAGGGAACGTTCAAGTCTGTGAGTTGAATGCACACAACACAAGGAAGTTAGTGGGAATTCTTCTGTCTAGCCTTACATGAAAAAAACCCGTTTCCAACGAAGGCCTCTAAGTGGTCAAAATATCCACGCACAGACTTTACAAACAGAGTGTTTCCAAACCGCTGAATGAAAAGAAAAGTTAAACTCTGAGAGTTGAACGCACACATCACGCAGCAGTTTCTGAGAATGATTCTGTCTAGTTTTGAAACGAAGATATTTCCTTTTCTGCCTTTGGCCTCAAAGCGCTTGAAATCTCCACTTGCAAATTCCACAAAAAGAGTGTTTCAAATCTGCTCTGTGTAAATGAAAGTTCAACTGTGTGAGTTGAACACACACAACACAAAGAAGTTACCGGGAATTCTTCTGTGTAGCATAATATGAAGAAATCCCGTTTCCAACGAAGGCCTCCAAGGGGTCTGAATATCCACTTGCAGACTTTATAAACAGAGTGTTTACTAACTGCTCTATGAAAAGAAAGGTTAAACTCTGTGAGTTGAACACACACATCACAAAGGAGTTTCTGAGAATCATTCTGTCTAGTTTTTATATGAAGATATTTCCTTTTCTACCATTGACCTCAAAGCGGCTGAAATCTCCACTTACAAATTCTACAAAAAGAGTGTCTCAAGTCTGCTCTGTGTAAACGATCGTTCAACTCTGTGAGTTGAATACACACAACACAAGGAAGTTTCTGAGAATTCTTCTGTCTAGCAGAATATGAAGAAATCCCGTTTCCAACGAAGGCCACAAGATGTCAGAATATCCACTTACAGACTTTACAAACAGAGTGTTTCCTAACTGCTCTATGAACAGAAAGGTTAAACTCTGTTAGTTGAACGAACACATCACAACGCAGTTTGTGGGAATGATTCTGTCTAGTTTTGAAACGAAGATATTTCCTTTTCTGCCATTGACCTTAAAGCGCTTGAAATCTCCACTTGCAAATTCCACAAAAAGAGTGTTTCAAATCTGCTCTGTGTAAATGAAAGTTCAACTCTGTGAGTTGAACACACACAACACAAGGAAGTTACTGGGAATTCTTCTGTCTAGCCTTACATGAAAAAAATCCGTTTCCAACGAAGGCCTCCAAGTGGTCAAATTATCCACGTGCAGACTTTACAAACAGAGTGTTTCCAAACTGCTGAATGAAAAGAAAAGTTAAACTCTGAGAGTTGAACGCACACATCGCAGAGCAGTTTCTGAGAATGATTCTGTCTAGTTTTTATACGAAGATATTTCCTTTTCTGCCTTTGGCCTCAAAGCGCTTGAAATCTCCATTTGCAAATTCCACAAAAAGAGTGTTTCAAATCTGCTCTGTGTAAATGAAAGTTCAACTTTGTGAGTTGAACACACACAACACAAGGAAGTTACTGGGAATTCTTCTGTCTAGCCTTATATGAAAAAAACCCGTTTCCAACGAAGGCCTCAAAGAGGTCTGAATATCCACTTGCAGACTTTACAAACAGAGTGTTTCCTAACTGCTCTATGAAAAGAAAGGTTAAACTCTGTGAGTTGAACTCACACATCACAAAGGAGTTTCTGAGAATCATTCTGTCTTGTTTTTATAGGAAGATATTTCCTTTTCTACTTTGACTTCAAAGCGGCTGAAATCTCCACTTGCAAATTCCACAAAAAGAGTGTTACAAGTCTGCTCTCTGTAAAGGATCGTTCAACTGTGTGAGTTGAATACACACAACACAAGGAAGTTACTGAGAACTCTTCTGTCTAGCAGACTATGAAGAAATCCCGTTTCCAAAGATGGCCACAAGATGTCAGAATATCCACTTACGGACTTTACAAACAGAGTGTTTCCTAACTGCTCTATGAACAGAAAGGTTAAACTCTGTGAGTTGAACGAACACATCACAACGCAGTTTGTGGGAATGATTCTGTCTAGTTTTGAAACGAAGATATTTCCTTTTCTGCCATTGACCTTAAAGCGCTTGAAATCACCATTTGCCAATTGCACAAAAAGAGTGTTTCAAATCTGCTCTGTCTAAGGGAACGTTCAACTCTGTGAGTTGAATGTACACAACACAAGGAAGTTACTGGGAATTCTTCTGTCTAGCCTAACATGAAAAAAACCCGTTTCCAACGAAGGCCCCTAAGTGGTCAAAATATCCACGTGCAGACTTTACGAACAGAGTGTTTCCAAACCGCTGAATGAAAAGAAAAGTTAAACTCTGAGAGTTGAACGCACACATCACGCAGCAGTTTCTGAGAATGATTCTGTCTAGTTTTTATACGAAGATATTTCCTTTTCTGCCTTTGGCCCCAAAGCGCTTGAAATCTCCACTTGCAAATTCCACAAAAACAGTGTTTCAAATCTGCTCTCTCTAAATGAAAGTTCAAATCTGTCAGTTGAATACACACAACACAAGGGAAGTTACTGAGAATTCTTCTGTCTAGCATAATATGAAGAAATCTCGTTTCCAACGAAGGCCTCAAGGAGGTCTGAATATCCACTTGCAGACTTTACAAACAGAGTGTTTCCTAACTGCTCTATGACAAGAAATGTTAAACTCTGTGAGTTGAACGCACACATCACAAAGGAGTTTCTGAGAATCATTCTGTCTAGTCTTTATACGAAGATATTTACTTTTCTACCATTGACCTCAAAGCGGCTGAAATCTCCACTTGCAAATTCCACAAAAAGAGTGTTTCAAGTCTGCTCTGTGTAAAGGATCATTCAACTCTGTGAGTTGAATACACACAACACAAGGAAGTTACTGGGAATTATTCTGTCTAGCAGAATATGAAGAAATCCCGTTTCCAACGAAGGCCTCAAAGAGGTCTGAATATCCACTTGCAGACTTTACAAACAGAGTGTTTCCTAACTGCTCTATGAGAAGAAAAGTTAAACTCTGTGAGTTGAACGCACACATCACAAATGATTTTCTGAGAATCATTCTGTCTAGTTTTAATAGGAAGATATTTCCTTTTCTACCTTTGACTTCAAAGCGGCTGAAATCTCCACTTGCAAATTCCACAAAAAGAGTGTTACAAGTCTGCTCTGTGTAAAGGATCGTTCAACTCTGTGAGTTGAATACACACAACACAAGGGAAGTTACTGAGAATTCTTCTGTCTAGCCTTACATGAAAAAAACCCGTTTCCAACGAAGGCCTCTAAGTGGTCAAATTATCCACGTGCAGACTTTACAAACAGAGTGTTTCCAAACTGCTGAATGAAAAGAAAAGTTAAACTCTGAGAGTTGAACGCACACATCACAGAGCAGTTTCTGAGAATGATTCTGTCTAGTTTTTATACAAAGATATTTCCTTTTCTGCCTTTGGCCTCAAAGCGCTTGAAATCTCCATTTGCAAATTCCACAAAAAGAGTGTTTCAAATCTGCTCTGTGTAAATGAAAGTTCAACTCTGTGAGTTGAACACAGACAACACAAGGAAGTTACTGGGAATTCTTCTTTCTAGCAGAATATGAAGAAATCCCGTTTCCAACGAAAGCCTCAAGGATGTCTGAATATCCACTTGCAGACTTTACAAACAGAGTGTTTCCTAACTGCCCTATGAAAAGAAAGGTTAAACTCTGTGAGTTGAACGCACACATCACAAAGGAGTTTCTGAGAATCATTCTGTCTGGTTTCTATAGGAAGATATTTCCTATTCTACCATTGACCTCAAAGAGGCTGAAATCTCCACTTGCAAATTCCACAAAAAGAGTGTTTCAAGTCTGCTCTCTGTAAAGGATCGTTCAACTCTGTGAGTTGAATACACACAACACAAGGAAGTTACTGAGAATTCTTCTGTCCAGCAGAATATGAAGAAATCCCGTTTCCAACGAAGGCCACAAGACGTCAGAATATCCACTTACAGACTTTACAAACAGAGTGTTTCCTAACTGCTCTATGAACAGAAAGGTTAAATTCTGTGAGTTGAACGAACACATCACAACGCAGTTTGTGGGAATGATTCTGTCTAGTTTTGAAACGAAGATATTTCCTTTTCTGCCATTGACCTTAAAGCGCTTGAAATCTACACTTGCAAATTCCACAAAAAGAGTGTTTCAAGTCTGCTCTGTGTAAAGGATCGTTCAACTCTGTGAGTTGAGTACACACAACACAAGGAAGTTTCTGAGAATTCTTCTGTCTAGCCTTACATGAAAAAAACCCGTTTCCAACGAAGGCCTCTAAGTGGTCAAATTATCCACGTGCAGACATTACAAACAGAGTGTTTCCAAACTGCTGAATGAAAAGAAAAGTTAAACTCTGAGAGTTCAACGTACACATCGCAGAGCAGTTTCTGAGAATGATTCTGTCTAGTTTCTATACGAAGATATTCCCTTTTCTACCATTGACCTCAAAGCGGCTGAAATCTCCACTTGCAAATTCCACAAAAAGAGTGTTTCAAGTCTGCTCTGTGAAAAGGATCGTTCAACTCTGTGAGTTGAATACACACAACACAAGGAAGTTACTGAGAATTCTTCTGTCTACCATAATATGAAGAAATCCCGTTTCCAACGAAGGCCTCAAAGGGGTCTGAATATCCACTTGCAGACTTTTTAAACAGAGTGTTTACTAACTGCTCTAGGAAAAGAAAAGTTAAACTCTGTGAGTTGAACACACACATCACAAAGGAGTTTCTGAGAATCATTCTGTCTAGTTTTTATAGGAAGATATTTCCTTTTCTACCTTTGACTTCAAAGCTGCTGAAATCTCCACTTGCGAATTCCACAAAAAGAGTGTTACAAGTCTGCTCTGTGTAAAGGATCGTTCAAATCTGTGAGTTGAATACACACAACACAAGGAAAGTTACTGAGAATTCTTCTGTCTAGCAGAATATGAAGAAATCCCGTTTCCAACGAAGGCCACAAGATGTCAGAATATCCACTTACAGAATTTACAAACAGACTGTTTCCTAACTGCTCTAGGAAAAGAAAGGTTAAACTCTGTGAGTTGAACGAACACATCACAACGCAGTTTGTGGGAATGATTCTGTCTAGTTTTTATACGAAGATATTTCCTTTTCTACCATTGACCTCAAAGCGGCTGAAATCACCACTTGCCAATTGCACAAAAAGAGTGTTTCAAATCTGCTCTGTCTAAGGGAACGTTCAACTCTGTGAGTTGAATGTACACAACACAAGGAAGTTACTGGGAATTCTTCTGTCTAGCCTTACAGGAAAAAAACCCGTTTCCAACGAAGGCCTCTAAGTGGTCAAAATATCCACGTGCAGACTTTACAAACAGAGTGTTTCCAAACTGCTGAATGAAAAGAAAAGTTAAACTCTGAGAGTTGAACGCACACATCGCAGAACAGTTTCTGAGAATGATTCTGTCTAGTTTATATACGAAGATATTTCCTTTTCTGCCTTTGGTCCCAAAGCGCTTGAAATCTCCACTTGCAAATTCCACAAAAACAGTGTTTCAAATCTGCTCTCTCTAAATGAAAGTTCAACTCTGTCAGTTGAATACACACAACACAAGGAAGTTACTGAGAATTCTTCTGTCTAGCCTTATATGAAAAAAACCCGTTTCCAACGAAGGCCTCAAAGAGGTCTGAATATCCACTTGCAGACTTTACAAACAGAGTGTTTCCTAACTGCTCTATGAAAAGAAAGGTTAAACTCTGTGAGTTGAACGCACACATCACAAAGGAGTTTCTGAGAATCTTTCTGTCTAGTTTCTATAGGAAGATATTTCCTATTCTACCATTGACCTCAAAGCGGCTGAAATCTCCACTTGCAAATTCCACAAAAAGAGTGTTTCAAGTCTGCTCTGTGTAAAGGATCGTTCAACTGTGTGAGTTGAATACACACAACACAAGGAAGTTACTGAGAATTCTTCTGTCTAGCAGAATATGAAGAAATCCCTTTTCCAACGAAAGCCTCAAGGATGTCTGAATATCCACTTGCAGACTTTACAAACAGAGTGTTTCCCAACTGCTCTATGAAAAGAAAGGTTAAACTCTGTGAGTTGAACGCACACATCACAAAGGAGTTTCTGAGAATCATTCTGTCTAGTTTTGAAACGAAGATATTTCCTTTTCTGCCATTGACCTTAAAGCGCTTGAAATCTCCATTTGCCAATTGCACAAAAAGAGTGTTTCAAATCTGCTCTGTCTAAGGGAACGTTCAACTCCGTGAGTTGAATGTACACAACACAAGGAAGTTACTGGGAATTCTTTCTGTCTAGCCTTACAGGCAAAAAAACCCGTTTCCAACGAAGGCCTCTAAGTGGTCAAAATATCCACGTGCAGACTTTACAAACAGAGTGTTTCCAAACTGCTGAATGAAAAGAAAAGTTAAACTCTGAGAGTTGAACGCACACATCGCAGAGCAGTTTCTGAGAATGATTCTGTCTAGTTTTTATACGAAGATATTTCATTTTCTGCCTTTGGCCCCAAAGCGCTTGAAATCTCCACTTGCAAATTCCACAAAAACAATGTTACAAATCTGCTCTCTCTAAATGAAAGTTCGACTCTGTCAGTTGAATACACACAACACAGGGAAGTTACTGAGAATTCTTCTGTCTAGCCTTATTTGAAAAAAACCCGTTTCCAACGAAGGCCTCAAAGAGGTCTGAATATCCACTTGCAGACTTTACAAACAGAGTGTTTCCTAACTGCTCTATGAAAAGAAAGGTTAAACTCTGTGAGTTGAGCGCACACATCTCAAAGGAGTTTCTGAGAATCATTCTGTCTTGTTTCTATACGAAGATATTTCCTTTTCTACCATTGACCTCAAAGCGGCTGAAATCTCCACTTGCAAATTCCACAAAAAGAGTGTTTCAAGTCTGCTCTGTGTAAAGGATCGTTCAACTCTGTGAGTTGAATACACACAACACAAGGAAGTTACTGAGAATTCTTCTGTCTAGCAGAATATGAAGAAATCCCGTTTCCAACGAAGGCCTCAAAGAGGTCTGAATATCCCCTTGCAGACTTTACAAATAGAGTGTTTCCTAACTGCTCTATGAAAAGAAAAGTTAAACTCTGTGAGTTGAACGCACACATCACAGAGGAGTTTCTGAGAATCATTCTGTCTAGTTTTGAAACGAAGATATTTCCTTTTCTGCCATTGACCTTAAAGCGCTTGAAATCTACACTTGCAAATTGCACAAATAGAGTGTTTCAAATCTGCTCTGTCTAAGGGAACGTTCAACTCTGTGAGTTGAATGCACACAACACAAGGAAGTTATTGGGAATTCTTCTGTCTAGCCTTACATGAAAAAAACCCGTTTCCAACGAAGGCCTCTAAGTGGTCAAATTATCCACGTGCAGACTTTACAAACAGAGTGTTTCCAAACTGCTGAATGAAAAGAAAAGTTAAACTCTGAGAGTTGAAGGCACACATCGCAGAGCAGTTTCTGAGAATGATTCTGTCTAGTTTTTATACGAAGATATATCCTTTTCTGCCTTTGGCCTCAAAGCGCTTGAAATCTCCACTTGCAAATTCCAGAAAAAGAGAGTTTCAAATCTGCTCTGTCTAAATGAAAGTTCAACTCTGTCAGTTGAATACACACAACAAAAGCAAGTTACTGAGAATTCTTCTGTCTAGCCTTATATGAAAAAAACCCGTTTCCAACGAAGGCCTCAAAGAGGTCTGAATATCCACTTGCAGACTTTACAAACACAGTGTTTCCTAACTGCTCTATGAAAAGAAAGGTTAAACTCTGTGAGTTGAACGCACACATCACAAAGGAGTTTCTGAGAATCATTCTGTCTAGTCTTTATACGAAGTTATTTCCTTTTCTACCATTGACATCAAAGCGGCTGAAATCTCCACTTGCAAATTCCACAAAAAGAGTGTTTCAAGTATGCTCTGTGTAAAGGATCGTTCAACTCTGTGAGTTGAATACACACAACACAAGGAAGTTACTGAGAATTCTTCTGTCTAGCAGAATATGAAGAAATCCCGTTTCCAACGAAGGCCACAAGATGTCAGAATATCCACTTACAGACTTTACAAACAGAGTGTTTCCTAACAGCTCTATGAACAGAAAGGTTAAACTACTGTGAGTTGAACGAACACATCACAACGCAGTTTGTGGGAATGATTCTGTCTAGTTTTGAAACGAAGATATTTCCTTTTCTGCCATTGACCTTAAAGCGCTTGAAATCTCCACTTGCCAATTGCACAAAAAGAGTGTTTCAAATCTGCTCTGTCTAAGGGAACGTTCAACTCTGTGAGTTGAATGTACACAACGCAAGGAAGTTACTGGGAATTCTACTGTCTAGCCTTACAGGAAAAAAACCCGTTTCCAACGAAGGCCTCTAAGTGGTCAAAATATCCACGTGCAGACTTTACAAACAGAGTGTTTGCAAACTGCTGAATGAAAAGAAAAGTTAAACTCTGAGAGTTGAACGCACACATCGCAGAGCAGTTTCTGAGAATGATTCTGTCTAGTTTTTATACGAAGATATTTCCTTTTCTGCCTTTGGCCCCAAAGTGCTTGAAATCTCCACTTGCAAATTCCACAAAAACAGTGTTTCAAATCTGCTCTCTCTAAATGAAAGTTCAACTCTGTCAGTTGAATACACACAACACAAGGAAGTTACTGAGAATTCTTCTGTCTAGCAGAATATGAAGAAATCCCGTTTCCAACTATGGCCTCAAAGAGGTCTGAATATCCACTTGCAGACTTTACAAACAGAGTGTTTCCTAACTGCTCTGTGAAAAGAAAGGTCAAACTCTGTGAGTTGAACGCACACATCACAAAGGAGTTTCTGAGAATCATTCTGTCTAGTTTTTCTACGAAGATATTACCTTTTCTACTATTGACCTCAAAGCGGCTGAAATCTCCACTTGCAAATTCCACAAAAAGAGTGTTTCAAGTCTGCTCTGTGTAAAGGATCGTTCAACTCTGCGAGTTCAATACACACAACACAAGGAAGTTACTGAGAATTCTTCTGTCTAGCAGAATATGAAGAAATCCCGTTTCCAACGAAGGCCACAAGATGTCAGAATATCCACTTACAGATTTTACCAACAGAGTGTTTCCTAACTGCTCTATGAAAAGAAAGGTTAAACTTCTGTGAGTTGAACGAACACATCACAACGCAGTTTGTGGGAATGATTTCTGTCTAGTTTTGAAACGAAGATATTTCCTTTTCTGCCATTGACCTCAAAGCGCTTGAAATTTCCACTTGCCAATTGCACAAAAAGAGTGTTTCAAATCTGCTCTGTCTAAGGGAACGTTCAACTCTGTGAGTTGAATGTACACAACACAAGGAAGTTACTGGGAATTCTTCTGTCTAGCCTTACAGGAAAAAAACACGTTTCCAACGAAGGCCTCTAAGTGGTCAAAATATCCACGTGCAGACTTTACAAACAGAGTGTTTCCAAACTGCTGAATGAAAAGAAAAGTTAAACTCTGAGAGTTGAACGCACACATCGCAGAGCAGTTTCTGAGAATGATTCTGTCTAGTTTTTATACGAAGATATTTCCTTTACTGCCTTTGGCCCCAAAGCGCTTGAAATCTCCACTTGCAAATTCCACAAAAACAGTGTTTCAAATCTGCTCTCTCTAAATGAAAGTTCAACTCTGTCAGTTGAATACACACAACACAAGGAAGTTACTGAGAATTCTTCCCGTCTAGCATAATATGAAGAAATCCCGTTTCCAACGAAGGCCTCAAAGAGGTCTGAATATCCACTTGCAGACTTTACAAACAGAGTGTTTCCTAACTGCTCTATGAAAAGAAAGGTTAAACTCTGTGAGTTGAACGCACACATCACAAAGGAGTTTATGAGAATCTTTCTGTCTAGTTTTTATACGAAGATATTTCCTTTTCTACCATTGACTTCAAAGCGGCTGAAATCTCCACTTGCAAATTCCACAAAACGAGTGTTTCAAGTCTGCTCTGTGTAAAGGATCGTTCAACTCTGTGAGTTGAATACACACAACACAAGGAAGTTACTGAGAATTCTTCTGTCTAGGAGAATATGAAGAAATCCCGTTTCCAACGAAGGCCACAAGATGTCAGAATATCCACTTACAGAATTGACAAACAGACTGTTTCCTAACTGCTCTATGAAAAGAAAGGTTAAACTCTGTGAGTTGAACGAACACATCACAACGCAGTTTGTGGGAATGATTCTGTCTAGTTTTGAAACGAAGATATTTCCTTTTCTGCCGTTGACCTTAAAGCGCTTGAAATCTACATTTGCAAATTGCACAAATAGAGTGTTTCAAATCTGCTCTGTCTAAGGGAACGTTCAACTCTGTGAGTTGAATGCACACAACACAAGGAAGTTACTGGGAATTCTTCTGTCTAGCCTTACATGAAAAAAACCCGTTTCCAACGAAGGCCTCAAAGAGGTCTGAATATCCACGTGCAGACTTTACAAACAGAGTGTTTCCAAACCGCCGAATGAAAAGAAAGGTTAAACTCTGTGAGTTGAACGCACACATCACAAAGGAGTTTCTGAGAATCATTCTGTCTAGTTTTTATACGAAGGTATTTCCTTTTCTGCCTTTGGCCTCAAAGCGCTTGAAATCTCCACTTGCAAATTCCACAAAAAGAGTGTTTCAAATCTGCTCTGTGTAAATGAAAGTTCAACTCTGTGAGTTGAACACACACAACACAAGGAAGTTATTGGGAATTCTTCTGTCTAGCCTTATATGAAAAAAACCCGTTTCCAGCGATGGCCTCAAAGAGGTCTGAATATCCACTTGCAGACTTTACAAACAGAGTGATTCCTAACTGCTCTATGAAAAGAAAGGTTAAACTCTGTGAGTTGAACACACACATCTCAAAGGAGTTTCTGAGAATCATTCTGTCTAGTCTTTATATGAAGATAGTTTCCTTTTCTACCATTGACCTCAAAGCGGCTGAAATCTCCACTTGCAAATTCCACAAAAAGAGTGTTTCAAGTCTGCTCTGTGTAAAGGATCGTTCAACTCTGTTAGTTGAATACACACAACACAAGGAAGTTACTGAGAATTCTTCTGTCTAGCAGAATAGGAAGAAATCCCGTTTCCAACGAAGGCCACAAGATGTCAGAATATCCACTTACAGACTTTACAAACAGAGTGTTTCCTAACTGCTCTATGAACAGAAAGGTTAAACTCTGTGAGTTGAACGAACACATCACAACGCAGTTTGTGGGAATGATTCTGTCTAGTTTTGAAACCAAGATATTTCCTTTTCTGTCGTTGACCTTAAAGAGCTTGAAAACTACACTTGCAAATTGCACAAATAGAGTGTTTCAAATCTGCTCTGTCTAAGGGAACGTTCAACTCTGTGAGTTGAATGCACACAACACAAGGAAGTTACTGGGAATTCTTCTGTCTAGCCTTACAGGAAAAAAACCCGTTTCCAACGAAGGCCTCTAAGTGGTCAAAATATCCACGTGCAGACTTTACAAACAGAGTGTTTCCAAACTGCTGAATGAAAAGAAAAGTTAAACTCTGAGAGTTGAACGCACACATCGCAGAGCAGTTTCTGAGAATGATTCTGTCTAGTTTTTATACGAAGATATTTCCTTTTCTGCCTTTGGCCTCAAAGCGCTTGAAATCTCCACTTGCAAATTCCACAAAAAGAGTGTTTCAAATCTGCTCTGTGTAAATCAAAGTTCAACTCTGTGAGTTGAACACACACAACACAAGGAAGTTACCGGGAATTCTTCTGTCTAGCATAATATGAAGAAATCCCGTTTCCAACGAAGGCCTCAAAGAGGTCTGAATATCCACTTGCAGACTTTACAAACAGAGTGTTTCCTAACGGCTCTATGAAAAGAAAAGTTAAACTCTGTGAGTTGAATGCACACATCACAAAGGAGTTTCTGAGAATCATTCTGTCTAGTTTCTATAGGAAGATATTTCCTATTCTACCATTGACCTCAAAGCGGCTGAAATCTCCACTTGCAAATTCCACAAAAAGAGTGTTTCAAGTCTGCTCTCTGTAAAGGATGGTTCAACTCTGTGAGTTGAATACACACAACACAAGGAAGTTACTGAGAATTCTTCTGTCTAGCATATTATGAAGAAATCTCGTTTCCAACGAAGGCCTCAAGGAGGTCTGAATATCCACTTGCAGACTTTACACACAGAGTGTTTCCTAACTGCTCTATGAAAAGAAAGGTTAAACTCTGTGAGTTGAACGCACACATCACAAAGGAGTTTCTGAGAATCATTCTGTCTAGTCTTTATACGAAGATATTTCCTTTTCTACCATTGACCTCAAAGCGGCTGAAATCTCCACTTGCAAATTCCACAAAAAGAGTGTTTCAAGTCTGCTCTGTGTAAAGGATCGTTCAACTCTGTGGGTTGAATACACACAACACAAGGAAGTTACTGAGAATTCTTCTGTCTAGCAGAATATGAAGAAATCCCGTTTCCAACGAAGGCCACATGATGTCAGAATATCCACTTACAGAATTTACAAACAGAGTGTTTCCTAACTGCTCTATGAAAAGAAAGGTTAAACTCTGTGAGATGAACGAACACATCACAACGCAGTTTGTGGGAATGATTCTGTCTAGTTTTTATAGGAAGATATTTCCTTTTCTACTTTGACTTCAAAGCGGCTGAAATCTCCACTTGCAAATTCCACAAAAAGAGTGTTACAAGTCTGCTCTCTATAAAGGATCGTTCAACTGTGTGAGTTGAATACACACAACACAAGGAAGTTACTGAGAACTCTTCTGTCTAGCCTTATAGGAAAGAAACCCGTTTCCAACGAAGGCCTCTAAGTGGTCAAAATATCCACGTGTAGACTTTACAAACAGAGTGTTTCCAAACTGCTGAATGAAAAGCAAAGTTAAACTCTGAGAGTTGAACGCACACATCGCAGAGCAGTTTCTGAGAATGATTCTGTCTAGTTTTTATACGAAGATATTTCCTTTTCTGCCTTTGGCCTCAAAGCGCTTGAAATCTCCATTTGCAAATTCCACAAAAAGAGTGTTTCAAATCTGCTCTGTGTAAATGAAAGTTCAAATCTGTGAGTTGAACACACACAACACAAGGAAGTTACTGGAATTCTTCTGTCTAGCAGAATATGAAGAAATCCTGTTTCCAACGAAAGCCTCAAAGATGTCTGAATATCCACTTGCAGACTTTACAAACAGAGTGTTTCCTAACTGCTCTATGAAAAGAAAGGTTAAACTCTGTGAGTTGAACGCACACATCACAAAGGAGTTTCTGAGAATCATTCTGTCTAGTTTTTATATGAAGATATTTCCTTTTCTACCATTGACCTCAAAGCGGCTGAAATCTCCACTTACAAATTCCACAAAAAGAGTGTCTCAAGTCTGTTCTGTGTAAACGATAGTTCAACTCTGTGAGTTGAATACACACAACACAAGGAAGTTTCTGAGAACTCTTCTGTCTAGCAGAATATGAAGAAATCCCGTTTCCAACGAAGGCCACAAGATGTCAGAATATCCACTTACAGAATTGACAAACAGACTGTTTCCTAACTGCTCTATGAAAAGAAAGGTTAATCCCTGTGAGTTGAACGAACACATCACAACGCAGTTTGTGGGAATGATTCTGTCTAGTTTTGAAACGAAGATATTTCCTTTTCTGCCTTTGACCTTAAAGCGCTTGAAATCTCCACTTGCCAATTGCACAAAAAGAGTGTTTCACATCTGCTCTGTCTAAGGGAACGTTCAACTCTGTGAGTGGAATGTACACAACACAAGGAAGTTACTGGGAATTCTTCTGTCTAGCCTTACATGAAAAAAACCCGTTTCCAACGAAGGCCTCTAAGTGGTCAAGTTATCCACGTGCAGACTTTACAAACAGAGTGTTTCCAAACTGCTGAATGAAAAGAAAAGTTAAACTCTGAGAGTTGAACGCACACATCGCAGAGCAGTTTCTGAGAATGCTTCTGTCTAGTTTTTATACGAAGATATTTCCTTTTCTGCCTTTGGCCTCAAAGCGCTTGAAATCTCCACCTGCAAATTCCACAAAAAGAGTGTTTCAAATCTGCTCTGTGTAAATGAAAGTTCAACTCTGTGAGCTGAACACACACAACACAAGGAAGTTACTGGGAATTCTTCTGTCTAGCCTTATATGAAAAAAACCCGTTTCCAACGAAGGCCTCAAAGAGGTCTGAATATCCACTTGGAGACTTTACAAACAGAGTGTTTCCTAACTGCTCTATGAAAAGAAAGGTTAAACTCTGTGAGTTGAACGCACACATCACAAAGGAGTTACTGAGAATCATTCTGTCTAGTTTCTATATGAAGATATTTCCTATTCTACCATTGACCTCAAAGCGGCTGAAATCTCCACTTGCAAATTCCACAAAAAGAGTGTTTCAAGACTGTTCTGTGTAAAGGATCATTCAACTCTGTGAGTTGAATACACACAACACAAGGAAGTTACTGAGAATTCTTCTTTCTAGCAGAATATGAAGAAATCCCGTTTCCAACGAAAGCCTCAAGGATGTCTGAATATCCACTTGCAGACTTTACAAACAGAGTGTTTCCTAACTGCTCTATGAAAAGAAAGGTTAAACTCTGTCAGTTGAACGCACACATCACAAAGGAGTTTCTCAGAATCATTCTGTCTAGTTTTGAAACGAAGATATTCCCTTTTCTGCCATTGACCTTAAAGCGCTTGAAATCTACACTTGCAAATTGCACAAATAGAGTGTTTCAAATCTGCTCTGTCAAGGGAATGTTCAACTCTGTGAGTTGAATGCACACAACACAAGGAAGTTACTGGGAATTCTTCTGTCTAGCAGAATATGAAGAAATCCCGTTTCCAACGAAGGCCTCAAAGAGGTCTGAATATCCACTTGCAGACTTTACAAACAGAGTGTTTCCTAACTGCTCTATGAAAAGAAAGGATAAACTCTGTGAGTTGAACTCACACATCACAAAGGAGTTTCTGAGAATCATTTCTGTCTAGTTTTTATACGAAGATATTTCCTTTTCTGCCTTTGGCCCTAAAGCGCTTGAAATCTCCACTTGCAAATTCCACAAAAACAGTGTTTCAAATCTGCTCTCTCTAAATGAAAGTTCAACTCTGTCAGTTGAATACACACAACACAAGGAAGTTACTGAGAATTCTTCTGTCTAGCCTTATATGAAAAAAACCTGTTTCCAACGAAGGCCTCAAGGAGGTCTGAATATCCACTTGCAGACTTTACAAACAGAGTGTTTCCTAACTGCTCTATGAAAAGAAAGGTTAAACTCTGTGAGTTGAACGCACACATCACAAAGGAGTTTCTGAGAATCATTCTGTCTAGTTTCTATAAGAAGATATTTCCTATTCTACCATTGACCTCAAAGCGGCTGAAATCTCCACTTGCAAATTCGACAAAAAGAGTGTTTCAAGCCTGCTCTCTGTAAAGGATCCTTCAACTCTGTGAGTTGAATACACCCAACACAAGGAAGTTACTGAGAATTCTTCTGTCTAGCAGAATATGAAGAAATCCCGTTTCCAACGAAGGCCACAAGATGTCAGAATATCCACTTACAGACTTTTGAGAGTGTTTCCTAACTGCTATATGAACAGAAAGGTTAAACTCTGTGAGTTGAACGAACACATCACAACGCAGTTTGTGGGAATGATTCTGTCTAGTTTTGAAACGAAGATATTTCCTTTTCTGCCGTTGACCTTAAAGCGCTTGAAATCTACACTTGCAAATTGCACAAATAGAGTGTTTCAAATCTGCTCTGTCTAAGGGAACGTTCAACTCTGTGAGTTGAATGCACACAACACAAGGGAAGTTACTGGGAATTCTTCTGTCTAGCCTTACATGAAAAAAACCAGTTTCTAACGAAGGCCTCTAAGTGGTCAAAATATCCACGTGCAGACTTTACAAACAGAGTGTTTCCAAACCGCTGAATGAAAAGAAAAGTTAAACTGTGAGAGTTGAACGCACACATCACGCAGCAGTTTCTGAGAATGATTACTCTGTCTAGTTTTTATACGAAGATATTTCCTTTTCTGCCTTTGGCCTCAAAGCGCTTGAAATCTCCACTTGCAAATTCCACAAAAAGAGTGATTCAAATCTGCTCTGTGTAAATCAAAGTTCAACTCTGTGAGTTGAACACACACAAAACAAGGAAGTTACTAGGAATTCTTCTGTCTAGCAGAATATGAAGAAATCCCGTTTCCAACGAAGGCCTCAAAGAGGTCTGAATATCCACTTGCAGACTTTACAAACAGAGTGTTTCCTAACTGCTCTATGAAAAGAAAAGTTGAACTCTGTGAGTTGAACGCACACATCACAAAGGAGTTTCTGAGAATCATTCTGTCTAGTTTTTATAGGAAGATATTTCCTTTTCTACCATTGACTTCAAAGAGGCTGAAATCTCCACTTGCAAATTCCACAAAAAGAGTGTTTCAAGTCTGCTCTGTGTAAAGGATCGTTCAACTCTGTGAGTTGAATACACACAACACGCGGAAGTTACTGAGAATTCTTCTGTCTAGCAGAATATGAAGAAATCCCGTTTCCAACGAAGGCCACAAGATGTCAGAATATCCACTTACAGACTTTACAAACAGTGTGTTTCCTAACTGCTCTATGAACGGAAAGGTTAAACTACTGTGAGTTGAACGAACACATCACAACGCAGTTTGTGGGAATGATTCTGTCTAGTTTTGAAACGAAGATATTTCCTTTTCTGCCATTGACCTTAAAGTGCTTGTAATCTCCACTTGCCAATTGCACAAAAAGAGTGTTTCAAATCTGCTCTGTCTAAGGGAACTTTCAACTCTGTGAGTTGAATGTACACAACACAAGGAAGTTACTGGGAATTCTTCTGTCTAGCCTTATATGAAAAAAACCCGTTTCCAACGAAGGCCTCAAAGAGGTCTGAATATCCACTTGCAGACTTTACAAACAGAGTGTTTCCTAAGTGCTCTATGAAAAGAAAGGTTAAACTCTGTGAGTTGAACGCACACATCACAAAGGAGTTTCTGAGAATCATTCTGTCTGGTTTTGAAACGAAGATATTTCCTTTTCTGCCTTTGGCCTCAAAGCGCTTGAAATCTCCACTTGCAAATTCCACAAAAACAGTGTTTCAAATCTGCTCTGTGTAAATGAAAGTTGAACTCTGTGAGTTGAACACACACAACGCAAGGAAGTTACTGGGAATTCTTCTGTCTAGCACAGTATGAAGATATCCCGTTTCCAACGAAGGCCTCAAAGAGGTCTGAATATCCACTTGCAGAGTTTACAAACAGAGTGTTTCCTAACTGCTCTATGAAAAGAAAGGTTAAACTCTGTGAGTTGAACGCACACATCACAAAGGAGTTTCTGAGAATCATTCTGTCTAGTTTTTATACGAAGATATTTCCTTTTCTACCATTGACCTCAAAGCGGCTGAAATCTCCACTTGCAAATTCCACAAAAAGAGTGTTTCAAATCTGCTCTGTGTAAACCATCGTTCAACTGTGTGAGTTGAATACACACAACACAAGGAAGATTCTAAGAATTCTTCTGTCTAGCAGAATATGAAGAAATCCCGTTTCCAACGAAGGCCACAAGATGTCAGAATATCCACTTACAGACTTTACAAACAGAGGTGTTTCCTAACTGCTCTATGAAAAGAAAAGTTAAACTCTGTGAGTTGAACGACCACATCACAACGCAGTTTGTGGGAATGATTCTGCCTAGTTTTGAAACGAAGATATTTCCTTTTCTGCCGTTGACCTTAAAGCGCTTGAAATCTACACTTGCAAATTGCACAAATAGAGTGTTTCAAATCTGCTCTGTCTAAGGGAACGTTCAACTCTGTGAGTTGAATGCACACAACACAAGGAAGTTACTGGGAATTCTTCTGTCTAGCCTTACATGAAAAAAACCCGTTTCCAACGAAGGCCTCTAAGTGGTCAATATATCCACGTGCAGACTTTACAAACAGAGTGTTTCCAAACCGCTGAATGAAAAGAAAACTTAAATTCTGAGAGTTGAACGCACACATCACGCAGCAGTTTCTGATAATGATTCTGTCTAGTTTTGAAACGAAGATATTTCCTTTTCTGCCTTTGGCCTCAAAGCGCTTGAAATCTCCACTTGCAAATTCCACAAAAAGAGTGTTTCAAATCTGCTCTGGGTAAATGAATGTTCAACTCTGTGAGTTGAACACACACAACACAAGGAAGTTACTGGGAATTCTTCTGTCTAGCATAATATGAAGAATTCCCGTTTCCAACGAAGGCCTCAAAGAGGTCTCAATATCCACTTGCAGACTTTACATACAGAGTGTTTCCTAACTGCTCTATGAAAAGAAAGGTTAAACTCTGTGAGTTGAACGCACACATAACAAAGGAGTTTCTGAGAATCATTCTGTCTAGTTTTTATAGGAAGATATTTCCTTTTCTACCTTTGACTTCAAAGCGGCTGAAATCTCCACTTGCAAATTCCACAAAAAGAGTGTTACAAGTCTGCTCTGTGTAAAGGATCGTTCAACTCTGTGAGTTGAATACACACAACACGCGGAAGTTACTGAGAATTCTTCTGTCTAGCAGAATATGAAGAAATCCCGTTTCCAACGAAGGCCACAAGATGTCAGAATATCCACTTACAGACTTTACAAACAGAATGTTTCCTAACTGCTCTATGAACAGAAAGGTTAAACTCTGTGTGTTGAACGCACACATCACAAAGGAGTTTATGACAATCATTCTGTCTAGTTTTGAAACGAAGATATTTCCTTTTCTGCCGTTGACCTTAAAGCGCTTGAAATCTACAATTGCAAATTGCACAAATAGAGTGTTTCAAATCTGCTCTGTCTAAGGGAACGTTCAACTCTGTGAGTTGAATGCACACAACACAAGGAAGTTACTGGGAATTCTTCTGTCTAGCCTTACATGAAAAAAACCCGTTTCCAACGAAGGCCTCTAAGTGGTCAAAATTTCTACGTGCAGACTTTACAAACAGAGTGTTTCCAAACCGCTGAATGAAAAGAAAAGTTAAACTCTGAGAGTTGAACGCACACATCACGCAGCAGTTTCTGAGAATGATTCTGTCTAGTTTTTATACGAAGATATTTCCTTTTCTGCCTTTGGCCTCAAAGCGCTTGAAATCTCCACTTGCACATTCCACAAAAAGAGTGTTTCAAATCTGCTCTGTGTAAATGAAAGTTCAACTCTGTGAGTTGAACACACACAACACAAGGAAGTTACTGGGAATTCTTCTGTCTAGCCTGATATGAAAAAAACCCGTTTCCAACGAAGGCCTCAAAGAGGTCTGAATATCCACTTGCAGACTTTACAAACAGAGTGTTTCCTAACTGCTCTATGAAAAGAAAGGTTAAACTCTGTGAGTTGAACGCACACATCACAAAGGAGTTTCTGAGAATCATTCTGTCTAGTCTTTATATGAAGATAGTTTCCTTTTCTACCATTGACCTCAAAGCGGCTGAAATCTCCACTTGCAAATTCCACAAAAAGAGTGTTTCAAGTCTGCTCTGTGTAAACGATCGTTCAACTCTGTGAGTTGAATACACACAACACAAGGAAGTTACTGAGAATTCTTCTGTCTAGCAGAATATGAAGAAATCCCGTTTCCAACGAAGGCCACAAGATGTCAGAATATCCACTTACAGAATTTACAAACAGACTGTTTCCTAACTGCTCTATGAAAAGAAAGGTTAAACTGTGTGAGTTGAACGAACACATCACAACGCAGTTTGTGGGAATGATTCTGTCTAGTTTTGAAACAAAGATATTTCCTTTTCTGCCATTGACCTTAAAGCGCTTGAAATCTCCACTTGCCAATTGCACAAAAAGAGTGTTTCACATCTGCTCTGTCTAAGGGAACGTTCAACTCTGTGAGTTGAATGTACACAACACAAGGAAGTTACTGGGAATTCTTCTGTCTAGCCTTACAGGAAAAAAACCCGTTTCCAACGAAGGCCTCTAAGTGGTCAAAATATCCACGTGCAGACTTTACAAACAGAGTGTTTCCAAACTGCTGAATGAAAAGAAAAGTTAAACTCTGAGAGTTGAACGCACACATCGCAGAGCAGTTTGCTGAGAATGATTCTGGCTAGTTTTCATACGAAGATATTTCCTTTTCTGCCTTTGGCCACAAAGCGCTTGAAATCTGCACTTGCAAATTCCACAAAAACAGTGTTTCTAATCTGCTCTCTCTAAATGAAAGTTCAACTCTGTCAGTTGAATACACACAACACAAGGAAGTTACTGAGAATTCTTCTGTCTAGCATAATATGAAGAAATCCCGTTTCCAACGAAGGCCTCAAAGGGGTCGGAATATCCACTTGCAGACTTTATAAACAGAGTGTTTACTAACTGCTCTATGAAAAGAAAGGTTAAACTCTGTGAGGTGAACACACACATCACAAAGGAGTTTCTGAGAATCATTCTGTCTAGTTTCTATAGGAAGATATTTCCTATTCTACCATTGACCTCAAAGCGGCTGAAATCTCCACTTGCAAATTCCACAAAAGGAGTGTTTCAAGTCTGCTCTGTGTAAAGGATCGTTCAACTCTGTGAGTTGAATACACACAACACAAAGAAGTTACTGAGAATTCTTCTTTCTAGCAGAATATGAAGAAATCCCGTTTCCAACGAAAGCCTCAAGGATGTCTGAATATCTACTTGCAGACTTTACAAACAGAGTGTTTCCTAACTGCTCTATGAAAAGAAAGGTTAAACTCTGTGAGTTGAACGCACACATCACAAAGGAGTTTCTGAGAATCATTCTGTCTAGTTTTGAAAGGAAGATATTTCCTTTTCTGCCGTTGACCTTAAAGCGCTTGAAATGTACACTTGCAAATTGCACAAATAGGCTCTTTCAAATCTGCTCTGTCTAAGGGAACGTTCAACTCTGTGAGTTGAATGCGCACAACACAAGGAAGTTACTGGGAATTCTTCTGTCTAGCCTTACAGGAAAAAAACCCGTTTCCAACGAAGGCCTGTAAGTGGTCAAAATATCCCCGTGCAGACTTTACAAACACAGTGTTTCCACACTGCTGAATGAAAAGAAAAGTTAAACTCTGAGAGTTGAACGCACACATCGCAGAGCAGTTTCTGAGAATGATTCTGTCTATTTTCTGTAGGAAGATATTTCCTATTCTACCTTTGACCTCAAAGCGGCTGAAATCTCCACTTCCAAATTCCACAAAAAGAGTGTTTCAAGTCTGCTCTCTGTAAAGGATAGTTCAACTCTGTGAGTTGAATACACACAACACAAGGAAGTTACTGAGAATTATTCTGTCTAGCATAATATGAAGAAATCCCGTTTCCAACGAAGGCTTCAAAGAGGTCTGAATATCCACTTGCAGACTTTACAAACAGAGTGTTTCCTAACTGCTCTATGAAAAGAAAGGTTAAACTCTGTGAGTTGAACGCACACATCACAAAGGAGTTTCTGAGAATCATTCTGTCTAGTTTTTCTACGAAGATATTTCCTTTTCTACTATTGACCTCAAAGTGGATGAAATCTCCACTTGCAAATTCCACAAAAAGAGTGTTTCAAGTCTGCTCTGTGTAAAGGATCGTTCAACTCTGTGAGTTGAATACACACAACACAAGGAAGTTACTGAGAATTCTTCTGTCTAGCAGAATATGAAGAAATCCCGTTTCCAACGAAGGCCACAAGATGTCAGAATATCCACTTACAGAATTTACAAACATAGTGTTTCCTAACTGCTCTATGAAAAGAAAGGTTAAACTCTGTGAGATGAAAGAACACATCACAACGCAGTTTGTGGGAATGATTCTGTCTAGTTTTGAAACGAAGATATTTCCTTTTCTGCCATTGACCATAAAGCGCTTGAAATCTCCACTTGCCAATTGCACAAAAAGAGTGTTTCAAATCTGCTCTGTCTAAGGGAACGTTCAACTCTGTGAGTTGAATGTACACAACACAAGGAAGTTACTGGGAATTCTTCTGTCTATCCTTACATGAAAAAAACCCGTTTCCAACGAAGACCTCTAAGTGGTGAAATTATCCACGTGCAGTCTTTACAAACAGAGTGTTTCCAAACTGCTGAATGAAAAGAAAAGTTAAACTCTGAGAGTTGAACGCACACATCGCAGAGCAGTTTCTGAGAATGATTCTGTCTAGTTTTTATACGAAGATATTTCCTTTTCTGCCTTTGGCCCCAAAGCGCTTGAAATCTCCACTTGCAAATTCCACAAAAACAGTGTTACAAATCTGCTCTCTCTAAATGAAAGTTCAACTCTGTCAGTTGAAAACACACAACACAAGGAAGTTACTGAGAATTCTTCTGTCTAGCCTTATATGAAAAAAACCCGTTTCCAACGAAGGCCTCAAAGAGGTCTGAATATCCACTTGCAGACTTTACAAACACAGTGTTTCCTAACTGCTCTATGAAAAGAAAGGTTAAACTCTGTGAGTTGAACACACACATCACAAAGGAGTTTCTGAGAATCATTCTGTCTAGTTTTTATACGAAGATATTTCCTTTTCTACCATTGACCTCAACGCGGCTGAAATCTCCACTTGCAAATTCTACAAAAAGAGTGTTTCAAGTCCGCTCTGTGTAAAGGATCGTTCAACTCTGTGAGTTGAATACACACAACACAAGGAAGTTACTGAGAATTCTTCTGTCTAGCAGAATATGAAGAAATCCCGTTTCCAACGAAGGCCTCAAGATGTCAGAATATCCAATTACAGACTTTACAAACAGAGTGTTTCCTAACTGCTCTATGAACAGAAAGGTTAAACTCTGTGAGTTGAACGAACACATCACAACGCAGTTTGTGGGAATGATTCTGTCTAGTTTTGAAACGAAGATATTTCCTTTTCTGCCATTGACCTTAAAGCGCTTGAAATCTACACTTGCAAATTGCACAAATAGAGTGTTTCAAATCTGCTCTCTCTAAGGGAACGTTCAACTCTGTGAGTTGAATGCACACAACACAAAGAAGTTACTGGGAATTCTTCTGTCTAGCCTTACATGAAAAAAACCCGTTTCCAACGAAGGCCTCTAAGTGGTCAAGTTATCCACGTGCAGACTTCACAAACAGAGTGTTTCCAAACTGCTGAATGAAAACAAAAGTTAAACTCTGAGAGTTGAACGCACACATCGCAGAGCAGTTTCTGAGAATGATTCTGTCTAGTTTTTCTACGAAGATATTTCCTTTTCTGCCTTTGGCCTCAAAGCGCTTGAAATCTCCACTTGCAAATTCCACAAAAAGAGTGTTTCAAATCTGCTCTGTGTAAATGAAAGTTCAACTCTGTGAGTTGAACACACACAACACAAGGAAGTTACTGGGAATTCTTCTGTCTAGCAGAATATGAAGAAATCCCGTTTCAAACGAAGGCCACAAAGAGGTCTGAATATCCACTTGCAGACTTTACAAACAGAGTGTTTCCTAACTGCTCTATGAAAAGAAAAGTTAAACTCTGTGAGTTGAACGCACACATCACAAAGGAGTTTCTGAGAATCATTCTGTCTAGTTTCTATAGGAAGATATTTCCTATTCTACCATTGACCTCAAAGCGGCTGAAATCTCCACTTGCAAATTCCACAAAAAGAGTCTTTCAAGACTGTTCTGTGTAAAGGATCATTCAAGTCTGTGAGTTGAATACACACAACACAAGGAAGTTACTGAGAATTCTTCCGTCTAGCAGAATATGAAGAAATCCCGTTTCCAACGAAGGCCACAAGATGTCAGAATATCCACTTACAGAATTTACAAACAGACTGTTTCCTAACTGCTCTATGAAAAGAAAGGTTAAACTCTGTGAGTTGAACGAACACATCACAACGCAGTTTGTGGGAATGATTCTGTCTAGTTTTGAAACGAAGATATTTCCTTTTCTGCCATTGACCTTAAAGCGCTTGAAACCTACACTTGCAAATTGCACAAATAGAGTGTTTCAAATCTGCTCTGTCTAAGGAACGTTCAACTCTGTGAGTTGAATGCACACAACACAAGGAAGTTACTGGGAATTCTTCTGTCTAGCCTTACATGAAAAAAAACCCGTTTCCAACGAAGGCCTCTAAGTGGTCAAAATATCCACGTGCAGACTTTACAAACAGAGTGTTTCCAAACTGCTGAATGAAAAGAAAAGTTAAACTCTGAGAGTTGAACGCACACATCACAGAGCAGTTTCTGAGAATGATTCTGTCTAGTTTTTCTACGAAGATATTTCCTTTTCTGCCTTTGGCCCCAAAGCGCTTGAAATCTCCACTTTCAAATTCCACAAAAACAGTGTTTCAAATCTGCTCTCTCCAAATGAAAGTTCAACTCTGTCAGTTGAATACACACAACACAAGGAAGTTACTGAGAATTCTTCTGTCTAGCAGAGCATGAAGAAATCCCTTTTCCAACGAAGGCCTCAAAGAGGTCTGAATATCCACTTGCAGACTTTACAAACAGAGTGTTTCCTAACTGCTCTATGAAAAGAAAGGTTAAACTCTGTGAGTTGAACACACACATCACAAAGGAATTTCTGAGAATCATTCTGTCTAGTTTTTCTACGAAGATATTTCCTTTTCTACTATTGACCTCAAAGCGGCTGAAATCTCCACTTGCAAATTCCACAAAAAGAGTGTTTCAAGTCTGCTCTGTGTAAAGGATCGTTCAACTCTGTGACTTGAATACACACAACACAAGGAAGTTACTGAGAATTCTTCTGTCAAGCAGAATATGAAGAAATCCCGTTTCCAACGAAGGCCTCAAAGAGGTCTGAATATCCACTTGCAGACTTTACAAACAGAGTGTTTCCTAACTGCTCTATGAAAAGGAAAGTTAAACTCTGTGAGTTGAACGCACACATCACAAAGGAGTTTCTGAGAATCATTCTGTCTAGTTTTGAAACGAAGATATTTCCTTTTCTGCCATTGACCTCAAAGCGCTTGAAATCTCCACTTGCCAATTGCACAAAAAGAGTGTTTCAAATCTGCTCTGTCTAAGGGAACGTTCAACTCTGTGAGTTGAATGTACACAACACAAGGAAGTTACTGGGAATTCTTCTATCTAGCCTTACAGGAAAAAAACCCGTTTCCAACGAAGGCCTCTAAGTGGTCAAAATATCCACGTGCAGACATTACAAAGAGAGTGTTTCCAAACTGCTGAATGAAAAGAAAAGTTAAACTCTGAGAGTTGAACGCACACATCGCAGAGAAGTTTCTGAGAATGATTCTGTCTAGTTTTGAAACGAAGATATTTCCTTTTCTGCCTTTGGCCTCAAAGCGCTTGAAATCTCCATTTGCAAATTCCACAAAAAGAGTGTTGCAAATCTGCTCTGTGTAAATGAAAGTTCAACTCTGTGAGTTGAACACACACAACACAAGGAAGTTACTGGGAATTCTTCTGTCTAGCAGAATATGAAGAAATCCCGTTTCCAACGAAGGCCTCAAAGAGGTCTGAATATCCACTTGCAGACTTTACAAACAGAGTGTTTCCTAACTGCTCTATGAAAAGAAAAGTTAAACTCTGTGAGTTGAACGCACACATCACAAAGGAGTTTCTGAGAACCATTCTGTCTTGTTTTTATACGAAGATATTTCCTTTTCTACCATGGACCTCAAAGCGGCTGAAATCTCCACTTGCAAATTCCACAAAAAGAGTGTTTCAAGTCTGCTCTGTGTAAAGGATCGTTCAACTCTGTGAGTTGAATACACACAACACAAGGGAGATTCTGAGAATTCTTCTGTCTAGCAGAATATGAAGAAATCCCGTTTCCAACGAAGGTCTCAACGAGGTCTGAATATCCACTTGCAGACTTTACAAACAGAGCGTTTCCTAACTGCTCTATGAAAAGAAAGGTTAAACTGCTGTGAGTTGAACACACACATCACAAAGGAGTTTCTGAGAATCATTCTGTCTAGTTTCTATAGGAAGATATTTCCTATTCTACCATTGACCTCAAAGCGGCTGAAATCTCCACTTGCAAATTCCACAAAAAGAATGTTTCAAGTCTGCTCTGTGTAAACGATCGTTCAACTCTGTGAGTTGAATACACACAACACAAGGAAGTTACTGAGAATTCTTCTGTCTAGCATAATATGAAGAAATTCCGTTTCCAACGAAGGCCTCAAAGAGGTCTGAATATCCACTTGCAGACTTTACAAACAGAGTGTTTCCTAACTGCTCTATGAAAAGAAAAGTTAAACTCTGTGATTTGAACGCACACATCACAAAGGAGTTTCTGAGAATCATTCTGTCTAGTTTTTATACGAAGATATTTCCTTTTCTACCATTGACCTCAAAGCGGTTGAAATCACCACTTGCCAATTGCACAAAAAGAGTGTTTCAAATCTGCTCTGTCTAAGGGAACGTTCAACTCTGTGAGTAGAATGTACACAACACAAGGAAGTTACTGGGAATTCTTCTGTCTAGCCTTACATGAAAAAAACCCGTTTCCAACGAAGGCCTCTAAGTGGTCAAAATATCCACGTGCAGACTTTACAAACAGAGTGTTTCCAAACCGCTGAATGAAAAGAAAAGTTAAACTCTGAGAGTTGAACGCACACATCACGCAGCAGTTTCTGAGAATCATTCTGTCTAGTTTTGAAACGAAGATATTTCCTTTTCTGCCTCTGGCCTCAAAGCGCTTGAAATCTCCACTTGCAAATTCCACAAAAAGAGTGTTTCAAATCTGCTCTGTGTAAATGAAAGTTCAACTCTGTGAGTTGAACACACACAACACAAGGAAGTTACTGGGAATTCTTCTGTCTAGCATAATATGAATAAATCCCGTTTCCAACGAAGGCCTCAAGGAGGTCTGAATATCCACTTGCAGACTTTACAAACAGAGTGTTTCCTAACTGCTCTATGAAAAGAAAGGTTAAACTGTGTGAGTTGAACGCACACATCACAAAGGAGTTTCTGAGAATCATTCTGTCTAGTTTCTATACGAAGATATTCCCTTTTCTACCATTGACCTCAAAGCGGCTTAAATCTCCACTTGCAAATTCCACAAAAAGAGTGTTTCAAGTCTGCTCTGTGTAAAGGAGCGTTCAACTCTGTGAGTTGAATACACACAACACAAGGAAGATACTGAGAATTCTTCTGTCTAGCCAAATATGAAGAAATCCCGTTTCCAACGAAGGCCACAAGATGTCAGAATATCCACTTACAGAATTGACAAACAGACTGTTTCCTAACTGCTCTATGAAAAGAAAGGTTAAACTCTGTGAGTTGAACGAACACATCACAACGCAGTTTGTGGGAATGATTCTGTCTAGTTTTTATACGAAGATATTTCCTTTTCTACCATTGACCACAAAGCGGCTGAAATCACCACTTGCCAATTGCACAAAAAGAGTGTTTCAAATCTGCTCTGTCTAAGGGAACGTTCAACTCTGTGAGTTGAATGTACACAACACAAGGAAGTTCCTGGGAATTCTTCTGTCTAGCCTTACAAGAATAAAACCCGTTTCCAACGAAGGCCTCTAAGTGGTCAAAATATCCACGTGCAGACTTTACAAAGAGAGTGTTTCCAAACTGCTGAATGAAAAGAAAAATTAAACTACTGAGAGTTGAATGCACACATCGCAGAGCAGTTTCTGAGAATGATTTCTGTCTAGTTTTTATACGAAGATATTTCCTTTTCTGCCTTTGGCCCCAAAGCGCTTGAAATCTCCACTTGCAAATTCCACAAAAACAGTGTTTCAAATCTGCTCTCTCCAAATGAAAGTTCAACTCTGTCAGTTGAATACACACAACACAAGGAAAGTTACTGAGAATTCTTCTGGTCTAGCACAGTATGAAGAAATCCCGTTTCCAACGAAGGCCTCAAGGAGGTCTGAATATCCACTTGCAGAGTTTACAAACAGAGTGTTTCCTAACTGCTCTATGAAAAGAAAGGTTAAACTCTGTGAGTTGAACGCACACATCACAAAGAAGTTTCTGAGAATCATTCTGTCTAGTTTTTATAGGAAGATATTTCCTTTTCTACCTTTGACTTCAAAGCGGCTGAAATCTCCACTTGCAAATTCCACAAAAAGAGTGTTCCAAGTCTGCTCTGTGCAAAGGATCGTTCAACTCTGTGAGTTGAATACACACAACACAAGGAAGTTACTGAGAATTCTGTCTAGGAGAATATGAAGAAATCCCATTTCCAACGAAGGCCAAAAAATGTCAGAATATCCACTTACAGACTTTACAAACAGAGTGTTTCCTAACTGCTCTATGAACAGAAAGGTTAAACTCTGTGAGTTGAACGAACACATCACAACGCAGTTTGTGGGAATGATTCTGTCTAGTTTTTATAGGAAGATATTTCCTTTTCTACCTTTGACTTCAAAGCGGCTGAAATCTCCACTTGCAAATTCCACAAAGAGAGTGTTACAAGTCTGCTCTGTGTAAAGGATCGTTCAACTCTGTGAGTTGAATACACACAACACAAGGAAGTTACTGAGAATTCTTCTGTCTAGCCTTACATGAAAAAAACCGTTTCCAACGAAGGCCTCTAAGTGGTCAAAATATCCACGTGCAGACTTTACAAACAGAGTGTTTCCAAACTGCTGAATGAAAAGAAAAGTTAAACTCTGAGAGTTGAACGCACACATCACAGAGCAGTTTCTGAGAATGATTCTGTCTAGTTTTGAAACGAAGATATTTCCTTTTCTGCCTTTGGCCTCAAAGCGCTTGAAATCTCCACTTGCAAATTCCACAAAAAGAGTGTTTCAAATCTGCTCTGTGTAAAGGAAAGTTCAACTCTGTGAGTTGAACACACACAACACAAGGAAGTTACTGGGAATTCTTCTGTCTAGCATAATATGAAGAAATCCCGTTTCCAACGAAGGCCTCAAGGAGGTCTGAATATCCACTTGCAGACTTTACAATCAGAGTGTTTCCTAACTGCTCTATGAAAAGAAAGGTTAAACTCTGTGAGTTGAACGCACACATCACAAAGGAGTTTCTGAGAATCATTCTGTCTAGTTTCTATAGGAAGATATTTCCTATTCTACCATTGACCTCAAAGCGGCTGAAATCTCCACTTCCAAATTCCACAAAAAGAATGTTTCTAGTCTGCTCTGTGTAAAGGATCCTTCAACTCTGTGAGTTGAATACACACAACACAAGGAAGTTACTGAGAATTCTTCTGTCTAGCATAATATGAAGAAATCCCGTTTCCAACGAAGGCCTCAAGGAGGTCTGAATATCCACTTGCAGACTTTACAAACAGAGTGTTTCCTAACTGCTCTATGAAAAGAAAGGTTATACTCTGTGAGTTAAACGCAGACATCACAAAGGAGTTTCTGAGAATCACTCTGTCTAGTTTTTATACGAAGATATTTCCTTTTCTACCATTGACCTCAAAGCGGCTGAAATCTCCACTTGCAAATTACACAAAAAGAGTGTTTCAAGTCTACTCTGTGTAAAGCATCGTTGAACTCTGTGAGTTGAAAACACACAACACAAGGAAGTTACTGAGAATTCTTCTGTCTAGCATAGTATGAAGAAATCCCGTTTCCAACGAAGGCCTCAAAGAGGTCTGATTATCCACTTGCAGAGTTTACAAACAGAGTGTTTCCTAACTGCTCTATGAAAAAAAAGGTTAAACTCTGTGAGTTCAACGCACACATCACAAAGAAGTTTCTGAGAATCATTCTGTCTAGTTTTTCTACGAAGATATTACCTTTTCTACTATTGACCTCAAAGCGGCTGAAATCTCCAATTGCAAATTCCACAAAAAGAGTGTTTCAAGTCTGCTCTCTGTAAAGGATCGTTCAACTCTGTGAGTTGAATACACACAACACAAGGAAGTTACTGAGAATTCTTCTGTCTAGCAGAATATGAAGAAATCCCGTTTCCAACGAAGGCCACAAGATGTCAGAATATCCACTTACACACTTTACAAACAGAGTGTTTCCTAACTGCTCTATGAACAGAAAGGTTAAACTCTGTGAGTTGAACGAACACATCACAACGCAGTTTGTGGGAATGATTCTGTCTAGTTTTGAAACGAAGATATTTCCTTTTCTGCCATTGACCTTAAAGCGCTTGAAATCTACACTTGCAAATTGCACAAACAGAGTGTTTCAAATCTGCTCTGTCTAAGGGAACGTTCAACTCTGTGAGTTGAATGCACACAACACAAGGAAGTTACTGGGAATTCTTCTGTCTAGCCTTACATGAAAAAAACCCGTTTCCAACGAAGGCCTCTAAGTGGTCAAAATATCCACGTGCAGACTTTACAAACAGAGTGTTTCCAAACCGCTGAATAAAAAGAAAAGTTAAACTCTGAGAGTTGAACGCACACATCACGCAGCAGTTTCTGAGAATGATTCTGTCTAGTTGTTATACGAAGATATTTCCTTTTCTGCCTTTGGCCCCAAAGCGCTTGAAATCTCCACTTGCAAATTCCACAAAAACAGTGTTTCAAATCTGCTCTCTCTAAATGATAGTTCAACTCCGTCAGTTGAATACACACAACACAAGGAAGTTACTGAGAATTCTTCTGTCTAGCATAGTATGAAGAAATCCCGTTTCCAACGAAGGCCTCAAACAGGTCTGAATATCCACTTGCAGAGTTTACAAACAGAGTGTTTCCTAACTGCTCTATGAAAAGAAAGGTTAAACTCTGTGAGTTGAACGCACACATCACAAAGAAGTTTCTGAGAATCATTTCTGTCTAGTCTTTATACGAAGATATTTACCTTTCTACCATTGACCTCAAAGCGGCTGAAATCTCCACTTGCAAATTCCACAAAAAGAGTGTTTCAAGTCTGCTCTCTGTAAAGGATCATTCAACTCTGTGAGTTGAATAAACACAACACAAGGAAGTTACTGAGAATTCTTCTTTCTGGCAGAATATGAAGAAATCCCGTTTCCAACGAAAGCCTCAAGGATGTCTGAATATCCACTGGCAGACTTTACAAACAGAGTGTTTCCTAACTGCTCTATGAAAAGAAAGGGTAAACTCTGTGAGTTGAATGCACACATAACAAAGGAGTTTCTGAGAATCATTCTGTCTTGTTTTGAAACGAAGATATTTTCTTTTCTGCCATTGACCTTAAAGCGCTTGAAATCTACACTTGCAAATTGCACAAAGAGAGTGTTTCAAATCTGCTCTGTCTAAGGGAACGTTCAACTCTGTGAGTTGAATGCACACAACACAAGGAAGTTACTGGGAATTCTTCTGTCGAGCCTTACATGAAAAAAACCCGTTTCCAACGAAGGCCTCTAAGTGGTCAAAATTTCCACGTGCAGACTTTACAAACAGAGTGTTTCCAAACCGCTGAATGAAAAGAAAAGTTAAACTCTGAGAGTTGAACGCACACATCACACAGCAGTTTCTGAGAATGATTCTGTCTAGTTTTGAAACGAAGATATTTCCTTTTCTGCCTTTGGCCTCAAAGCGCTTGACATCTCCACTTGCAAATTCCACAAAAAGAGTGTTTCAAATCTGCTCTGTGTAAATGAAAGTTCAACTCTGTGAGTTGAACACACACAACACAAGGAAGTTACTGGGAATTCTTCTGTCTAGCAGAATATGAAGAAATCCCGTTTCCAACGAAGGCCTCAAAGAGGTCTGAATATCCACTTGCAGACTTTACAAACAGAGTTTTTCCTAACTGCTCTATGAAAAGAAAAGTTAAACTCTGTGAGTTGAACGCACACATCACAAAGGAGTTTCTGAGAATCATTCTGTCTAGTTTTTATACGAAGAGATTTCCTTTTCTACCATTGACCTCAAAGCGGCTGAAATCTCCACTTGCAAATTCCTCAAAACGAGTGTTTCAAGTCTGCTCTGTGTAAAGGATAGTTCAACTCTGTGAGTTGAATACACACAACACAAGGAAGTTACTGAGAATTCTTCTGTCTAGCATAGTATGAAGAAATCCCGTTTCCAACGAAGGCCTCAAAGAGGTCTGTATATCCACTTGCAGACTTTACAAACAGAGTGTTTCCTAACTGCTCTATGAAAAGAAAGGTTAAACTCTGTGAGTTGAACGCACACATCACAAAGAAGTTTCTGAGAATCATTCTGTCTAGTTTTGAAACGAAGATATTTCCTTTTTCTGCCGTTGACCTTAAAGCGCTTGAAATCTACACTTGCAAATTGCACAAATAGAGTGTTTCAAATCTGCTCTGTCTAAGGGAACGTTCAACTCTGTGAGTTGAATGCACACAACACAAGGAAGTTACTGGGAATTCTTCTGTCTAGCCTTACATGAAAAAAACCCGTTTCCAACGAAGACCTCTAAGTGGTAAAAATATCCACGTGCAGACTTTACAAACAGAGTGTTTCCAAACTGCTGAATGAAAAGAAAAGTTAAACTCTGAGAGTTGAACGCACACATGACAGAGCAGTTTCTGAGAATGATTCTGTCTAGTTTTTATACGAAGATATTTCCTTTTCTGCCTTTGGCCCCAAAGCGCTTGAAATCTCCACTTGCAAATTCCACAAAAACAGTGTTTCAAATCTGCTCTCTCTAAATGAAAGTTCAACTCTGTCAGTTGAATACACACAACACAAGGAAGTTGCTGAGAATTCTTCTGTCTAGCCTTACATGAAAAAAACCCGTTTCCAACGAAGGCCTCAAAGCGGTCAAAATATCCACTTGCAGAATTTACAAACAGAGTGTTTCCTAACTGCTGTATGAAAAGAAAGGTTAAACTCTGTGAGTTGAACACACACATCACAAAGGAGTTTCTGAGAATCATTTCTGTCTAGTTTTTCTACGAAGATATTTCCTTTTCTACATATTGACCTCAAAGCGGCTGAAATCTCCACTTGCAAATTCCACAAAAAGAGTGTTTCAAGTCTGCTCTGTGTAAAGGATCGTTCAACCTCTGTGAGTTGAATACACGCAACACAAGGAAGTTACTGAGAATTCTTCTGTCTAGCAGAATATGAAGAAATCCCGTTTCCAACGAAGGCCACAAGATGTCAGAATATCCACTTACAGACTTTACAAACAGAGTGTTTCCTAACTGCTCTATGAACAGAAAGGTTAAACTACTGTGAGTTGAACGAACACATCAGAACGCAGTTTGTGGGAATGATTCTGTCTAGTTTTGAAACGAAGATATTTCCTTTTCTGCCATTGACCTTAAAGCGCTTGAAATCTCCATTTGCCAATTGCACAAAAAGAGTGTTTCAAATCTGCTCTGTCTAAGGGAACGTTCAAATCTGTGAGTTGAATGTACACAACACAAGGAAGTTACTGGGAATTCTTCTATCTAGCCTTACATGAAAAAAACCCGTTTCCAACGAAGGCCTCTAAGTGGTCAAAATTTCCACGTGCAGACTTTACAAACAGAGTGTTTCCAAACCGCTGAATGAAAAGAAAAGTTAAACTCTGAGAGTTGAACGCACACATCACGCAGCAGTTTCTGAGAATGATTCTGTCTACTTTTTATACGAAGATATTTCCTTTTCTGCCTTTGGCCCCAAAGCGCTTGAAATCTCCACTTGCAAATTCCACAAAAACAGTGTTTCAAATCTGATCTCTCTAAATGAAAGTTCAACTCTGTCAGTTGAATACACACAACACAAGGAAGTTACTGAGAATTCTTCTGTCTAGCAGAATATGATGAAATCCCGTTTCCAACGAAAGTCTCAAAGATGTCTGAATATCCACTTGCAGACTTTACAAACAGAGTGTTTCCTAACTGCTCTATGAAAAGAAAGGTTAAACTCTGTGAGTAGAACGCACACATCACAAAGGAGTTTCTGAGAATCATTCTGTCTAGTTTTTATACGAAGATATTTCCTTTTCTACCATTGACCTCAAAGCGGCTGAAATGTCCACTTGCAAATTCCACAAAAAGAGTGTTTCAAATCTGCTCTGTGTAAACCATCGTTCAACTCTGTGAGTTGAATACACACAACACAAGGAAGATTCTGAGAATTCTTCTGTCTAGCACAATATGAAGAAATCCCGTTTCCAACGAAGGCCACAAGATGTCAGAATATCCACTTACAGAATTTACAAACAGACTGTTTCCTAACTGCTCTATGAAAAGAAAGGTTAAACTGCTGTGAGTTGAACGAACACATCACAACGCAGTTTGTGGGAATGATTCTCTGTCTAATTTTGAAACGAAGATATTTCCTTTTCTGCCATTGACCTTAAAGCGCTTGAAATCTCCATTTGCCAATTGCACAAAAAGAGTGTTTCAAATCTGCTCTGTCTAAGGGAACGTTCAACTCTGTGAGTTGAATGTACACAACACAAGGAAGTTACTGGGAATTCTTCAGTCTAGCCTTACATGAAAAAAACCCGTTTCCAACGAAGACCTCTAAGTGGTCAAATTATCCACGTGCAGACTTTACAAACAGAGTGTTTCCAAACTGCTGAATGAAAAGAAAAGTTAAACTCTGAGAGTTGAACGCACACATCGCAGAGCAGTTTCTGAGAATGATTCTGTCTAGTTTTGAAACGAAGATATTTCCTTTTCTGCCTTTGGCCTCAAAGCGCTTGAAATCTCCACTTGCAAATTCCACAAAAAGAGTGTTTCAAATCTGCTCTGTGTAAATGAAAGTTCAACTCTGTGAGTTGAACACACACAACACAAGGAAGTTATTGGGAATTCTTCTGTCTAGCAGAATATGAGGAAATCCCGTTTCCAACGATGGCCTCAAAGAGGTCTGATTATCCACTTGCAGAATTTACAAACAGAGTGTTTCCTAACTGCTCTATGAAAAGAAAGGTTAAACTCTGTGAGTTGAACGCACACATCATAAAGGAGTTTCTGACAATCGTTCTGTCTAGTTTTTCTACGAAGATATTTCCTTTTCTACTATTGACCTGAAAGCGGCTGAAATCTCCACTTGCAAATTCCACAAAAAGAGTGTTTCAAGTCTGCTCTGTGTAAAAGATCGTTCAACTCTGTGAGTTGAATACACACAACACAAGGAAGTTACTGAGAATTCTTCTGTCAAGCAGAATATGAAGAAATCCCGTTTCCAACGAAGGCCACAAGATGTCAGAATATCCACTTACAGACTTTACAAACAGAGTGTTTCCTAACTGCTCTATGAACAGAAAGTTTAAACTCTGTGAGTTGAACGAACACATCACAACGCAGTTTGTGGGAATGATTCTGTCTAGTTTTGAAACGAAGATATTTCCTTTTCTGCCATTGACCTTAAAGCTCTTGAAATCTCCACTTGCCAATTGCACAAAAAGAGTATTTCAAATCTGCTCTGTCTAAGGGAACGTTCAACTCTGTGAGTTGAATGTACACAACACAAGGAAGTTACTGGGAATTCTTCTGTCTAGCCTTACATGAAAAAAAACCCGTTTCCAACGAAGGCCTCTAAGTGGTCAAAATATCCACGTGCAGTCTTTACAAACAGAGTGTTTCCAAACCGCTGAATGAAAAGAAAAGTTAAACTCTGAGAGTTGAACGCACACATCATGCAGCAGTTTCTGAGAATGATTCTGTCTAGTTTTGAAACGAAGATATTTCCTTTTCTGCCTTTGGCCTCAAAGCGCTTGAAATCTCCACTTGCAAATTCCACTAAAAGAGTGTTTCAAATCTGCTCTGGGTAAATGAAAGTTCAACTCTGTGAGTTGAACACACACAACACAAGGAAGTTACTGGGAATTCTTCTGTCTAGCAGAATATGATGAAATCCCGTTTCCAACGAAAGTCTCAAAGATGTCTGAATATTCTCTTGCAGACTTTACAAACAGAGTGTTTCCTAACTGCTCTATGAAAAGAAAGGTTAAACTCTGTGAGTAGAACGCACACATCACAAAGGAGTTTCTGAGAATCATTCTGTCTAGTTTTTATAGGAGGGAAGATATTTCCTTTTCTACCATTGACCTCAAAGCGGCTGAAATCTCCACTTGCAAATTCCACAAAAAGAGTGTTTCTAGTCTGCTCTGTGTAAAGGATCGTTCAACACTGTGAGTTGAATACACACAACACAAGGAAGTTACTGAGAATTCTTCTGTCTAGCAGAATATGAAGAAATCCCGTTTCCAACGAAGGCCTCAAGGAGGTCTGAATATCCACTTGCAGACTTTACAAACAGAGTGTTTCCTAACTGCTCTATGAACAGAAAGGTTAACCTCTGTGAGTTGAACGAACACATCACAACGCAGTTTGTGGGAATGATTCTGTCTAGTTTTGAAACGAAGATATTTCCTTTTCTGCCGTTGACCTTAAAGCGCTTGAAATCTATACTTGCAAATTGCACAAATAGAGTGTTTCAAATCTGCTCTGTCTAAGGGAACGTTCAACTCTGTGAGTTGAATGCACACAACACAAGGAAGTTACTGGGAATTCTTCTGTCTAGCCTTACGTGAAAAAAACCCGTTTCCAACAAAGACCTCTAAGTGGTCAAAATATCCACGTGCAGACTTTACAAACAGAGTGTTTCCAAAGTGCTGAATGAAAAGAAAAGTTAAACTCTGAGAGTTGAACGCACACATCACAGAGCATTTTCTGAGAATGATTCTGTCTAGTTTTTATACGAAGATATTTCCTTTTCGGCCTTTGGCCCCAAAGCGGCTGAAATCTCCACTTGCAAATTCCACAAAAACAGTGTTATAAATCTGCTCTCTCTAAATGAAAGTTCAACTCTGTCAGTTGAATACACACAACACAAGGAAGTTACTGAGAATTCTTCTTTCTAGCAGAATATGAAGAAATCCCGTTTCCAACGAAAGCCTCAAGGATGTCTGAATATCCACTTGCAGACTTTACAAACAGAGTGTTTCCCAACTGCTCTATGAAAAGAGAGGTTAAACTCTGTGAGTTGAACGCACACATCACAAAGGAGTTTCTGAGAATCATTCTGTCTAGTTTTTATACGAAGATATTTCCTTTTCTACCATGGACCTCAAAGCGGCTGAAATCTCCAATTGCAAATTCCACAAAAAGAGTGTTTCAAGTCTGCTCTGTGTAAAGGATCGTTCAACTCTGTGAGTTGAATACACACAACACAAGGAAGATTCTGAGAATTCTTCTGTCTAGCAGAATATGAAGAAATCCCGTTTCCAACGAAGGCCACAAGATGTCAGAATATCCACTTACAGAATTTACAAACAGACTGTTTCCTAACTGCTCTATGAAAAGAAAGGTTAAACTCTGTGAGTTGAACGAGCACATCACAACGCAGTTTGTGGGAATGATTCTGTCTAGTTTTGAAACGAAGATATTTCCTTTTCTGCCGTTGACCTTAAAGCGCTTGAAATCTACACTTGGAAATTGCACAAATAGAGTGTTTCAAATCTGCTCTGTCTAAGGGAACGTTCAACTCTGTGAGTTGAATGCACACAACACAAGGAAGTTACTGGGAATTCTTCTGTCTAGCCTTACATGAAAAAAACCCGTTTCCAACGAAGGCCTCAAAGAGGTCTGAATATCCACGTGCAGACTTTACAAACAGAGTGTTTCCAAACCGCTGAATGAAAACAAAGGTTAAACTCTGTGAGTTGAACGCACACATCACAAAGGAGTTTCTGAGAATCATTCTGTCTAGTTTTGAAACGAAGATATTTCCTTTTCTGCCTTTGGCCTCAAAGCGCTTGAAATCTCCATTTGCAAATTCCACAAAAAGAGTGTTTCAAATCTGCTCTGGGTAAATGAAAGTTCAACTCTGTGAGTTGAACACACACAACACAAGGAAGTTACTGGGAATTCTTCTGTCTAGCCTTATATGAAAAAAACCCGTTTCCAACGAAGGCCTCAAAGAGGTCTGAATATCCACTTGCAGACTTTACAAACAGAGTGTTTCCTAACTACTCTATGAAAAGAAAGGTTAAACTCTGTGACTTGAACGCACACATCACAAAGGAGTTTCTGAGAATCATTCTGTCTAGTTTCTATAGGAAGATATTTCCTATTCTACCATTGACCTCAAAGCGGCTGAAATCTCCACTTGCAAATTCCACAACAAGAGTGTTTCAAGTATGCTCTGTGTAAAGGATCGTTCAACTCTGTGAGTTGAATACACACAACACAAGGAAGTTACTGAGAATTCTTCTGTCTAGCATAAAATGAAGAAATCCCGTTTCCAACGAAGGCCTCAAGGAGGTCTGAATATCCACTTGCAGACTTTACAAACAGAGTGTTTCCTAACTGCTCTATGAAAAGAAAGGTTAAACTCTGTGAGTTGAACGCACACATCACAAAGGAGTTTCTGAGAATCATTCTGTCTAGTTTTTATACGAAGATATTTCCTTTTCTACCATTGACCTCAAATCGGCTGAAATCTCCACTTGCAAATTCCACAAAAAGATTGTTTCAAGTCTGCTCTGTGTAAAGGATCGTTCAACTCTGTGAGTTGAATACACACAACACAAGGAAGTTACTGAGAATTCTTCTGTCTAGCCTTACATGAAAAAAACCCGTTTCCAACGAAGGCCTCTAACTGGTCAAAATATCCACGTGCAGACTTTACAAACAGAGTGTTTCCAAACCGCTGAATGAAAAGAAAAGTTAAACTCTGAGAGTTGAACGCACACATCACGCAGCAGTTTCTGAGAATGATTCTGTCTAGTTTTTATACGAAGATATTTCCTTTTCTGCCTTTGGCCTCAAAGCGCTTGAAATCTCCATTTGCAAATTCCACAAAAAGAGTGTTTCAAATCTGCTCTGTGTAAATGAAAGTTCAACTCTGTGAGTTGAATACACACAACACAAGGAAGTTCCTGAGAATTCTTCTGTCTAGCATAATATGAAGAAATCCCGTTTCCAACGAAGGCCTCAAAGAGATCTGAATATCCACTTGCAGACTTTAGAAACAGAGTGTTTCCTAACTGCTCTATGAAAAGAAAAGTTAAACTCTGTGATTTGAACTCACACATCACAAAGGAGTTTATGAGAATCATTCTGTCTAGTTTCTATAGGAAGATATTTCCTATTCTACCATTGACCTCAAAGCGGCTGAAATCTCCACTTGCAAATTCCACAAAAGGAGTGTTTCAAGTCTGCTCTGTGTAAAGGATCGTTCAACTCTGTGAGTTGAATACACACAACACAAGGAAGTTACTGAGAATTCTTCTGTCTAGCATAATATGAAGAAATCCCGTTTCCAACGAAAGCCTCAAGGATGTCTGAATATCCACTTGCAGACTTTACAAACAGAGTGTTTCCTAACTGCTCTATGAAAAGAAAGGTTAAACTCTGTGAGTTGAACGCACACATCACAAAAGAGTTTCTGAGAATCATTCTGTCTAGTTTTGAAACGAAGATATTTCCTTTTCTGCCATTGACCTTAAAGCGCTTGAAATCTCCACTTGCCAATTGCACAAAGAGTGTTTCAAATCTGCTCTGTCTAAGGGAACGTTCAACTCTGTGAGTTGAATGTACACAACACAAGGAAGTTACTGGGAATTCTTCTGTCTAGCCTTACATGCAAAAAACCCGTTTCCAACGAAGGCCTCTAAGTGGTCAAAATATCCACGTGCAGACTTCACAAACAGAGTGTTTCCAAACCGCTGAATGAAAAGAAAAGTTAAACTCTGAGAGTTGAACGCACACATCACGCAGCAGCTTCGGAGAATGATTCTGTCTAGTTTTGAAACGAAGATATTTCCTTTTCTGCCTTTGGCCTCAAATCGCTTGAAATCTCCACTTGCAAATTCCACAAAAAGAGTGTTTCAAATCTGCTCTGGGTAAATGAAAGTTCAACTCTGTGAGTTGAACACACACAACACAAGGAAGTTACTGGGAATTCTTCTGTCTAGCAGAACATGAAGAAATCCCGTTTCCAACGAACGCCTCAAAGATGTCTGAATATCCACTTGCAGACTTTACAAACAGAGTGTTTCCTAACTGCTCTATGAAAAGAAAGGTTAAACTCTGTGAGTTGAACGCACACATCACAAAGGAGTTTCTGAGAATCATTCTGTCTAGTTTCTATAGGAAGATATTTCCTATTCTACCATTGAGCTCAAAGCGGCTGAAATCTCCACTTGCAAATTCCACAAAAAGAGTGTTTCAAGTCTGCTCTCTGTAAAGGATCGTTCAACTCTGTGAGTTGAATACACACAACACAAGGAAGTTACTGAGAAGTATTCTGTCTAGCAGAATATGAAGAAATCCCGTTTCCAACGAAGGCCACAAGATGTCAGAATATCCACTTACAGACTTTACAAACAGAGTGTTTCCTAACTGCTCTATGAACAGAAAGGTTAAACTGCTGTGAGTTGAACGAACACATCACAACGCAGTTTGTGGGAATGATTCTGTCTAGTTTTTATACGAAGATATTTCCTTTTCTACCATTGACCTCAAAGCGGCTGAAATCACCACTTGCCAATTGCACAAAAAGAGTGTTTCAAATCTGCTCTGTCTAAGGGAACGTTCAACTCTGTGAGTTGAATGTACACAACACAAGGAAGTTACTGGGAATTCTTCTGTCTAGCCTTACATGAAAAAAACCCGTTTCCAACGAAGGCCTCAAAGAGGTCTGAATATCCACGTGCAGACTTTACAAACAGAGTGTTTCCAAACCGCTGAATGAAAAGAAAAGTTAAACTCTGTGAGTTGAACGCACACATCACAAAGGAGTTTCTGAGAATCATTCTGTCTAGTTTTGAAACGAAGATATTTCCTTTTCTGCCTTTGGCCTCAAAGCGCTTGAAATCTCCACTTGCAAATTCCACAAAAAGAGTGTTTCAAATCTGCTCTGCGTAAATGAAAGTTCAACTCTGTGAGTTGAACACACACAACACAAGGAAGTTACTGGGAATTCTTCTGTCTAGCCTTATATGAAAAAATCCCGTTTCCAACGAAGGCCTCAAGGAGGTCTGAATATCCACTTGCAGACTTTACAAACAGAGTGTTTCCTAACTGCTCTATGAAAAGAAAGGTTAAACACTGTGAGTTGAACGCACACATCACAAAGGAGTTTCTGAGAATCATTCTGTCTAGTTTTTATAGGAAGATATTTCCTTTTCTACCTTTGACTTCAAAGCGGGTGAAATCTCCACTTGCAAATTCCACAAAAAGAGTGTTACAAGTCTGCTCTGTGTAAAGGATCGTTCAACTCTGTGAGTTGAATACACACAACACAAGGAAGTTACTGAGAATTCTTCTGTCTAGCAGAATATGAAGAAATCCCGTTTCCAACGAAGGCCACAAGATGTCAGAATATCCACTTACAGAATTTACAAACAGATTGTTTCCTAACTGCTCTATGAAAAGAAAGGTTAAACTCTGTGAGTTGAACGAACACATCACAACGCAGTTTGTGGGAATGATTCTGTCTAGTTTTGAAACGAAGATATTTCCTTTTCTGCCATTGACCGTAAAGCGCTTGAAATCTACACTTGCAAATTGCACAGAGTGTTTCAAATCTGCTCTGTCTAAGGGAACGTTCAACTCTGTGAGTTGAATGCACACAACACAAGGAAGTTACTGGGAATTCTTCTGTCTAGCCTTACATGAAAAAAACCCGTTTCCAACGAAGGCCTCTAAGTGGTCAAATTATCCACGTGCAGACTTTACAAACAGAGTGTTTCCAAACTGCTGAATGAAAAGCAAAGTTAAACTCTGAGAGTTGAACGCACACATCGCAGAGCAGTTTCTGAGAATGATTCTGTCTAGTTTTTATACGAAGATATTTCCTTTTCTGCCTTTGGCCTCAAAGCGCTTGAAATCTCCATTTGCAAATTCCACGAAAAGAGTGTTTCAAATCTGCTCTGTGTAAATGAAAGTTCAACTCTGTGAGTTGAACACACACAACACAAGGAAGTTACTGGGAATTCTTCTGTCTAGCATAATATGAAGAAATCCCGTTTCCAACGAAGGCCTCAAAGGGGTCTGAATATCCACTTGCAGACTTTATAAACAGAGTGTTTACTAAATGCTCTATGAAAAGAAAGGTTAAACTCTGTGAGTTGAACACACACATCACAAAGGAGTTTCTGAGAATCATTCTGTCTAGTCTTTATACGAAGATATTTCCTTTTCTACCATTGACCTCAAAGCGGCTGAAATCTCCACTTGCAAATTCCACAAAAAGAGTGTTTCAAGTCTGCTCTGTGTAAAGCATCGTTCAACTCTGTGAGTTGAATACACACAACACAAGGAAGTTACTGAGAATTCTTCTGTCTAGCAGAATATGAAGAAATCCGGTTTCCAACGAAGGCCTCAAGGAGGTCTGAATATCCACTTGCAGACTTTACAAACAGAGTGTTTCCTAACTGCTCTATGAACAGAAAGGTTAAACTCTGTGAGTTGAACGAACACATCACAACGCAGTTTGTGGGAATGATTCTGTCTAGTTTTGAAACGAAGATATTTCCTTTTCTGCCATTGACCTTAAAGCGCTTGAAATCTACACTTGCAAATTGCACAAATAGAGTGTTTCAAATCTGCTCTGTCTAAGGGAACATTCATCTCTGTGAGTTGAATGCACACAACACAAGGAAGTTACTGGGAATGCTACCGTCTAGCCTTACATGAAAAAAAACCCGTTTCCAACGAAGGCCTCTAAGTGGTCAAAATATCCACGTGCAGACTTTACAAACAGAGTGTTTCCAAACTGCTGAATGAAAAGAAAAGTTAAACTCTGCGAGTTGAACGCACACATCACAGAGCGGTTTCTGAGAATGATTCTGTCTAGTTTTTATACGAAGATATTTCCTTTTCTGCCTTTGGCCCCAAAGCGCTTGAAATCTCCACTTGCAAATTCCACAAAAACAGTGTTCCAAATCTGCTCTCTCTAAATGAAAGTTCAACTCTGTCAGTTGAATACACACAACACAAAGAAGTTACTGAGAATTCTTCTGTCTAGCATAGTATGAAGAAATCCCGTTTCCAACGAAGGCCTCAAAGAGGTCTGAATATCCACTTGCAGAGTTTACAAACAGAGTGTTTCCTAACTGCTCTATGAAAAGAAAGGTTAAACTCTGTGAGTTGAACGCACGCATCACAAAGAAGTTTCTGAGAATCATTCTGTCTAGTCTTTATACGAAGATATTTACTTTTCTACCATTAACCTCAAAGCGGCTGAAATCTCCACTTGCAAATTCCACAAAAAGAGTGTTTCAAGTCTGCTCTGTGTAAAGGATCATTCAACTCTGTGAGTTGAATAAACACAACACAAGGAAGTTACTGAGAATTCTTCTGTCAAGCAGAATATGAAGAAATCCCGTTTCCAACGAAGGCCTCAAGGAGGTCTGAATATCCACTTGCAGACTTTACAAACAGAGTGTTTCCTAACTGCTCTATGAACAGAAAGGTTAAACTCTGTGAGTTGAACGCACACATCACAAAGGAGTTTCTGAGAATCATTCTGTCTAGTTTTGAAACGAAGATATTTCCTTTTCTGCCCTTGACCTTAAAGCGCTTGAAATCTACACTTGCAAATTGCACAAATAGAGTGTTTCAAATCTGCTCTGTCTAAGGGAACGTTCAACTCTGTGAGTTGAATGCGCACAACACAAGGAAGTTACTGGGAATTCTTCTGTCTAGCCTTACATACAAAAAAACCCGTTTCCAACGAAGGCCTCTAAGTGGTCAAAATATCCACGTGCAGACTTTACAAACAGAGTGTTTCCAAACCGCTGAATGAAAAGGAAAGTTAAACTCTGAGAGTTGAACACACACATCACGCAGCAGTTTCTGAGAATGATTCTGTCTAGTTTTTATACGAAGATATTTCCTTTTCTGCCTTTGGCCTCAAAGCGCTTGAAATCTCCATTAGCAAATTCCACAAAAAGAGTGTTTCAAATCTGCTCTGTGTAAATGAAAGTTCAACTCTGTGAGTTGAACACACACAACACAAGGAAGTTACTGGGAATTCTTCTGTCTAGCATAATATGAAGAAATCCCGTTTCCAACGAAGGCCTCAAAGGGGTTGGAATATCCACTTGCAGACTTTATAAACAGAGTGTTTACTAACTGCTCTATGAAAAGAAAGGTTAAACTCTGTGAGTTGAACACACACATCACAAAGGAGTTTCTGAGAATCATTCTGTCTAGTTTTTCTACGAAGATATTTCCTTTTCTACTATTGACCTCAAAGCGGTTGAAATCTCCACTTGCAAATTCCACAGAAAGAGTGTTTCAAGTCTGCTCTGTGTAAAGGATCGTTCAACTCTGTGAGTTGAATACACACAACACAAGGAAGTTACTGAGAATTCTTCTGTCTAGCAGAATATGAAGAAATCCCGTTTCCAACGAAGGCCACAAGATGTCAGAATATCCACTTACAGAATTTACAAACAGACTGTTTCCTAACTGCTCTATGAAAAGAAAGGTTAAAGTCTGTGTGTTGAACGAACACATCACAACGCAGTTTGTGGGAATGATTCTGTCTAGTTTTGAAACGAAGATATTTCCTTTTCTACCATTGACCTCAAAGCGCTTGAAATCTCCACTTGCCAATTGCACAAAAAGAGTGTTTCAAATCTGCTCTGTCTAAGGGAACGTTCAACTCCGTGAGTTGAATGTACACAACGCAAGGAAGTTACTGGGAATTCTTCTGTCTAGCCTTACAGGAAAAAAACCCGTTTGCAACGAAGGCCTCTAAGTGGTCAAAATATCCACGTGCAGACTTTACAAACAGAGTGTTTCCAAACTGCTGAATGAAAAGAAAAGTTAAACTCTGTGAGTTGAAGGCACACATCGCAGAGCAGTTTCTGAGAATGATTCTGTCTAGTTTTTATACGAAGATATTTCCTTTTCTGCCTTTGGCCTCAAAGCGCTTGAAATCTCCATTTGCAAATTCCACAAAAAGAGTGTTTCAAATCTGCTCTGTGTAAATGAAAGTTCAAATCTGTGAGTTGAACACACACAACACAAGGAAGTTACTGGGAATTCTTCTGTCTAGCAGAATATGAAGAAATCCCGTTTCCAACGAAGGCCTCAAAGAGGTCTGAATATCCACTTGCAGACTTTACAACCAGAGTGTTTCCTAACTGCTCTATGAAAAGAAAGGTTAAACTCTGTGATTTGAAAGCAAACATCACAAAGGAGTTTCTGAGAATCATTCTGTCTAGTTTTTATAGGAAGATATTTCCTTTTCTACCATTGACCTCAACGCGGCTGAAATCTCCACTTGCAAATTCCACAAAAAGAGTGTTCCAAGTCTGCTCTGTGTAAAGGATCGTTCAACTCTGTGAGTTGAATACACACAACACAAGGAAGTTACTGAGAATTCTTCTGTCTAGCAGAACATGAAGAAATTCCGCTTCCAACGAAGGCCTCAAAGAAGTCTGAATATCCACTTGCAGACTTTACAAACAGAGTGTTTCCCAACTGCTCTATGAAAAGAAAGGTTGAACTCTGTGAGTTGAACGCACACATCACAAAGGAGTTTCTGAGAATCATTCTGTCTAGTTTCTATAGGAAGATATTTCCTATTCTACCATTGACCTCAAAGCGGCAGAAATCTCCACTTGCAAATTCCACAAAAAGAGTGTTTCAAGACTGCTCTGTGTAAAGGATCGTTCAACTCTGTGAGTTGAATACACACAACACAAAGAAGTTACTGAGAATTCTTCTGTCTAGCAGAATATGAAGAAATCCCGTTTCCAACGAAGGCCTCAAGGAGGTCTGAATATCCACTTGCAGACTTTACAAACAGAGTGTTTCCTAACTGCTCTATGAACAGAAACGTTAAACTCTGTGAGTTGAACGAACACATCACAACGCAGTTTGTGGGAATGATTCTGTCTAGTTTTTATACGAAGATATTTCCTTTTCTGCCATTGACCCTAAATCGCTTGAAATCTCCACTTGCAAATTGCACAAAAAGAGTGTTTCAAATCTGCTCTGTCTAAGGGAACGTTCAACTCTGTGAGTTGAATGCACACAAGACAAGGAAGTTACTCGGAATTCTTCTGTCTAGCCTTACATGAAAAAAACCCGTTTCCAACGAAGGCCTCTGAGTGGTCAAAATATCCACGTGCAGACTTTACAAACTGAGTGTTTACAAACTGCTGAATGAAAAGAAAAGTTAAACTCTGAGAGTTGAACGCACACATCACAGAGCAGTTTCTGAGAATGATTCTGTCTAGTTTTTATACGAAGATATTTCCTTTTCTGCCTTTGGCCTCAAAGCGCTTGAAATCTCCACCTGCAAATTCCACAAAAAGAGTATTTCAAATCTGCTCTGTGTAAATGAAAGTTCAACTCTGTGAGTTGAACACACACAACACAAGGGAAGTTACTGGGAATTCTTCTGTCAAGCAGAATATGAAGAAATCCCGCTTCCAACGAAGGCCTCAAAGAAGTCTGAATATCCACTTGCAGACTTTACAAATAGAGTGTTTCCCAACTGCTCTATGAAAAGAAAGGTTGAACTCTGTGAGTTGAACGCACACATCACAAAGGAGTTTCTGAGAATCATTCTGTCTAGTTTCTATAGGAAGATATTTCCTATTCTACCATTGACCTCAAAGCGGCTGAAATCTCCACTTGCAAATTCCACAAAAAGAGTGTTTCAAGTCTGCTCTCTGTAAAGGATCGTTCAACTGCTGTGAGTTGAATACACACAACACAAGGAAGTTACTGAGAATTCTTTCTGTCTAGCAGAATATGAAGAAATCCCGTTTCCAACGAAGGCCACAAGATGTCAGAATATCCACTTACAGACTTTACAAACAGTGTGTTTCCTAACTGCTCTATGAACGGAAAGGTTAAACTCTGTGAGTTGAACGAACACATCACAACGCAGTTTGTGGGAATGATTATCTGTCTAGTTTTGAAACGAAGATATTTCCTTTTCTGCCATTGACCTTAAATCGCTTGAAATCTACACTTGCAAATTGCACAAATAGAGTGTTTCAAATCTGCTCTGTCTAAGGGAACGTTCAACTCTGTGAGTTGAATGCACACAACACAAGGAAGTTACTGGGAATTCTTCTGTCTAGCCTTACATGAAAAAAACCCGTTTCCAACGAAGGCCTCTAAGTGGTCAAAATATCCACGTGCCGACTTTACAAACAGAGTGTTTCCAAACCGCTGAATGAAAAGAAAAGTTAAACTCTGAGAGTTGAACGCACACATCACGCAGCAGTTTCTGAGAATGATTTTGTCTAGTTTTTATACGAAGATATTTCCTTTTCTGCCTTTGGCCTCAAAGCGCTTGAAATCTCCACTTGCAAATTCCACAAAAAGAGTGTTTCAAATCTGCTCTGTGTAAATGAGAGTTCATCTCTGTGAGTTGAACACACACAACACAAGGTAAGTTACTGGGAATTCTTCTGTCTAGCAGAATATGAAGAAATCCCGCTTCCAACGAAGGCCTCAAAGAAGTCTGAATATCCACTTGCAGACTTTACAAACAGAGTGTTTCCCAACTGCTCTATGAAAAGAAAGGTTGAACTCTGTGAGTTGAACGCACACATCACAAAGCAGTTTCTGAGAAACATTCTGTCTAGTCTGTATACGAAGATAGTTTCCTTTTCTACCATTGACCTCAAAGCGGCTGAAATCTCCACTTGCAAATTCCACAAAAAGAGTGTTTCAAGTCTGCTCTGTGTAAAGGATCGTTCAACTCTGTCAGTTGAATACACAGAACACAAGGAAGTTACTGAGAATTCCTCTGTCTAGCATAATATGAAGAAATCCCGTTTCCAACGAAGGCCTCAAGGAGGTCTGAATATCCACTTGCAGACTTTACAAACAGAGTGTTTCCTAACTGCTCTATGAACAGAAAGGTTAAACTCTGTGAGTTGAACGAACACGTCACAACGCAGTTTGTGGGAATGATTCTGTCTAGTTTTGAAACGAAGATATTTCCTTTCCTGCCATTGACCTTAAAGCCCTTGAAATCTCCATTTGCCAATTGCACAAAAAGAGTGTTTCAAATCTGCTCTGTCTAAGGGAACGTTCAACTCTGTGAGTTGAATGTACACAACACAAGGAAGTTACTGGGAATTCTACTGTCTAGCCTTACAGGAAAAAAACCCGTTTCCAACGAAGGCCTCTAAGTGGTCAAAATATCCACGTGCAGACTTTACAAACAGAGTGTTTCCAAACTGCTGAATGAAAAGAAAAGTTAAACTCTGAGAGTTGAACGCACACATCGCAGAGCAGTTTCTGAGAATGATTCTGTCTAGTTTTTATACGAAGATATTTCCTTTTCTGCCTTTGGCCTCAAAGCGCTTGAAATTTCCACTTGCAAATTCCACAAAAAGAGTGTTTCAAATCTGCTCTGTGTAAATCAAAGTTCAACTCTGTGAGTTGAACACACACAACACAAGGGAAGTTACTGGGAATTCTTCTGTCTAGCAGAATATGAAGAAATCCCGTTTCCAACGAAGGCCTCAAGGAGGTCTGAATATCCACCTGCAGACTTTACAAACAGAGTGTTTCCTAACTGCTCTATGAAAAGAAAGGTTAAACTCTGTGAGTTGAACGCACACATCACAAAGGAGTTCATGAGAATCATTCTGTCTAGTTTTTATAGGAAGATATTTCCTTTTCTACCTTTGACTTCAAAGCGGCTGAAATCTCCACTTGCAAATTCCACAAAAAGAGTGTTACAAGTCTGCTCTGTGTAAACGATCGTTCAACTCTGTGAGTTGAATACACACAACACAAGGAAGTTACTGAGAATTCTTCTGTCTAGCAGAATATGACGAAATCCCGTTTCCAACGAAGGCCACAAGATGTCAGAATATCCACTTACAGACTTTACAAACAGAGTGTTTCCTAACTGCTCTATGAGCAGAAAGGTTAAACTCTGTGAGTTGAACGAGCACATCACAACGCAGTTTGTGGGAATGATTCTGTCTAGTTTTGAAACGAAGATATTTCCTTTTCTGCCATTGACCTTAAAGCGCTTGAAATCTACACTTGCAAATTGCACAAATAGAGTGTTTCAAATCTGCTCTGTCTAAGGGAAGGTTCAACTCTGTGAGTTGAATGCACACAACACAAGGAAGTTACTGGGAATTCTTCTGTCTAGCCTTACAGGAAAAAATCTCGTTTCCAACGAAGGCCTCTAAGTGGTCAAAATATCCACGTGCAGACTTTACAAACAGAGTGTTTCCAAACTGCTGAATGAAAAGAAAAGTTAAACTCTGAGAGTTGAACGCACACATCGCAGAGCAGTTTCTGAGAATGATTCTTTCTAGTTTTTATACGAAGATATTTCCTTTTCTGCCTTTGGCCCCAAAGCGCTTGAAATCTCCATTTGCAAATTCCACAAAAACAGTGTTTCAAATCTGCTCTCTCTAAATGAAAGTTCAACTCTGTCAGTTGAATACACACAACACAAGGAAGTTACTGAGAATTCTTCTGTCTAGCATAATATGAAGAAATCCCGTTTCCAACAAAGGCCACAAAGAGGTCTGAATATCCACTTGCAGACTTTACAAACAGAGTGTTTCCTAACTGCTCTATGAAAAGAAAAGTTAAACTCTGTGAGTTGAACGCACACATCACAAAGGAGTTTCTGAGAATCATTCTGTCTAGTCTTTATACGAAGATATTTCCTTTTCTACCATTGACCTCAAAGCGGCTGAAATCTCCACTTGCCAATTCTACAAAAAGAGTGTTTCAAGTCTGCTCTGTGTAAAGGATCGTTCAACTCTGTGAGTTGAATACACACAACACAAGGAAGTTAGTGAGAATTCTTCTGTCTAGCAGAATATGAAGAAATCCCGTTTCCAACGAAGGCCTCAAGGAGGTCTGAATATCCACTTACAGACTTTACAAACACAGTGTTTCCTAACTGCTCTATGAACAGAAAGGTTAAACTCTGTGAGTTGAACGAACACATCACAACGCAGTTTGTGGGAATGATTCTGTCTAGTTTTGAAACGAAGATATTTCCTTTTCTGCCATTGACCTTAAAGCGCTTGAAATCTCCACTTGCCAATTGCACAAAAAGAGTGTTTCAAATCTGCTCTGTCTAAGGGAACGTTCAACTCTGTGAGTTGAATGTACACAACACAAGGAAGTTACTGGGAAATCTTCTGTCTAGCCTTACAAGAAAAAAACCCGTTTCCAACGAAGGCCTCTAAATGGTCAAAATATCCACGTGCAGACTTTACAAACAGAGTGTTTCCAAACTGCTGAATGAAAAGAAAAGTTAAACTCTGAGAGTTGAACGCACACATCGCAGAGCAGTTTCTGAGAATGATTCTGTCTAGTTTTTATACGAAGATATTTCCTTTTCTGCCTTTGGCCTCAAAGCGCTTGAAATCTCCACTTGCAAATTCCACAAAAAGAGTGTTTCAAATCTGCTCTGTGTAAATGAAAGTTCTACTCTGTGAGTTGAACACACACAACACAAGGAAGTTACTGGGAATTCTTCTGTCTAGCATCATATGAAGAAATCCCGTTTCCAACGAAGGCCTCAAGGAGGTCTGAATATCCACTTGCAGACTTTACAAACAGAGTGTTTCCTAACTGCTCTATGAAAAGAAAGGTTAAACTCTGTGAGTTGAACGCACACATCACAAAGGAGTTTCTGAGAATCATTCTGTCTAGTTTTTCTACGAAGATATTTCCTTTTCTACTATTGACCCCAAAGCGACTGAAATCTCCACTTGCAAATTCCACAAAAAGAGTGTTTCAAGTCTGCTCTGTGTAAAGGATCGTTCAACTCTGTGAGTTGAATACACACAACACAAGGAAGTTAGTGAGAATTCTTCTGTCCAGCAGAATATGAAGAAATCCCGTTTCCAACGAAGGCCACAAGATGTCAGAATATCCACTTACAGACTTTACAAACAGAGTGTTTCCTAACTGCTCTATGAACAGAAAGGTTAAACTCTGTGAGTTGAACGAACACATCACAACGCAGTTTGTCGGAATGATTCTGTCTAGTTTTGAAAGTAAGATATTTCCTTTTCTGCCATTGACCTTAAAGCGCTTGAAATCTCCACTTGCTAATTGCACAAAAAGAGTGTTTCAAATCTGCTCTGTCTAAGGGAACGTTCAACTCTGTGAGTTGAATGTACACAACACAAGGAAGTTACTGGGAATTCTTCTGTCTAGCCTTACAGGAAAAAAACCCGTTTCCAACGAAGGCCTCTAAGTGGTCAAAATATCCACGTGCAGACTTTACAAACAGAGTGTTTCCAAACTGCTGAATGAAAAGAAAAGTTAAACTCTGAGGGTTGAACGCACACATCGCAGAGCAGTTTCTGAGAATGATTCTGTCTAGTTTTTATACGAAGATATTTCCTTTTCTGCATTTGGCCTCAAAGCGCTTGAAATCTCCATTTGCAAATTCCACAAAAAGAGTGTTTCAAATCTGCTCTGTGTAAATGAAAGTTCAACTCTGTGAGTTGAACACACACAACACAAGGAAGTTACTGGGAATTCTTCTGTCTAGCAGAATATGAAGAAATCCCGCTTCCAACGAAGGCCTCAAAGAAGTCTGAATATCCACTTGCAGACTTTACAAACAGAGTGTTTCCCAACTGCTCTATGAAAAGAAAGGTTGAACTCTGTGAGTTGAACGAACACATCACAAAGGAGTTTCTGAGAATCATTCTGTCTAGTTTTTATACGAAGATATTTCCTTTTCTACCATTTACCTCAACACGGCTGAAATCTCCACTTGCAAATTCCACAAAACGAGTGTTTCAAGTCCGCTCTGTGTAAAGGATCGTTCAACTCTGTGAGTTGAATACACACAACACAAGGAAGTTACTGAGAATTCTTCTGTCTAGCATAATATGAAGAAATCCCGTTTCCAACGAAGGCCTCAAGGAGGTCTGAATATCCACTTGCAGACTTTACAAACAGAGTGTTTCCTAACTGCTCTATGAAAAGGAAGGTTAAACTCTGTGAGTTGAACGCACACATCACAAAGGAGTTTCTGAGAATCATTCTGTCTAGTTTTTATAGGAAGATATTTCCTTTTCTATCTTTGACTTCAAAGCGGCTGAAATCTCCACTTGCAAATTCCACAAAAAGAGTGTTACAAGTCTGCTCTTTGTAAAGGATCGTTCAACTCTGTGAGTTGAATACACACAACACAAGGAAGTTACTGAGAATTCTTCTGTCTAGCATAGTATGAAGAAATCCCGTTTCCAACGAAGGCCTCTAAGTGGTCAAAATATCCACGTGCAGACTTTACAAACAGAGTGTTTGCAAACTGCTGAATGAAAAGAAAAGTTAAACTCTGAGAGTTGGACGCACACATCGCAGAGCAGTTTCTGAGAATGATTCTGTCTAGTTTTTCTACGAAGATATTTCCTTTTCTGGCTTTGGCCCCAAAGCGCTTGGAATCTCCACTTGCAAATTCCACAAAAACAGTGTTTCAAATCTGCTCTCTCTAAATGAAAGTTCAACTCTGTCAGTTGAATACACACAACACAAGGAAGTTCCTGAGAATTCTTCTGTCTAGCATAATATGAAGAAATCCCGTTTCCAACGAAGGCCTCAAAGAGGTCTGAATATCCACTTGCAGACTTTACAAACAGAGTGTTTCCTAACTGCTCTATGAGAAGAAAAGTTAAACTCTGTGTGTTGAACGCACACATCACAAAAGATTTTCTGAGAATCATTCTGTGTAGTTTTTCTACGAAGATATTTCCTTTTCTACTATTGACCTCAAAGCGGCTGAAATCTCCACTTGCAAATTCCACAAAAAGAGTGTTTCAAGTCTGCTCTGTGTAAAGGGTCGTGCAACTCTGTGAGTTGAATACACACAACACAAGGAAGTTACTGAGAATTCTTCTGTCTAGCAGAATATGAAGAAATCCCGTTTCCAACGAAGGCCTCAAAGAGGTCTGAATATCCACTTGCAGACTTTACAAACAGAGTGTTTCCTAACTGCTCTATGAAAAGAAAGGTTAAACTCTGTGAGTTGAACGCACACATCAGAAAGGAGTTTCTGAGAATCGTTCTGTCTAGTTTCTATAGGAAGATATTTCCTATTCTACCATTGACCTCAAAGCGGTTGAAATCTCCACTTGCAAATTCCACAAAAAGAATGTTTCAAGTCTGCTCTGTGTAAAGGATCGTTCAACTCTGTGAGTTGAATACACACAACACAAGGAAGTTACTGAGAATTCTTCTGTCTAGCCTTACATGAAAAAAACCCGTTTCCAACGAAGGCCTCTAAGTGGTCAAAATATCCACGTGCAGACTTTACAAACAGAGTGTTTCGAAACCGCTGAATGAAAAGAAAAGTTAAACTCTGAGAGTTGAACGCACACATCACGCAGCAGTTTCTGAGAATGATTCTGTCTAGTTTTTATACGAAGATATTTCCTTTTCTGCCCTTGGCCCCAAAGCGCTTGAAATCTCCACTTGCAAATTCCACAAAAACAGTGTTTCAAATCTGCTCTCTCTAAATGAAAGTTCAACTCTGTCAGTTGAATACACACAACACAAGGAAGTTACTGAGAATTCTTCTGTCTAGCCTTACATGAAAAAAACCCGTTTCCAACGAAGGCCTCAAAGAGGTCTGAATATCCACTTGCAGACTTTAAAAACAGAGTGTTTCCCAACTGCTCTATGAAAAGAAAGGTTAAACTCTGTGAGTTGAACGCACACATCACAAAGAAGTTTCTGAGAATCATTCTGTCTAGTTTCTATAGGAAGATATTTCCTATTCTACCATTGACCTCAAAGCGGCTGAAATCTCCACTTGCAAATTCCACAAAAAGAGTGTTTCAAGTCTGCTCTTTGTAAAGGATCGTTGAAATCTGTGAGTTGAATACACACAACACTATGAAGTTACTGAGAATTCTTCTGTCTAGCAGAATATGAAGAAATCCCGTTTCCAACGAAGGCCACAAGATGTCAGAATATCCACTTACAGAATTGACAAACAGACTGTTTCCTAACTGCTCTAGGAAAAGAAAGGTTAAACTCTGTGAGTTGAACGAACACATCACAACGCAGTTTGTGGGAATGATTCTGTCTAGTTTTGAAACGAAGATATTTCCTTTTCTGCCATTGACCTTAAAGCGCTTGAAATCTCCACTTGCCAATTGCACAAAAAGAGTGTTTCAAATCTGCTCTGTCTAAGGGAACGTTCAACTCTGTGAGTTGAATGTACACAACACAAGGTAAGTTACTGGGAATTCTTCTGTCTAGCCTTACATGAAAAAAACCCGTTTCCAATGAAGGCCTCTAAGTGGTCAAATTATCCACGTGCAGACTTTACAAACAGAGTGTTTCCAAACTGCTGAATGAAAAGAAAAGTCAAACTCTGAGAGTTGAACGCACACATCGCAGAGCAGTTTCTGAGAATGATTCTGGCTAGTTTTGAAACGAAGATATTACCTTTTCTGCCTTTGGCCTCAAAGCGCTTGAAATCTCTACTTGCAAATTCCACAAAAAGAGTGCTTCAAATCTGCTCTGTCTAAATGAAAGTTCAACTCTGTGAGTTGAACACACACAACACAAGGAAGTTACTGGGAATTCTTCTGTATAGCAGAATATGAAGAAATCCCGTTTCCAACGAAGGCCTCAAGGAGGTCTGAATATCCACTTGCAGACTTTACAAACAGAGTGTTTCCTAACTGCTCTATGAAAAGAAAGTTTAAACTCTGTGAGTTGAACGCAGACATCACAAAGGAGTTTCTGAGAATCACTCTGTCTAGTTTTTATACGAAGATATTTCCTTTTCTACCATTGACCTCAAAGCGGCTGAAATCTCCACCCTGCCAATTCCACAAAAAGAGTGTTTCAAGTATACTCTGTGTAAAGGATCGTTGAACTCTGTGAGTTGAAAACACACAACACAACGAAGTTTCTGAGAATTCTTCTGTCTAGCAGAATATGAAGAAATCCCGTTTCCAACGAAGGCCACAAGATGTCAGAATATCCACTTACAGACTTTACAAACAGAGTGTTTCCTAACTGCTCTGTGAACAGAAAGGTTAAACTCTGTGAGTTGAACGAACACATCACAACGCAGTTTGTGGGAATGATTCTGTCTAGTTTTGAAACGAAGATATTTCCTTTTCTGCCGTTGACCTTAAAGAGCTTGAAAACTACACTTGCAAATTGCACAAATAGAGTGTTTCAAATCTGCTCTGTCTAAGGGAACGTTCAACTCTGTGAGTTGAATACACACAACACAAGGAAGTTACTGAGAATTCTTCTGTCTAGCCTTACATGAAAAAAACCCTTTTCCAATGAAGGCCTCTAAGTGGTCAAATTATCCACGTGCAGACTTTACAAACAGAGTGTTTCCAAACTGCTGAATGAAAAGAAAAGTTAAACTCTGAGAGTTGAACGCACACATCACAGAGCAGTTTCTGAGAATGATTCTGTCTAGTTTTTATACGAAGATATTTCCTTTTCTGCCTTTGGCCTCAAAGCGCTTGAAATCTCCACTTGCAAATTCCACAAAAAGAGTGTTTGAAATCTGCTCTGTGTAAATGAAAGTTCAACTCTGTGAGTTGAACACACACAACACAAGGGAAGTTACTGGGAATTCTTCTGTCTAGCAGAAATATGAAGAAATCCTGTTTCCAACGAAGGCCTCAAGGAAGTCTGAATATCCACTTGCAGACTTTACAAACAGAGTGTTTCCTAACTGCTCTATGAAAAGAAAGGTTAAACTCTGTGAGTTGAACGCACACATCACAAAGGAGTTTCTGAGAATCATTCTGTCTAGTTTTTCTACGAAGATATTTCCTTTTCTACTATTGACCTCAAAGCGGCTGAAATCTCCACTTGCAAATTCCACAAAAAGAGTGTTTCAAGTCTGCTCTGTGTAAAGGATCGTTCAACTCTGTCAGTTGAATACACACAACACAAGGAAGTTACTGAGAATTATTCTGTCTAGCATAATATGAAGAAATCCCGTTTCCAACGAAGGCCTCAAAGAGGTCTGAATATCCACTTGCAGACTTTACAAACAGAGTGTTTCCTAACTGGTCTATGAAAAGAAAAGTTAAACTCTGTGAGTTGAACGCACACATCACAAAGGAGTTTCTGAGAATCATTCTGTCTAGTTTTGAAACGAAGATATTTCCTTTTCTGCCGTTGACCTTAAAGCGCTTGAAATCTACACTTGCAAATTGCACAAATAGAGTTTTTCAAATCTGCTCTGTCTAAGGGAACGTTCAACTCTGTGAGTTGAATGCACACAACACAAGGAAGTTACTGGGAATTCTTCTGTCTAGCCTTACATGAAAAAAACCCGTTTCCAACGAAGGCCTCTAAGTGGTCAAATTATCCACGTGCAGACTTTACAAACAGAGTGTTTCCAAACTGCTGAATGAAAAGCAAAGTTAAACTCTGAGAGTTGAACGCACACATCGCAGAGCAGTTTCTGAGAATGATTCTGTCTAGTTTTTATAGGAAGATATTTCCTTTTCTACCATTGACCTCAAAGCGGCTGAAATCTCCACTTGCAAATTCCACAAAAAGAGTGTTACAAGTCTGCTCTGTGTAAAGGATCGTTCAACTCTGTGAGTTGAATACACACAACACAAGGAAGTTACTGAGAATTCTTCTGTCTAGCACAGTATGAAGAAATCCGGTTTCCAACGAAGGCCTCAAAGAGGTCTGAATATCCACTTGCAGAGTTTACAAACAGAGTGTTTCCTAACTGCTCTATGAAAAGAAAGGTTAAACTCTGTGAGTTGAACGCACACATCACAAAGAAGTTTCTGAGAATCATTCTGTCTAGTTTCTATAGGAAGATATTTCCTATTCTACCATTGACCACAAATCGGCTGAAATCTCCACTTGCAAATTTCACAAAAAGAGTGTTTCAAGTCTGCTCTGTGTAAAGGATCGTTCAACTCTGTGAGTTGAATACACACAACACAAGGAAGTTACTGAGAATTCTTCTGTCTAGGAGAATATGAAGAAATCCCGTTTCCAACGAAGGCCACAAGATGTCAGAATATCCACTTACAGAATTGACAAACAGACTGTTTCCTAACTGCTCTATGAAAAGAAAGGTTAAACTCTGTGAGTTGAACCGAACACATCACAACGCAGTTTGTGGGAATGATTCTGTCTAGTTTTGAAACGAAGATATTTCCTTTTCTGCCATTGACCTTAAAGCGCTTGAAATCTACACTTGCAAATTGCACAAATAGAGTGTTTCAAATCTGCTCTGTCTAAGGGAACGTTCAACTCTGTGAGTTGAATGCACAGAACACAAGGAAGTTACTGGGAATTCTTCTGTCTAGCCTTACATGAAAAAAACCCGTTTCCAACGAAGGCCTCTAAGTGGTCAAAATATCCACGTGCAGACTTTACAAACACAGTATTACCAAACCGCTGAATGAAAAGAAAAGTTAAACTCTGAGAGTTGAACGCACACATCACGCAGCAGTTTCTGAGAATGATTCTGTCTAGTTTTTATACGAAGATATTTCCTTTTCTGCCTTTGGCCTCAAAGCGCTTGAAATCTCCACTTGCAAATTCCACAAAAAGAGTGTTTCAAATCTGCTCTTTGTAAATGAAAGTTCAACTCTGTGAGTTGAACACACACAACACAAGGGAAGTTACTGGGAATCCTTCTGTCTAGCCTTATATGAAAAAAACCCGTTTCCAACGAAGGCCTCAAAGAGGTCTGAATATCCACTTGCAGACTTTACAAACAGAGTGTTTCCTAACTGCTCTATGAAAAGAAAGGTTAAACTCTGTGAGTTGAACGCACACATCACAAAGGAGTTTCTGAGAATCATTCTGTCTAGTTTATCTACGAAGATATTTCCTTTTCTACTATTGACCTCAAAGCGGCTGAAATCTCCACTTGCAAATTCCACAAAAAGAGTGTTTCAAGTCTGCTCTGTGTAAAGGATCGTTCAACTCTGTGAGTTGAATACACACAACACAAGGAAGTTACTGAGAATTCTTCTGTCTAGCAGAATATGAAGAAATCCCGTTTCCAACGAAGGCCACAAGATGTCAGAATATCCACTTACAGACTTTACAAACAGAGTGTTTCCTAACTGCTCTATGAACAGAAAGGTTAAACTCTGTGAGTTGAACGTACACATCACAACGCAGTTTGTGGGAATGATTCTGTCTGGTTTTGAAACGAAGATATTTCCTTTTCTGCCGTTGACCTTAAAGCGCTTGAAATCTACACTTGCAAATTGCACAAATAGAGTGTTTCAAATCTGCTCTGTCTAAGGGAATGTTCAACTCTGTGAGTTGAATGCACACAACACAAGGGAAGTTACTGGGAATTCTTCTGTCTAGCCTTATATGAAAAAAACCCGTTTCCAACGAAGGCCTCAAAGAGGTCTGAATATCCACTTGCAGACTTTACAAACAGAGTGTTTCCTAACTGCTCTATGAAAAGAAAGGTTAAACTCTGTGAGTTGAACGCACACATCACAAAGGAGTTTCTAAGAATCATTCTGTCTAGTTTTTATACGAAGATATTTCCTTTTCTACCATGGACCTCAAAGCGGCTGAAATCTCCACTTGCAAATTCCACAAAAAGAGTGTTTCAAGTCTCCTCTGTGTAAAGGATCGTTCAACTCTGTGAGTTGAATACACACAACACAAGGAAGACTCTGAGAATTCTTCTGTCTAGCAGAATATGAAGAAATCCCGTTTCCAACGAAGGCCTCAAAGAGGTCTGAATATCCACTTGCAGACTTTACAAACAGAGTGTTTCCTAACTGCTCTATGAAAAGAAAGGTTAAACTCTGTGAGTTGAACGCACACATCACAAAGGAGTTTCTGATAATCATTCTGTCTAGTCTTTATACGAAGATGTTTCCTTTTCTACCATTGACCTCAAAGCGGCTGAAATCTCCACTTGCAAATTCCACAAAAAGAGTGTTTCAAGTCTGCTCTGTGTAAAGGATCGTTCAACTCTGTGAGTTGAATACACACAACACAAGGAAGTTACTGAGAATTCTTCTGTCTAGCAGAATATGAAGAAATCCCGTTTCCAACGAAGGCCACAAGATGTCAGAATATCCACTTACAGACTTTACAAACAGAGTGTTTCCTAACTGCTCTAAGAACAGAAAGGTTAAACTCTGTGAGTTGAACGAACACATCACAACGCAGTTTGTGGGAATGATTGTGTCTAGTTTTGAAACTAAGATATTTCCTTTTCTGCCATTGACCTTAAAGCGCTTGAATTCTCCACTTGCAAATTGCACAAAAAGAATGTTTCAAATCTGCTCTGACTAAGGGAACGTTCAACTCTGTGAGTTGAATGCACACAACACAAGGAAGTTACCGGGAATTCTTCTGTCTAGCCTTACATGAAAAAAACCCGTTTCCAACGAAGGCCTCTAAGTGGTCAAATTATCCACGTGCAGACTTTACAAACAGAGTGTTTCCAAACTGCTGAATGAAAAGAAAAGTTAAACTCTGAGAGTTGAACGGACACATCACAGAGCAGTTTCTGAGAATGATTCTGTCTAGTTTTTATACGAAGATATTTCCTTTTCTGCCTTTGGCCTCAAAGCGCTTGAAATCTCCAATTGCAAATTCCACAAAAAGAGTGTTTCAAATCTGCTCTGTGTAAATGAAAGTTCAACTCTGTGAGTTGAACACACACAACACAAGGAAGTTACTGGGAATTCTTCTGTCTAGCATAATATGAAGAAATCCCGTTTCCAACGAAGGCCTCAAGGAGGTCTGAATATCCACTTGCAGACTTTACAAACACAGTGTTTCCTAACTGCTCTATGAAAAGTAAGGTTAAACTCTGTGAGTTGAACGCACACATCACAAAGGAGTTTCTGAGAATCATTCTGTCTAGTTTTTATAGGAAGATATTTCCTTTTCTATCTTTGACTTCAAAGCGGCTGAAATCTCCACTTGCAAATTCCACAAAAAGAGTGTTACAAGTCTGCTCTGTGTAAAGGATCGTTCAACTCTGTGAGTTGAATACACACAACACAAGGAAG